>NC_000008.11:22284345-22587375 GCF_000001405.40 Homo sapiens
AATATTGTCCTGGACAGTTCCTGGTGGACGTCTCAATGCAATAATGTGTTTACTCAGATCCTTACAGGAAGTTTAAGGTTAATCTTAAACTTTGTGTATGTATTTAGCTATATTACCAATCTCGATTTTAACTTCATAGGGTGTAGATTTATACATGAGGCTAGAAGTTAATTTAATGTGAAATTAATGAAGCTTAAGTTCAGGGCCTTTTAAAACTTGCATTAGGTGTCTTCCATGATCTTTTAACTTATTTTGTATGTGTAATTTTGTATTCTTTTTCTTAAAGAACCCTCCCCCCTCCCCCATCAGTGGTGTGAAATCCATGCCCTATGAAACCTGGATCCTTTCCTGCATGAGCCATCATACCAACATCTGACATCTCTCTAGTGACAGTCTAGGGTTAAATTTAGGGGTGAGAAAAATGAAGGAAGATAACTGCAGTTTTATATCAATAATTTTAGGATTTATTACTATTTAAAAATAGTTTATATTAGTTTGTGTTCTCTCTTAATATCTTAGAGGAGTCATTAGCTGGAAGTTCTTAGCTGGAATTGTGAAAATGAGTGTTTTGAAATACCTGTGAAGAAAATGAGAAGATGAAGTCTCAGTTTTTTTAACTGAAAAATAATTGTGTATATGTATGAGTACAAGATGATGTTTTGGTATATGTATACATTGTAGAAAGATTAAGTCAGGCTAATTGACATATGTGTCACCTCACCTACTTACTGTTTTTTTGTGGTGAAAACATTTAAAATCTCTTTCAGGAATTTTGAAATACACGCTGTTGTTAACTATGGTTACCATAGATCACTAAAACTTACTCCACCTGTCTATCTGAAACTTTGTACATTTTAACCAACATCTGCCATTTCTCCATACCCCTCAACCCCCAGCCTCTGGTAGCCACCTTCCTACTCTCTGTTCACAATGAGTTCAACTTTTTTAGATTCCATATATGAGTGAGATCAGATGGTATTTGTCTTTCTGTGCCTATCTTATTTCACTTACCATAATACTCTCCAGATCCTTTCATACTGTCACATATGACAGGATGTACTTCTTTTTAAAGGCTATATAGTATTCCGTTGTGTATGTATACCACTTTATCCATTCAGTGGACACTTAGATTGATTCCACGTCTTGCCTGTTGTGAACAGTGCTGCAGTGAACATGGGAGTGCACATATATCTCTTTGACACACTGATTTCAATTCCTTTGGATAAATACCAAGAAGTGGGATTGTTGGATCATATTAGTACTATTTTTAGTTTTTTTAAGAAACTTCCATACTATTTCTTTTTTTTTTCTTTTGAGACAGGGTCTCAATCTGTCACCCAGGCTGGAGTGCAGTGGTGCAATCTCAGCTCACTGCAACCTCTGCCTCCAAGGTTCAAGCAATTCTCTTGCCTCAGCCTCCCTAGTAGCTGGGATTATAGGCAAGCGCCCCCATGCCTGGCTAATTTTTGTATTTTTTTTAGTAGAGTCGGGGTTTTGCCATGTCGACCAGGCTGGTCTCAAACTCCTGACCTCAAGTAATCCACCTGCCTCGGCCTCCCAAAGTGCTGGGATTACCGGCATGAGCCACCATGCCTGGCCAGAAACTTCTATACTATTTCTAAAGGTAGCTATACTAGGAAGGCTGAATTTGTGAAGGGCAGCTGCTAGTTGATGACACAAGAGGAAGAAGTGGAGTGAAAGAGAGGAGAAAGGAACAGTTAGGGAGAAAATATTCTGAAGGTATGTTATAAAGACCAAAGGAAGGACTCTTTTGAATGAAGGTAATGAGAAGGTGGTTGACTTTGGCCACAGGAAAAAAAGCAACTGAATTTGCTTGTTGAGGGTGTTGTGATCTTCTAGCAGTTTTGTTACAGTTGTAGAGAAAAAAAAGGAAAGATGAAAAGCACAAAGGAGGGCATAGGCCATGAGAAGTAGCCACTGACTTGGCCACTCATTTAAAAAGTTTATAAGAGGAATGAGAAATGGAATAATTATAGAAGGCAACAGGATTGCTGTAATAGTTTCTATGAGGTAAGAAAGCGGAGCTGAGCACATACAACAGGTAGAGGGAAGTAGCCAGAAAAGTGGGGGAAATTGGATCCCAGGAAACAGGCTTGTTGTGAAACATACAGCAAAGAGGTGAGCATTAAACAGAGGGGAGAGGGCTGCATGCAGTGGCTCACGTCTGTAATCCCAGCACTTAGGGAGGCCGAGGAGGGAGAGTTGCTTGAGGCTAGGAGTTCCAGACTGTCTTAGGTAACAACAACAAAAAATTTTATTTATTTATTTATTTTGAGACAGAGTCTCACTCTGTTGCGCAGGCCGGAGTGCAGTGGCACAGTCTTGCCTCAGTGCTACCTCCATCTCCCAGGCTGAAATGATTCTCATGCCTCAGCCTCCCGAGTAACTGGGATTACAACCACATGCCACCACACCCCACTAATTTTTTTGTATTTTTAGTAGAACAGGGTTTCACCGTGATGGCCAGAGTGATCTTGAACTCCTGGCCTCAAGTGATCACCCACCTCGGCCTCCCAAAGTGCTGGGATTACAGGCATGAGCCACCGAGCCAGGGCAAAAAAAAATTTTTTTTTAGTCAGGTGTGGTGGTACCCTTATAGTCCCAGTTACTTGGGGGACTGAGGCAGAAGGATCACTTGAGCCCAGGAGTTTGAGATGGCAGTGAGCTATGATCATGCCAGTGTACTTCAGCCTGGGTGACAAAGGAAGACCCTATCTCAAAAAAAAAAAGGGAGATGGGGAGAAGTCTTCCTCTTAAAATGGAGTGACAAATGTTAAGGAAACAAAGGGAGAGTCACTTGAACTTGGGAGGTGGAGATTGCAGTGAGCTGAGATGGCTTCACTGCACTCCAGCCTGGGCGGCAGAGCGAGACTCCGTCTCAAAAACAAATGTGTATATATGAAAGAATATACACTGACGTGCTAAGGCAGGTGTCCTTTGGTGGTAGGATTTGGTGGTTTTTATTTTTTTATGACCTATGGTTTCTGATGTTTCAGCTGCGAGCAGGTCTTCTTGAGTCAAAGTTCTAGGCAGATAGATAATTTTTAATATGCCCGCTAGATGGAGCAGCAGTTACTGGGTAACTAGCACCTGTTGCACAGCTCTGGTAAAGATTGCAGTTTGAGTCAAGTTAAAGGAAAATCCTCTTCATTATTTTCCAGCCCCAATGTGGAGTGCAAAAGCATGAGGTTCGGCATGTTGAAGGACCATCAAGCTGTCACCGGCAACGTCACTGCGTTTGATGGATCTATTCTCTATCTGCCTGTTAAGCTTCAACAAGTGAGACCAAACAGGAAATGGACTTTGAGATGAACCCTAAGAGTGCTCTGGCGTTTTTTGTTTGGTTTTGCTTTTAAGAGATTGGGTCTTGCTATGTTGCCCAGACTGGTCTCGAATTCCCAAAGCCCTGGGACTACAGGCGTGTGAGCCACTTCACCTGGCCCAGGACTGGTGTTTTGAGGGGTAGGAAACCATAGAATTCCTGTATGTTCGAGTTGTGCTTTTCTGTTCATAGAGGGGAAGACAGATTTCTGCAGGACATCACAGCACATTTTAGGTTTGAATTCCTCAAGAAGCACCTTCTCACATGAGAGGAATGGTTGGAAGTCTGTGACCTCAGTGATAAAGAGTAACTTAAAATTGCAAATGTAGGCCGGGTGCGGTGGCTCACGCCTGTAATCCTAGTACTTTGGGAGGCTAAGTCAGGTGGATCACGAGGTCACGAGATTGAGACCATCCTGGCTAACACGGTGAAACCCTGTCTCTACTAAAAATAAAAAAAATTAGCTGGGCATGGTGGCAGGCGCCTGTAGTCCCAGCTACTCAGGAGGCTGAGGCAGGAGAATGGCGTCAACCCAGGAGGCGGAGCCTGCAGTGAGCCGAGATCACGCCACTGCACTCCAGCCTGGGTGACAGAGCGAGACTCTGTCTCCAAAAAAAAAAAAAAAAAAAATTGCAAATGTAAACTTGGTTGGAATTCTCTTACCAAATCATTTTTCTGAATCGTAGTTGTCATGCTGTGCTTTTGCTAGTGTGGGCAACAAAGTGAGGGGAAAAGTAGAAAAATGTTTTAAGATACTTTAGTGTTCTTAAGAACACAGTTGAATTAGATTAGGACTTGGTCATTAGTTCTTAGTTTTGTCATTTTGTTTCACCTGTGTGTATTTATTTGTTAGGTTCTTGAGTTAAAAAGTCAAAGGAAAACAGACAGTGCTGAAATCAGCATTAAGATTCAGATGACAAAGATCCTGGAGCCCTGCTCTGACCTGTGCATTCCCTTCTACAATGTTGTTTTCCGTCGGTAAGAAAACAGCTGAAGTTCTATTGTCCTGTAACTTCAGTCTTGTATTTACAGTAATGTTCTTCAAGATACTTGGATGGAAATACGTGACAGTATATTCTAGATGGGTTTGGAAGCATTTAATGAATAAATGGATGGTATTGAGGCTAACTTACTCAAAAATTATCTCACAAGTGGTAGACCAGATTTGAATATATGAAATTAGGTTTGGAGGTAGCTGGATAGGGGAACGGGTTCCTCCAGTTGTGTTCAGGAACTTTGAAAGCGGCTGTTGATAGTGCATATTTAATGGTGACGGTAACAAGGGGGCTACTTAAAGAGGTTGTGTGTAAAAATATTTGCTGGAAGGATTTTTCAGTGTCTTGAATTTTTGGATTACAGACAGCTCATAATTGTTTAACTTCTTTTGAAACATCCTAGTTTTCATACAGCCGCTATTCTCTTATTTAATGAAACACAACCTAATTTCTTTTCTTTTCTTTTTTCTTTTTTTTTTTTTTTTTGAGAGACGGAGTCTCGCTCTGTCGCCAGGCTGTAGTGCAGTGGCGCAATCCCGGCTCACTGCAACCTCCGACTCCCTGGTTCAAGTGATTGTCCTGCCTCAGTCTCCTGAGTAGCTGGGATTACAGGCATGCGCTG
This sequence comes from Homo sapiens, assembly GCF_000001405.40. Lineage (NCBI taxonomy): Eukaryota > Metazoa > Chordata > Mammalia > Primates > Hominidae > Homo > Homo sapiens. Next base: position 22,289,306 of record NC_000008.11, read on the forward strand.
CCACGTCTGGCTAATTTTTGTATTTTTAATAGAGATGATGTTTCATCTTGTTGGCCAGGATGGTCTCGATCTTTTGACCTCGTGATCTGTCCACCTCAGCCTCCCAAAGTGCTGGGATTAGAGGCGTAAGCCACCGCGCCCGGCCCATGGAACCTAATTTCTACCTAGTAAGTTGAACTGCCAGGAGTAAACATAGCTCCCTTTGCCACACTGTTATTCACACACTTAGCAATGGGCTGTCTTGCATTCTTCGTAGTTAGTGGTGAAAAGTAACGTAATAAAACCTTGGAAACCAACTCAGTGTTTGGTCAGCTAGTAAGTGGAAAAGACTGCTGTCATTTTGCTTTGCTTTTTCAGTCAAATGCTTTGGCAGTTTTTGGTTTTCTTTTAACAAGATTGTTCTCAATATAAAAGCTGTCTTCTGCAAAGAGCACAAACATTTCTAACCGTTCAGACTTCCAAAGGCAAATGTAGCTAAGAATAATGGAACATAATTTTATTACTCTTCTATTAGAAAACTCATACTTGCTTTTTATTTCAGGGTAATGAAACTTTTAGATATGAAGCTTGTGGGGAGAAACTTTTATGACCCTACAAGTGCTATGGTACTACAGCAACACAGGTTGGTACTTTTTTCCCTTCCCTCACTTTTGAATGTTCTGGAAAGAAAGTTTCCATTACAACCATTGTATTTAGTACTATAATGTCAGCAGTAGTTTATGGTAGTGAATACAGTTTATCAATTAAATCTCTTCCTTAGTTTGGTTTTTCAGTAAGTTTGCAATAATGTCAATTAACTTAGTTTCTTGAGGCTTTCTCATTACTATTAGGGAAGGGCAGTATCACCTCAATGTTTTGTTCACATGGGGGCATGGAAGTATATGTGTTCTTTGAAAATCCTACAGTTGAGACCACCTCTCTCTCCAGATTGCAGATCTGGCCAGGCTATGCAGCTAGCATCCGAAGGACAGATGGAGGGCTCTTCCTGCTAGCTGATGTCTCCCATAAGGTCATTCGGAATGACTGTGTGCTGGATGTCATGTGAGTGAATGGTGGGGTCTATCTTTAACATGCTGATGATTTTCTGAAAAGTTCAGTAACAGCTGGTAATAACACACATTAGACATTGTTCTGTTTGTTTGTTTTTTCCCCCAGAGACAGGGTCTTGTTTTGTCACCCTGGCTGGAGTACAGTGGTTTGATCATAGCTCGCTGTAACCCTGAACTCCTGGGTTCAAGTGATCCTACCACCTCAGCCTTCTGAGTAGCCAGGACTACGGGTGTGCTACCATGCCCAGCCAATTTTTAATTTTTTTTTTTTTTTTTTTTTGTAGAGATAGGGTCTTGCTATGTTTCCCAGCCTGCTATGTTTCCTGGCTTCAAGGGATCCTCCTACCTCAGCCTCTCAAGGTGTTGAGATTATAGGCATGAGTCATGGCACCCAGCCCTGTTTAGATTTTTAGTTGTAGAATAACTGAACTGAATATATGTGCCCTCGTCTCTAGTCCTCCTGAGATAAGCATCTGAATAGACATCTGCTGTGCTTTGAGAAGGAGTTTTGTTTAAATTTGTGGTTAGGAGAACTTGGTTTGATATATGCGCATGCTGAGTTTGCATATAATAATATACAATGTATGTGTTACTGTAGTAAATACAGATGTGTATATATATTTTTTTTAATTGAGACAGAGTCTCACTCTATCACCCAGGCTGGAGTGCAGTGGTGCAATCTTGGCTCACTGCACCCTCTACCTCTTGGGTTCAAGTGATTCTCCTGCCTCAGCCTCCTGAGTAGCTGGAATTATAGGCGCCCGCCACCATGTCCGGCTAATTTTTTTTTCTTTTCTTTTCTTTTTTTTTTTCTGAGAGAGAGTCTCTCTCTGTTGCTTAGGCTGAAGTGCAGTAGTGTGATCTCAACTCACTGCAACCTCTGCCTCCTGGGTTGAAACAATTCTCTTGCTTCAGCCTCCCGAGTAGCCAGGACCACAGGTGCATGCCTCCATGTCTGGCTAATTTTTTGTATTTTAGTAGAGATAGGGTTTCACCATGTTTCCCAGGCTCGTCTTGAACTCCTGAGCTCAGGAGATCTGCCCGCCTCAGCCTCCCAAAGTGCTGGGATTACAGGCACAAGCCACCGTGCCCAGCCAGATGTGTATAATTTTTAGTGGTTGCATGAAATCTCATCTTACACATAAGTCTGTACATCTGATTTTTTTAGGCCATGTACTTGGAAGTAGAATTACTTAATGGAAGGGCTGAACATTCTAAATCCTTTTAATATATATCTAATATAATATGATAGTTAACTGTATCTTGACAAATTACCCTGTAGAAGATTTATTCAGTTTCTTTTCCCACCAGCTATGTACAACCACTGGGTGTTATCGGGCTTGTAAATCTTTGCTCCTCTGACCATTTCATTCATTGCTTCAGTGTATACTTACTGAGCTCCAGTTATGAACCAGAGTCTTAGGACCTATCAGATAGCAAAACAAAGATCCCTCCCCTCACAGAGCCTCTGTTGTTACCAGGGGAGATGAACAGTAAATAATAAATGTAATAAATAAATTGTATAGTGTAATAAAAGCGATAAGAGCCATGGAAAAAAGAAAAAGAGCACACGGTCAGGGCAATCAGAAGTAGTGGGGCAGGGGGCGGAGAATTGCAGTTTTAAGTGGAGTGGTCAAGCTCATTTGAGCAAACGCTTGAAAGAGGTAAGAGGTTAGCCAGGTGAAGGGAGAAGAAGCTTTTGGCATGTGGACAGCTCAGGCACAGACCTTAAGACAGAAACAGGCCTGGTGCAGGCACATGCAGGGTGGCTAGAGCCGAGTGAGCAAGCAGGGTGATGGAGGGGCAGAGCAAATGGAGGAGCTGATTACACAGGGCTTTGTAGGGCTTTTGTGAGGGTTTTAACTTTCACTGTGAGTGAAATGCAGGACTTTGAGCAGTGCACGGGCAAGACCCAACTTGGACTGTTGAAAGGATCCCTGTTGTTGCTGTGTGGAGAATAGACTTGGCTGACTGAGGATGGAAGTGGGAACACCAGTCAAGAGGCTGTGGTAATCCAGTGGAGCCATGAGGATGGTAGCGATGGAGGTGGTAAGGAGTCAGATTCTGGACATCTGTATTTTGAAAGTGGCACTTAAGTGGATTTCCTGAGTGCATGTGGGATAAGAGAAAGAGAAGCTGAAGATGCCTTGAACTTTTTTATAATTATTCTGTATCTCCTAGACTGTCAGCTCCTCTGGCAGAGGCCGTGTCTTTTTTGCTCACCCTGTACACTTAGACTTAATATAGGGCTTAGCACTGTCAAAGGACACAATTATTGGCTTTTATTTGGAGTTCATGAATTGGGTAACACCTTGAGGGTTCTGATGAGCTGAGCAGCGGAGGTTGGCTTTATAGACAGAAAAGGGCCAGAGAATCAGAAACAGAACAAAAAGGAGATTGGTCGTTTGTTACTTTCCTTGTAAAGGTTAAAGCAGAGGGGACATCTTTATCATACTAAAACTGGCCTGTTTGGGGATTTGGCTATTATGTGTCTCTCCTGATTTCTCAGAAAGTCAGATAAAGATCTTAGTTTCTATTTGGTGGCATGGAACTTCAGCATGAGTAACTCCATTTTTGGTTTGCTCTGTTGGGCCTAGTGCAGGAGCCCAGTCCAAGCCAATAGCCTCCTGTAAGTTTTATTTAATTGTACACAGTAAATGTTCAAGAATATTTATTAAATAAAAGTATATGTCTTCAAATCGGCTATTTCTTTTTTTGCAGTTTCTGCCTTTGCTTTTATATATTTATTTTTCTTGCATGTACTTTCAGTGAATGCCTTTGCTTTTCTGCTTAGAAAGGTCTGCTTGGCCAGGGATGGTCTGGTTCATGGCTATAATCCAGCGCTTTGGGAGGCCAAGGTGGGAGGACTGCTTGAGGCCAGGGGTTCAAGGCTGCAATGTGCTATGGTAGTGCTACTGTACTCCAGCCTAGGCAAGCAAGTGAGACCCTGTCTTCAAAAAAACAGAACTAGTTTTTATTTTCCTTTTTTTTTTGTCTTTTTTGAGATGGAGTTTCACTCCTGTTGCCCAGGCTGGAGTGCAATGACATGATGTTGGTTCACTGCAACCTCCACCTTCCGGGTTCAAGTGATTCTCCTGCCTCAGGCCTTCTGAGTAGTTGCCACCACACCTGGCTAATTTTTCTATTTTTAGTAGAGACAGGGTTTCGCCATGTTGGCCAGGCTGGTCTTGAACTCCTGCCGTCAGGTAATCCGCCTGCCTCAGCTTCCCAAAGTGCTGGGATTACAGGCATGAACCACCACGCCAGGCCTATTTTCAGTGTTTCAAACTCTATGGATTTACCTTGATATGAAGTTGGGATTATCATGGTTGTCTCTGTACTATTATACAATTATTGAAAAACATTCTTTTTTTCCACAGATTCAAATCACTGCCTTATATGCTAAAATACCTGGATTTATTTCTGAACTTTCAGTTTGAGCTATTGGTCCAAACTAATGTGATTCTATCTAAAATACTGTACTTTTTTTGGTTTTTGATATTTGTCAGAATTTTATTTTCAGAATTTTCATGGTGAATGTCACCCACATACTCTTTCATTTGATCCTTTGAATAATTTAGTGAAAATAAGAAAAAAGTTGTTTAGCATTTTGATGGGCATTGACTAGGGAGAATGTTCACTTAGTCTTCCTGTTGAAAAATATGGCATGTCTTTCCATTTATTGAAATTTATTTTGTTTTGGCCAGATGCGGTGGCTCACCTCTGTAATCCTGACATTTTGGGAGGCCGAGGCGGGAGGATCAGTTGAGGTCAGCAGTTCAAGACCAGCCTGGCCAACATGGTGAAACCCTGTCTCTGCTAAAAATACAAAAATTAGCCAGGCGTGGTGGCACACGCCTGTAATTCCAGCTACTTAGGAGGCGGAGGCACGAGAATCGCTTGAACCCGGGAGGCAGAGGTTGCAGTGAGCCAAGATCATGCCATTACACTCCAGCCTGGGTGACGGAGTGAGACTGTCTTTAAAAAAAAAAAAAAAAAAAAAAGGTCCGAGCGTGGTGGCTCACGCCTGTAATCCCAACACTTTGGGAGGCCGAGGCGGGCAGATCATGAAGTCAGGCGATCGAGACCATCCTGGCCAACACGGTGAAACCCCGTCTCTACTAAAAATACAAAAAATTAGCCGGGCGTGATGGCGGGCACCTGTAGTCCCAGCTACTCAGGAGGATGAGGCAGGAGATTGGCGTGAACCCAGGAGGCGGAGCTTGCAGTGAGCCGAGATTGTGCCAGTGCACTCCAGCCTGGGCGACAGAGTGAGCAAGACTCTGTCTCAAAAAAAAAAAAAAAAAAAAAAAAGAAAAACATCAGTTGGCATTTTGATGGTCATTGACTAGGGAGACTGTTCAATGAGTCCTATTGAAAAATATGGCATGTCTTTCCATATTTATTGAAATGTATTTTGTTTTGGCCAGGCACAGTGGCTCATGCCTGTCATCCCAGGACTTTGGGAGGCCGAGGCAGGCGGATCACTTGAGGTCAGGAAGTTGAGACCAGTCTAGCCAACATGGTGAAATCCCATCTTTACTGGAAAAAAAAAAAAAAAAAAAAAAAAAAAAATTAACTGGGCGTGGTGGCGCAGGGCTGTAGTCCCAGCTACTCCAGAGGCTGAGGCAGGAGAATGGCTTGAACCTGGGAGGTGGAGGTTGCAGTGAGCCGAGATCGTGCCAGTGTACTCTAGCCTGGGCAACAGAGCGAGACTTCGTCTGGGGGAAAAAAAAAATATTTTTATTTTCTCCACAGTTATCTTGGATTTTTTTTTGTTAAAAAAATTCATTCCTTTCTTTCCTTCCTTCTTTCCTCCTTTCTTCGAGACAAGGTCTCATTTCATGGCCCAGACTGAAGTGCAGTGGCTATTCACAGGCATGATCATTGCTCACTGCAGCCTTGAATTCTTGGGCTCAAGTGATCTTTCTGCCTCAGCTTCCTGAGTAACTGGGGCTACAGGCTTGTGCCACTATGCTCAGCTTTTTTTTTTCTAAGTACGTAATTTTATATGTACTTACCACTAATTTAAGCTCAAATTCACACCGAGTTGTGTAATCCCTTCACTATACATTGAAAACACTAGGTATTTTGTCAGTTTCATTCCCCTCCCGTCCAAATACCACATTTTTGGGGTGATCTAGATCTAGCTTTGAGAACCTCTTCTCCAAGATAGTGAGAAGGCCTGTGTCAGGCATTACCCCGTTATGTCACACATGGACCCTCTCAGTGTAGCTGCTCAGCCCCGAGAGCATGTCCATGTCTGTCAGGGAGCTCTGCAGGCTGTCCTCCCTTGTCCCCTGCAGCTGTTACTGGCTTGGTGTTCTACCACCTTCGTTCCCTGTTCTTATGGATCACTGGAAACCACAGAAGAGCATTTATTTTCCTGGAGGTGAGAAGAGCTCGGTGTTTAAAAATGTAACAGCTTTTCTTTTCATCACCCAGGAATGGTTTGCATACTTCTAAAGGGTAGTAAGTCAACTAAGGTTTACAAAATAAGGTTACTTTCTTACGTCACTTGTAAGTTCTCAATTGATTTAATGAGCCATTCCTACTGAATTCAATACCATCTTAGAAATGTCTGTTAGAATCTGATCGGCTTCAGTTCGGCTGGTTGCTCTCCCGGCTGGCTGAACCATCACTGTCTTGGGGTTCCTCTTCCCTTCTTTTTTTTTTTTTTTTTTTTTTTTTTTTTTTTTTTTTTGTTGTTGTTGTTGTTGAGATGGAGTCTTGCTCTGTTGCCCAGGCTAGAGTGCAGTGGTGCGATCTCGGCTCACTGCAACTTCCACCTCCCAGGTTCAAGCAATTCTCCTGCCTCAGCCTCCTGAGTAGCTGGGACTACAGGCGTGCGCCACCACGCCCAGCTAATTTTTGTAGAGACAGGGTCTCACCACATTGATGAGGACGGTCTCGATCTCTTGACCTTGTGATCCACCTGCCTCAGTCTCCCAAAGTGCTGGGATTACAGGCATGAGCCACCGCGCCTGGCCCCCTCTTCCCTTCTTAAGGGGAATCTCCTGTATGTCAGATCTCATAACTGCTGCTTTCTTGATTTATTCCCTTGTTTTAGTGTAGCATATATACTCCAGTATTTTCCAGAAGAAGTATGCATTGGAGGAAATTATTTTCAGACCTTACATGTTTGAAAAATGTCTTTAGCTTACAAAGTAGTTGTCTAGTTTGATTGGGTGTATAACTCTAGGTTATAAATCTAGTTTGGAGATACTTTACCCTGAGAATTTTGAAGGCACTACTCCATCGTCCTTGCTTTTAGATTTACTGTTGAAAGATCTAAAGCTGTTTTAATTTCTGATTCCAGAATCTTTGTATGTCTCTCCTCACCCTGTCCTGCCCCTTTGGGAGCTTTGGGAGTTTTTCTTTACTGTTGTCTTCTGAAATTTTATTTGTTCTTTATTCCTTCCTGCATCCCTCACTATTCTATATGAGATTATTTTCCCTTTGCCTGAAGAACTGCTTGTAATATGTCCTTTAGTGTGGACTCTGCTGGTGACAAATTCTTTTAATTTTTATCTAAAAATGTTTTCCAACTTGCCTTTAACTTAAAATTCTGGATTTGGCAGTTATTTTCTTTTCGCCCTTTGAGAAATATTTTCTGGCTTACATTCTTTCCTTTTTTTTTTATTTTTATTTTTTGATGGAATCTCACTTGGTTACCCCAGTTGGAGTACAGTGGCACGATCACAACTCACTGCAGCCTCAAACTCCTGGGCTCAAGCAATCCTCCCACCTCAGTCTCCCAAGTAGCTGGGACTACAGGGATGCACCATCACACCTGGCTAATGTTTTAATTTTTTCATAAAGGCAGGGTCTCACTGTGTTGCCAAGGCTGGTCTCGAACTCCTGGGCTCAAGTGATTCTCCTACCTCAGCCTCCGAAAGTGCTGGTGTGAGGCACTGTGCCCAGCCTATTTTATTTTTATTTTTGTAGAGATGCAGTTTGACTGTGTTGCCAAGGCTGACCTCGAAATCCTGGCCTTAAGTTATCCTCCTTCTACATCGGCCCCCTAAAGTGCTAGGATTACAGGTGTGAGCTATTGCACCTGGCCCTTGGTTTACATTGTTCCTGTTGACAAATCAATCACCAGTGATACTGTTATCTTTTTAATTTTTTTTTATTTTTGTCTTTGGCTTTCGAAGTTTTACTGTAATGCATCTAGTTGTGATTTCTGTTAAAAAAAAATTCATGGCACTTGTTAAAGAATGATAAGGCAGACTTTATTCAGAACCAGTGCAATGGGCACAAGGACCCCTGCAGTGGGGATTTACAGTATGGGAGAGAGATTGGGCTCAACTCAGAATACAACAAGGAAAAGTGGGAATTTATAGTCTAGGAGAAGGATCGGGGTCAGTGGATGAAAAATTACTGATAGGAACCATTTGGAGTCAGGGGGTTTCACCAAATTTTTACAGTTGGGTTGCTGGTCTAATGGGCCTCCAACCATAGGCTCTCAGGAAAGGCCTAAATTGGTATGAAGCCTTATCTGGCTTCTAAAGAGCACTGTTTTCTATGTTGAGCAGAAAAGACAGTCCGGAACAAACAAAAATGCCTTATATGTATAGACAGCAGTAAAAGCAAAGCAAGCAAATGAAAAACAGAATTGACTGGGTGCAGTGACTCATGCTGATAATCCCAGCATTTTGGAAGGCTGAGGAGGGTGGATTGGTTGAGCCCAAGAGTTCGAAACCAGCCTGGGCAACATGGCAAAATCCTGTCTCTACAAAAAATACAAAAATTAGCTGGGCATGGCGGCACACATCTGTTATCCCAGCTACTCGGGAGGCCGAGGTGGGAGAATCATCTGAGCTGGAATGTCAAGGCTGCAGTGAGTGTGAGCCATAATCGCACCACTGCACTCCAGCCTGGCCAATGGAGTGAGACCCTATTTAAAAAAAAAAAAGGATAATGGCAAAAATATTTTCAAATGATATACTTTCAAAACAAAAAGGCTAATGACCTCACACAAAGATCTAGGTCTGATTATATGCTGGAGGCTGTACTTCTAAACCAAAAGGTCTATTTTACGTAAGGAAGTAAGGCTGATTGGCTTACATAAAGACCTAAGGCTAATGACAAAGGCCTGTTTGATTATAAATATTGGGATTCAGCAACTAGAGCTTAATGAAACTAGTCACACCTCAGATGGTTGTTGGGATTGACTCACTTGACAGCAGATCTGAAGAACAAAGAGTTAAACACAAGGGCCCAGTGAGTGGATTGTTGGTCTGAGAATCTGTGGAATGTTGCCTGGGAAGTTTTCAAAATTATCTTGGTTGGACCTTCAGAATTGTCAGAGGATGGTGAGACCTCTGTTCTATCGGAAATAAAAATAAAGCTGAATTTCTTGCTTACTGCAGTTAGAGACTATTGGTCTTCTATAGAATATTTGAGAAGAGTATAGTTCAGGGATTGCAGACTTGCAGATGGACAAGTAGGTCAGCATCTTCTGAGGAAGGGTGGTTACTCAGGCGAGACTCTTGTGAGTTGATTTGCCCTGAGAGGTATGCGTATTGGATTAAGTCATCAGTGATTGGCTGGCTTATAGAAACAAGGGGATGACGTTGATTAGTTGGCTTGCAAAAGTGTGTTTGCTGAATAAATTGATGTAGATTGATTTAACAGGCTTAAAACCCATTCTTATGGCTACTTATTACTATGGTGACAGAGTAATCCATCTTTTCCAGTTTGTGGGAATTTTATTTTATTCTCAGGAGTATATGAATATTTGTTTTCATTTAGTTTTATGGTTTAGTTTCTTAGATATTAATCTTAAATTCATAAAGAATTTTCTAAAATTGGCTAGCAAGCTAACCTGTTTTTTTAATGATCTTTTTTCTTTTTTTTCTTTTTTTTTTGAGATGGAATTTCACTCTTGTTGCCCAGGCTGGAGTGCAATGGCGTGATCTTGGCTCACTGCAACCTCCGCCTCCTGGGTTCAAGCGATTCTCCTGCCTCAGCCTCCTGAGTAGCTGGGATTACAGGCATGTGCCACCACACCTGGCTAACTGTATTTTTAGTAGAGACAGGGTTTCTCCATGGTGGTCAGACTGGTCTTGAACTCCTGACCTCAGGTGATCCACGCACCTCGGCTTCCCAAAGTGCTGGGATTGCAAGCGTGAGCCACCGCGCCCAGTCAATGATCTTTTTTCTTACAAATTTGAAATACCACCTTATTCTACACTCAGTATTAATCTGTTTGAGTCTATTTCCAGATCTTTTATTCTGTTCCATTAATTTCTTTTTTTCAGATGTGTAAAGGTACAATTGACATCCGTAAAAAACCCACACACATTTAAAGTATACAGTTTGATGAGTTTTGATATATGGATATATATTTGATATATTTCACCTGTGAAACGTTACAGTGAAGAAAATAGACATGGCCATTGCCCCAAAATGTTCTCAGGTCTCTCTGAAGCCTCTTCCCACTTCTGTTCCTCCTCTGCACGCCATGGGCAGCAAATGCTGGTCAGCCTTCTGTCACTAGAGATTTTTCTGCATTTTCTAGAATTTTATATACATGGAATCGCTATGTTCTTGTTCTTTTTTATTGTATTTATTTTATTATTTTTTTTTTGGGTGGGGGGAACAGAATCTCTCCCTGTCACCCAGGCTGGAGTGCAATGGTGCGATCTCAGCTCGCTGCAACCTCCATCTCCCGGGTTCAGGTGATTCTCCTGCCTAGCTGGGATTACAGGTGCCTGCCACCACGCCCAGCTATATAAAAACATTTTTTTTAATAGAGATGGGACCTCACTATGTTGCCCAGGCCGGTCTTGAACTCCTGGGCCCAAGCAGTTCTCCTACCTAGCCTCAGCCTCCCAAAGTGCTGGGATTATAGGCATAAGGGGGGCGAGGAAGAAGACCCACCCAGCAGCCCACCCACCCACCTGCCTGCCTGCTATTGTTTTTTGGTTGGCTTCTTTCACTTAGCGTTATTTTGAAATCATTCACATTGTTGTATGTTGCAAATGTTCATTCCTTTTAATTACTGGGTAGTGTTCCATTTTGTGGCTCTACCACAATTTATTCACCCATTGTTTCTCCAGGTTCTTTCCAGCTTTTGGCTGTTACAAATAAAGTTGCTATAAATATTAGTGTACAAGTCTTTGTGTGGACTTATACTTTCATTTGTCTTGGTTAGTAGATACCTGGGAGCGGAATGGCGAGTCATATGGTAGGTGTGTGTTTAATTTTATAAGAAAGTCTTTCCCAAAGTGTCTGTACTGTTTTACATTCCCACTAGCAGTGCCTGAGAATTCAGATTGTTCCACATTCTCACGAATACTTGGTGTAGTCAGTCTTAATTTTAGAAATTTTAACCAGTGTACAGTGGTATCGAATTGTGGTTTTGATTTACATTTTCCTAGTGAATAATGATGTAGAGCATCTTTTCCTGTGTGTACTTCCCATTCATTTGTCTGCTTTGGTGAGGTATCTGTTCATATCTTTTGCCTATTTTAAATATTTGGGTTGTTGTTTTTACTGAGTTGTGCAGTAATTCATTACATATAAGAAGTACAGATACTTTATCAGGTGAATGATATGCACGTATCATATGATATATGCATATTTTCTTCCATTTTGTAGCTTGTCTTTGCATTTTTCTTAAAGGTGACTTTTTTTTTTTGAGACAGAGTCTTGCTCTGTTGGCTGGAGCGCAGAGGTGCAGTCACATCTCACTGCAGCCTTGGCCTCCAGGACTCAAGCAGTCCTCTCACCTCACCCTCCTGAGTAGCTGTGACTACAGGCATGCACCACCATGCCCAGCTAATTAAAAAAAATTTTTTTTGTAGAGATAGAGTTTCACCACGTTGCCCAGGCTGTTCTTGAACTCCTGGGCTCAAGTGATCCTCCTAAAGTGCCGGGATTACAGATGTGAGCCATCACACCCGGCCAGTGGTCCCTTTTATTTGTTTTTTATTCTTTTATTATTTATTTTTTGAGACAGCGTATCGCTCTTTCACCCAGGATGGAGTGCAGTGGCGCCATCTCAGCTCACGGTAGCCTCTGCCTCCTGGGCTGATTCTCATGCCTTGGCCTCCTGAGTAGCTGGGACTACAGGCATGCGCCACCACACACCTGGCTGTTTTGTACTTTTAGTAGAGATGGGGTTTCACCATGTTGCCCAGGCTTGTCTCTAAATCCTGAGCTCAAGTGATCCCCCCGCCTCAGCCTCCCAAAGTGCTGGGATTACAGGCATGAGCCACCATGCCCGGCCCAGTGGTCTCTTTTAAGGAGTAGACATTTTTAATTCTGATGAAGTAGAATTTATACTTTTTCTTTCATAGGTTTTGGTTTTGTTGTCATATCCAAGAAATCATTGCCTAACTCGAGGTCGCAAAGATTTTCTGTTTTTTTTTTTAGGTTTATAGTTTTGACTCATATTTAGATCTGCGATCCATTTTGAGTTAACTTTTACAGGTGATGTCAGGTAACGGTCTGAGTTCCTTTTGTTACATGTTTAAGTATCATAGCACTGTTTCTTGAAAAGATTGTCCTTCCCTACTGATTTACCTTGACACCTTTGTCAGTTATTATTTGATCATAAATGTGTAGGTTCTGTGTTTCATTCTCATGTAATTTAAGGCACAAATGTCCCTCTGAGCACTGCATTAGCTACAGTCCCTGATTTTTTTATTGTCTGATTTTTCATTTTCCTTCAGTTCAAGATATTTTCTCATTTCTCTTGTGCTTTCTTCTTTGATCTGTGGGTTATTTAGAGTGTATTATAATTTTCAAATATTTGGAGATTTCTTATTTTTCTTTCTGTTTAATACATTTTGGCAAGTCTAGATGGTTTATTTTTCTGATTTTTCTTTTTTTTTGAGATGGGGTCTCGCTCTGTCACCAGGCTAAAGTGCAGTGGCGCGATCTTGGCTCACTGCAATCACTGCTTCCCGGGTTCAAGTGATTCTCCTGTCTCAGCCTTCTGAGTAGCTGGGACTACAGGCGCGCACCCCCACGCCCAGTTAATTTTTGTATTTTTAGTAGAAATGGGTTTCATCATGTTGGCCAGGATGGTCTCGATCTCTTGACATCATGATCCGCCCACCTCGGCCTCCCAAAGTGCTGGGATTACAGGTGTGAGCTACTGCGCCCAGCCTATTTTTCTGATTTCTTTTTTTAAACTAACCTATCCATATTGAGACTAAAGACTCTGTTATTTCTGTGGCGTGCGGCTGCTGATGTCTTTGCTCGGTTTTTCCTTATTATCATTTTTTAACCTGGCTTCCTAGTGATCACCCCCTTGTCTGTAGAGCTTAGTCATTCGGATAATGATTTGGAGAGCAGTTATACTCAAACCCCATGACTCCATAAGGCTTCCATCTCTGCTAATGGATTTGTGTGTAGATTGAAGAATGCTTTCAAAATTAAATGTAGTTCTCCCATCTTTTTTGGCTTTTAACTCTCAGCTGAGATTTCTTGGCTCTCTTCTAAGCATAGATGGTTTCCCAGTCAGCCAAGGATGTGTGGCCTTCTATGGCTTTCTGATTACCAGGATTTAGCCCTTAAATTTCTAGTTGATGCACTGCCCACCTCAACTTAGACAACAAATCTAGGCTAACAGAACTTTGCTTTTCTCCATTGCCACTTGTAGTTGGCTTGCCATGGGTTCCCATCCCTACCCCTAGATTAAGTTTTCTCTATCTCAAAAGGTTGTACACTTTTTGGTTCTATTTCTGTAGGAGTCTCAAAATGACAAAGCTAGAGAATAGACTGGTAGTTACCAGATCTAGGGAAGGAGGGGGAGTGTGAATATAAAGGGCAGCAGGAAATAGTCCCTTGGTGGTGACATGCAACAGTTTGGTATCTGATTGTGGTAACCTATAGATGTGAGGAAACTGTATACACATACAAACACACCAGTGTATGTAAGTAACAATGAAAATGGAGTAAGATCTGTAGTCTAGTTAATGATATTATAGCAATGGCAGTTTTGTACATGAGACTCTATGTCCACATTTTGCAACTTTCTATGATTTGATGAGTATTTCAAAGTACGAAATTTTAAACAATTAATTTTAATTAATTTAGGGACAGGGCCTTACTTTGTCACCCAGGATGGAGTGCAGTGATGCTATCATAGCTCACTGTAGCCTCAAACTCCTGGGTTCAAGCCGTCTTCCCACCTCCCTCAGTCTCTGGAGTATCTGGGACTACAAGGTACGCCACTACACCTGGCTAATTTTTTAAGTTTTTTAGAGATGGGGTCTCGCCATGTTGCCCAGGCTGATGTCAATATCCTGGGCTCAAGCAATCCTCCCACCTTAGCCTCTCGAATAGCTGGGACTACAACTGTGAGCCATCATGCCTGGTAGGCCTATATTCTCTTATTTCCTGCAGTTCAGGCCCTCTTAAGCTTTTTCCTTTTTTTTCCCCCACCAAGGAAATAAGGTATCACTATGTTGCCCAGGCTGGTCTCCAACTTCTGGGTTCAAGCAGTCCTCCTGCCTCTGCCTCCTAAAATGCTGGGATTACAAGCGTGAGCCACTGCATCTGGCCAAGAGTCCCATCTTTTAACACAACTGGAGCCTTCTGGTGCTATATAGCTGTGATTAGATTCCTCAATTACTTGATCCCCTATCCCTTTCATACTGTTCTGGATATATACTGTGATCCAAAAGTCTTTTATCTCTTTCCAAAGGCATGCCATTTATCAGCAGAATAAAGAACACTTCCAGGATGAGTGTACTAAGCTTCTGGTTGGCAATATTGTTATCACCCGATATAACAATCGTACCTATCGTATTGATGATGTGGATTGGAATAAGACTCCAAAGGATAGCTTCACGATGTCTGATGGGAAAGAGATCACATTCTTGGAATACTACAGGTAGCAAGAAGAGACTGGGTTTGGGCCTCAGGGTGGGGGTTGGATGTAGTCCACGTTCTCCAGCAGATATTGAGTTCTGCAATAGCATACCACTTGACACTTTTCAAAATAATTGAATTGGTAATGTGTCTAACACTGAATGAGCTTGTTTGTGGGATTTGACTTGAGTATGCTACCATTATATCTTCAATTATTTTAGTAATTTGGAAGTTACTATATAAATTAAGGGCTTTGAATTGTTTTTCTGATTTTATTAGAAGTCTGGAGAGATTAAATTCAAGTCATTAATCATTTGACTGTCATTTCATGTTTCTATTGCCTGAACCCTTTAGCCTGATGTTTTTAACAAAGTCTTTCTTGAACTTTTAGCCTTATTTCTCCTATATTTAATTGCAACATAATTTGAGCCTGCTTTTTCCTGTTATAAATATATTATGATCGGTTTGCAGTGGCTCCTTGACAAGAGTATTATGCAAATTATATACCTCAGTCCTGGTTAAGAGACTCAGACTATGGTGCTCTAAGAGTATTGATGCTGCTTCTGAAATTTTTTCCTGCCTCTACTCTGCTCTAGCAAAAATTATGGGATCACAGTTAAGGAAGAGGACCAGCCATTGCTGATTCACAGGCCCAGTGAGAGACAGGATAATCATGGGATGGTGAGTAGGGCTGTCAGGCTTACAATTCCAGCTTAAGTTCTTCATCCTGTCAGCTGCTTTTAGCCGTCCTCATGGCTTTGTGGGAGCTGTGGAGTAGCAATCGTAGTGTAGTTGCGGAAAGCTGTGCAAGTGTTTGTCTGTCTCATCCAGCCAGAGGCACCACTCACACTGGTAAGATCTGCTTTAGAAGTCCCCACGAGGCGGAACTAAATATCCACATAAGCTATTAGGTTAAAGAGTTAAGGAGAATTTCCAGTGAAGGAAGATTAAAACTCTGAATCCATGAGGAAAGGTATAGATATTCATTTATTTATTTATTTATTTATTTATTTATTTATTTATTTGACGGAGTCTGGCTCTGTCACCCAGGCTGTAGTGCAGCAGCGCAATCTCAGCTCACTGCAAGCTCCGCCTCCCGGGTTCACATCATTCTCCTGCCTCAGCCTCCTGAGTAGCTGGGACTACAGGAGCCCGCCACCACCCCCGGCTAATTTTTTGTATTTTTAATAGAGACGGGGTTTCACCGTGTTAGCCAGGATAGTCTCGATCTCCTGACCTCGTGATTTGCCCGCCTCGGCCTCCTAAAGTGCTGGGATTACAGGCGTGAGCCACTGCGCCTGGCCTAGACATTTACTTTAACAGGGCCAGAGGCTTAAGGAAGGTACCTTGTTACCTGACTCCTCTGTCTTAAATGTGAAGATTGAAGACCAGTAGGATACAGTGAGACTGAGGCACACTGCTTAGCAATAGGAGGCATTGTCTTAACCATTGTCTTGAGGCCCAAGAGGGACAGATTTTTTTTTTTCTAGTTTTTACTCTCCTTTGACAGTTTTAGTATTTTTCCTTTGACCTAATACAACAGGCTGTATGTACAGTGACTGAGGGAGAAAGGTTAAAATACTTCTAGCATTTCACTGCTCTCTCCTCCAGGATTTTATACTCCTTAGTGCGCAAGGTATATCACTGCAGGAGCAGCCCTGGCCATGACATGTCCTGTATGGTCGGGAACATGAGCCTCTTGTACTGCCTTATTTTCCCTCTTCGTTCTCTCTTCAAAGCTGCTAAAAGGGGAAATCCTGCTGCTGCCTGAGCTTTCTTTTATGACCGGAATCCCAGAGAAGATGAAGAAGGACTTCAGAGCCATGAAGGTTGGAGTCCTGTGTTTTCAGCCGGAAATGCCCACTTTGTGAGGCAGCCTTTTGGTTAACAGTTTGAGTTAGAACCGAGCCACGTTCCAACTCTGATGTTGGCTTGCATTGTAACCTGGGCCTGTCCATTCTTCCAGCCTCCAGTTTTCTCCTCTGTAAAACATGATCCATGTCCCTTCCCACACACGATGTGAAAAAGCATATCAGAACTTCCTTTTGAAGGTCGTTAGAACAGTAGAGGGACTGGATTATAAAATAAGAAGAAACAAACAACTCTGTCTTCATCCTCACCAGTCAGGTGGATAATTGTAAACTGGTCATATGACCATGGGTGAGGTTCTTTGAGAGCACTGAGTTATTGTAACATTTCTAAAGCCTTCAGTTTATTTGAAGGCATGGAGAAGATAATGAGGCAAAAAGCAAATAAGTCAGGAGATGAGGATGGTTTATCTTGTGGGGCCCTGAGTGTCCTGGGGGTGTTGGGCTCAGCTCCTGTGGGCAGGGCTGAGTAGCACAGATGGGTACAGCACCTAGCACCTAGGTGGCGTGAGTCCAGACCCCAGAGCCGGCCCGCCACACTCTGTCTGGGGCTGTCCACGCTTGAACTCCTCTCTGCTGCCTCACTTTCCAGTCCATGTCTGTCTTAGACCCATATGCCACATACAGTTTTTGGTAACATCATAAAGAAAGAGCTTGAAGTGAAGCTCCAAATTCCTATGAGAGATTTTTTTCATGTTTACCTTCCAGTTCTTCTACTTTCACCTACCTTGTAGGTCAAGGCCTTTTCTATACAACTCCCAGTTGCCTGATGACTTTATGATCACAGAGCTGTATCTACCCCTGTAGACTTACTGACCCTAATGACTACCTCAGAGGGAATAACAGCTGTGCAATTCATTCATCTCAGAAGAATAAAGAAAGAACTCACTTATGTGATTCAGAATCTTCCTGCATACCTGTTAGATTTTACTCAACAATATTTAGCAAGTACCTATAAATGAGTCAAACACCATGACAAGTTCTGGGCAAAAAAGTGACTTATGGTAACATCAAATGACTAGTATGCTATGGCATATAGTGTTAGAATGAATATGGTTTTCTGTTTTGTTTGGCTGGATGCCTCACACATGGCATTTTTTACACATTTTTTCCCAAATTTTATTTCTTTTTCAATATTTGTTTTATTATACAGATGGGGTCTAGCTATGTTGCCCAGGCTGGTCTCAAATTCCTGGGCTCAAGTGATCTGCCTGTCTTGGCCTCCCAAAGTGCTGGGATTACAGGCGTGAGCCACTGTGCCAGGCCCCACATTTTAAGTAGGTGTAATCAAGCCCCTTTGTTCCTGTTTCATAGGCTCTTATAGGAATTTTAAAGTCAAAATATGCTTTGAGAAAGAAATAAGATCCACACATCATGAAAGAGAGAGTCGATGACATTTGAAATTCTTTTATTATTCATTTTTTTTTTTTTTTTTTTTTTTTTTGGAGATAGTATCTTGCTCTGTTGCCCAGGCTGGAGGGCAGTGGTACAATCATGGCTCACTGCAGCCTCAATCCCTTGGGCTCAAGTGATCCTCCTGCCTCAGCCTCCTGAGTAGCTAGGAGTACAGGGCACGCACCACCATACCTGGCTAATTTTTAAAAGTTTTTTATAGAGACAGAGTCTTGCCCATGTTGCCCATGTTGGTCTCGAACACCTGGGCTCAAGCGATCCACCCACCTCATCCTTCCAATCAATTTTTAACCTTATATCACATTCACCTTCCTAAGAGATATATTTAATAAGTCCTTGAAGATGTTTGAAAATTTCTGCTGATTTCAATGGGAAAGAGAAACATTTTAGACCTACTGGGGTTTATTTAACTTCATATTGGTGAAGTTATCTTTATAAGTTATCTTTATTTTAATTCTGTTTAGGATTTGGCTCAGCAAATCAATCTGAGCCCCAAGCAACACCATAGTGCTTTGGAATGCTTGCTGCAAAGAATTGCAAAGAACGAGGCAGCCACCAATGAACTGATGCGTTGGGGGCTCCGTCTGCAAAAGGATGTACATAAGGTAAACCAAAAAACGTGATGGTGTATGCACATGTACAGAGACACGTGTGCAATATTTATGTGACTTTCCTTTTGTTGTCAGTATATTTTGAATGTTTGTCCATGTCATTTAATATTTTTCTAAGTTTTTTTTTTTTTTTTGAGACAGAGTCTTATTGGGATTACAGGTATGAACCTCTGTGCGTGGTCATATTTTTCTAAGTATTTCTAATGGCTGCCTGATACTTTTTATTAACGGTTTTCTATCCTTTTACATTCAAATTGAATTTAGTATTTTTCTATTATAAATAATGATGCAGGGCAGGCGTGGTGGCTCACGCCTGTAATCCCAGCACTTTGGGAGGCTGAGGCAGGTGGATCACCTTAGGTCAGGAGTTCGAGAAGAGCCTGGCCAGCATGGTAAAACCCCATATCTACTAAAAACACAAAAATTAGCTGAGTGTCGAGGCACGAGCCTGTAATACCAGCTACTCAGGAGGCTGAGGTAGGAGAATCACTTGAACCCGGGAGGTGGAGGTTGCAGTGAGCCAAGATGGGGCCACTGCACTCTAGCCTGGGAGACAGAGGGAGAATCCATCTCAAAAAAAATTAACTAATTTAAAAAAATAACGATGCAGTGTACATCCTTACAACTGAATCTTTGTGTGTGTTATTTATTTTTTTGAGACGGATTCCAAGTGATTCTCCTGTCTCAGCCTCCCGAATAGTTGGAATTACAGGCGCACACCACCATGCCTGGCTAATTTTTGTATTTTTAGTAGAGACGGAGTTTCACCATGTTGCCATGGCTGGTCTCTCGAGCTCCTGACCTCAAATGATCCGCCTACCTTAGCCTCCCAAAGTGTTAGGAGTACAGGTGTGAGCCACCACGCTAGCCCTTGTTTATTTTCTTTTTTCTGTTTTTTTAAGATGGGGTTTCATTCTTGTTGGCCAGGCTGGAGTGTAATGGCGCAATCTCGGCTCACTGCAACCTCCACCTCCCAGGTTCAAGCGATTCTCCTGCCTCAGCTTCCCAAGTAGCTGGGATTACAAGCACGTGCCACCACGTCCGGCTAATTTTTGTATTTTTAGTAGAGACGGGGTTTCACCATCTTGGCCAGGCTGGTCTTGAACTCCTGACCTCGTGATCCACCCGCCTTGGCCTCCCAAAGTGCTGGGATTACAGGTGTTAGCCACCACACCCGGCCCCCTTGGATATTAAGTCCAATTTATGAAGGTAAAATAATTTAGGGACATTTATGTTTTTAATACTTATATTTTATTTATTTATTTAAAAAAGTTTTTTTGAGACAGAGTCTTGCCCTGTCACCCAGGCTGGAGTGCAGTGGTGTGATCTCAGCTCACTGCAGCCTCCTCCCGGATTCAAGTAAATCTCCTGCCTCTGCCTCCCAAGTAGCTGGGGACTACAGGCATGCGCCACCACACCCAGCTAATTTTTGTATTTTTAGTAGAGACAGGGTTTCACCATGTTGGCCAGGCTGGTGTCAAACTCCTGACCTCAAGTGATCTGCCCTCCTCGGCCTCCCAAAGTGCTGGGATTACAGGCGTGAGCCACGGTGCCCGGCCCCTTTAAAATATTTTTTGAAGATTGTTTTCCTTTATTCAGTCATTCTAAATAGACAATGTTTTCAAATCCCTTTCTTGGGATATCATGTGGAAGCTTCAATAATGAAAGACTAGTACCTATAATAATTTTACCTATATAAATGTAGGTTTTTATTGACAGGGACTTTCACTGCTAGAAGCTTTATTATTCTGCTAGTCTCAAAAGTTCTAACAGGGACAAGTGTCTGTGGTGGAGCTGAGCAGGCCTTATAGAGCAGTAGCAGTGTTTTTCTAAATAGCGTTTGAAAAGGCTCATGTCATAGATGGTTTATTTTCTGTTTAGATTGAAGGACGTGTTCTGCCAATGGAAAGAATTAACTTAAAAAATACTTCGTTTATCACATCTCAGGAACTAAACTGGGTTAAGGAAGTAACCAGAGACCCTTCCATCTTGACTGTAAGTGATTTTTGAAGTGATAAAGAGAGGACCAGTATTCCCCAAAGTGTGGGAATTAGGAAGCAGGAATGATCTAGAGTCTTCTTTTTTGAGGGAAAGTACCAATTGAATCCCCATTCTGAATTACCTACTAACCAGGGATCCTTCAAACAGAGCAGTTGATGAGTTGTTAGAGGTAAGCCCTTTGCCTGACCATAGACTTAGGGAAAGGAAATAAATTGCTGTGGTAATTCACATAGTGCCAACCTGTTACCCACTCTCCCTTCTTTCTTTCTCTTTTCCCCCTCTTTTTCCCCGGGAGTATCTAGAGGGTATTTGTATCCGTGAAAGAAGTTAGATTAAAACAGTACCTCACCTAGGGAACTAATAATACACTAGCTATTTGTATCAAGGTACAAAATGGCATATAATTACTTCTCAGTGTTTTTGACCAACATGGACTTCATGGCCAGATATATAAAAACAGATATATAAAATGCATGTTTTTAAATGTTTTATTGAAATATAAACGAAAAGCACACTTATAAACGTGTAACTTGATGAGTTTTTTTTTAATTAAATAGACCTGTGTAATCCACACCAAGGGTTAAGATGCAGAACTTTACCAGCACTCCAGAAGCCCCCTCCATTCTCCCAGTTCCTGCCTATCCCTTACCCCTCACACACCCAGTATAGCCACTGTCCTGACTTTTCACAGCACAGATTGATTTTACCAATTTCTGTACTTTACATATACATGGAATCATAGATTATATATTCTTCTGTGTCTGGCTTCTTTTCTTAAATTTGTGTTAGTGAGTTTCATCCTGTTGTTAGGCATGGTTGTTGCTCTTCCATTCTCATTACTGTATAACATTCCATTTTGAGACTACGCCACAGTTTTCTTATCATGTACGTTCATGTTAATACAGGAGTTAGATAAGACAGGATTCAAGCAATGAGAGTGAAAAGTAATTTATTCTCTAGAATGAAATCTTAAGTATGAGTTTGGGATATTTAAATTGTGAGAAATACTAAAAGCTCTTGGTTGTTCCTAGATCCCCATGCATTTCTGGGCACTTTTTTACCCAAAGAGAGCAATGGACCAGGCTCGAGAACTGGTCAACATGTTGGAGAAGATAGCCGGCCCCATTGGCATGCGTATGAGCCCACCGGCCTGGGTTGAACTAAAGGATGACCGAATAGAGACTTATGTCAGAACCATTCAATCCACGTTAGGAGCTGAGGTAAAAATGTAATTCAAATAAATTTATAGGATGTCCATTTTAAATTACTTAAATACTTAATTTTAATGTATCATGGTTATCAGTCTGCTGTTGATGATGCCCTAGAACTTGTCTTACCCATGCGCACATGAAATACTGATTGAAAAGTGTTCTTTATGCCCTTTGGTTAATTTTGCTTCTCTCACTCTGTGTTGGCACCCTCACTTACTCTAGTCTTCTTTTTCTTACGTAACTGGCTGAGAGAATAGCTGACTTAACTGTGGTTCATTATCTATAGAACATGTTGTGCTCAGAAAGCAGCAGCTTGGGTTAGGTGCCGTCTTGCACGATTCACTACTGAGCTGCCTCAGTCCGGCCTGGTTCAAGATTAAAATTACTCTGGTGATGAACTTGGCAGATGGCCCATTGATTGGGTCCTGATGACTGATCAGGAACACTAGAGCTGGCCAGGTCATAGCACTCACAACTTAGTTATTCAGGCTTTTCAGTTCTTACCTGTTTGTAAATAAAATCGAACAAGAGGAATAGGGAGAGAAAAAAGCAAGGGGAAGGCTTTTGGAAGTAATTAGCCCTTGAATTGAACATTCTGGTAAATTGTTCTGGTGAGTTCAATCCTAGAATTCAATCATCTTGGCATCATAGAGTTCTTTTTTTAAATTTTTTTTTGAGAGATTGGGTCAGCTGGGCGCACAGTGGCTCACGCCTGGAATTCCAGCACGTTGGGATGCTGAGGTGGGCGGGTTGCTTGAGCCCAGGAGTTTGAGACCAGCCTGGGCAACCTGGCAAAACCCTGTCTCTACAAAAAATCTAAACATTAGCTGGGTGTGGTGGCATGCACCTGTAGTACCAGCTACTCAGGAGGCTGAGGTGGGAGAATCACCTGAGCCTGGGGAGGTTGAGGCTGCAGTGAGCTATGATCATGCCACTTTACTCCAACCTGGGCAACAGAGTGAGACCTTTTCTCCAAAAAAAAAAAAAAAAATGAGATAGGATTTTACTCTGTCACCCATGTGGAGTACACTGGTGCGATCTTAGCTCATTGTTGCCTCAAACTCCTGGGCTCAAGCAATCCTTCCGCCTCAGCCTTCCAAGTAGCTGGAACTACAGGCGTGGGCCATCACACCTGGCTAATTAAAAAAAAAAATTATAGAGGTAGGGTTTCACTATGTTGCCCAGGCTGGTCTCGAGCTTCTGGCCCCAAGTGATCCTGCTGCCTCAACCTCCCAAAGCAGTGAGATTACAGGCGTGAGTCACCATGCCCAGCAGCATTCTGTTTTTGATCTGGCACTCTTGGTGTATCATTCACAACAGCACACTTGTGTTCTTTCTTTGGTGTGTTTCTCTCTCTCTTTTTTTAGACACAAAGTCTTGACTCTGTTGCTCAGGCTAAAGTACAGTGGCATGATCATAGCTGACTGTAACATGAAACTTGAGGGCCCAAGGGATCCTCCTGCCTCAGCCTTCTGAGTAGCTGTAACTGTACACGTGCACCACCACTCCTGGCTAATTTTTAAATTTTTTGTAGAGATGGGGTCTCCTTCTGTTGCCCAGGCTGATCTCAAACTCCCAGCCTCAATCAGTCCTCCCACCTCCACCTCCCAAAGTGCTGGGATTACAGGTGTGAGCCACTGCACCCAGCCTGTGCATTCTCTATAATTCCATCCTGATCTACCATGCCTGTCATACTCTACCATGGCCTCCCTCAGACCTGATCATAGATAAGTTCTGCTCTGCTTTCAAAAGAATAACCCAGCCCAGTACATCAGCTCCCCCATTTCACAACTTGTGTTCCCTTTTTGAGAGGGTACAACTGACAGTTTTCATGTGGCATGGATGTGAATTTCATTCATATCGCTTACCAACTTATCTCATAGCGGCCTTGCTCTGTCTGTTCATCTTTAAGGCATTCCATTATCATCTCTATGAGGAATCACAAACTCGTATGTCTCCAGGAGCCTGATAAGGAGTATAAATGAGTGAAGTGGGCCAGGAGGGGAGTGAAATGAACTAAAGAGGGTAACTCCTGTGACTGGAGATATAAACCCAGGATTGCCAAAATGATTCTTAATGTGCTTGTTTGTTGGTAAAGGCCAAAAACCTGGAATTGCATATGTGTGTATCTTCCTATGTTTAAATGTTAATTTAAACAAACATAAACACTTTTAAGTCATTGTAGGGCCTGAAAAAACGCACCTGTTTGCTGTGTCCAGTCCATAGGCTCCCAGTGCGCAGCTCTGTTCTCATGCCTTTGGAAATGCTTGGTGTCGTTGCTCAATGTGTCCTCTGAACAGTCTTAACATTACACCAATCTTGATTTGGAGTAGGGTACCACTGATTTACCATTTGTAGCAGTTTCTGGCTTAAAGGGTTGGCAACCTTCTTTCACTTGAGTGCTGCTTTTCTTTATTCAGGCTTTGAAAGGTCCTCTTTTTTCAATATTGGATTCCTTCAGCAGTGAGGAATAGATGATACTGACATGCTGTGCTGCTGACAATATCATTCTGTCTCTTCACCAGAGTTAGGAGTGGCTGCTCATGAATTTGGCAATAGCTTCATTCCAGTTTGCATTTAGTTCTGAATGCTTTCTTGTAGTATTGCATTCCCTGTTTCCTTGGTTAAAGTTCTGTGGTATGAGTGTAATAAGTTGTTTAGTAAACCAAAGAGAGTAGTAAAAAACATTATACTGAATTGGAAGCAGCAAGTAATGTAAACCTTGCATGCATTCAAACCTGGTCCTTTTCCAGCCATCTGAGTCTTCTAATAGATAAATCTTTTGGTAATCAGGGCCAGCTCTGGGTAATTAATAGTAACATATTACCTATCTATACAGAACAGCCCTGAGCCAAAGAATGCTAATTCAGCTCCAAGGACCTTGTTCTGGTTGGAATGTCCACCCTCTTTATTTCAGTTCCCTGTCTTCCTTAAAGGTCCTATGGCTTTGCATACTCAGAATACTGCCAACTAGAGTCCTGTAAAAGTCCCCAGAGAATTCCACAGCCTGACTTGTATATACCTTATCTCCTCAAGGGGAAGATACAGATGGTTGTTTGCATCATCATGGGCCCACGTGATGATCTCTATGGGGCCATCAAGAAGCTGTGCTGTGTGCAGTCCCCAGTGCCCTCCCAGGTGAGTGGGTGTTGGGGCAGGAGGCGCAGATGGCACCTCTCGCCTCCCCGAGGCTTGAGAAGAGGGATATGTGTGTTCACAAAGACTAAAGTAGCTGTTAGAAGCCAGTATGTGCTGAGCCTTCTGGTGAAAGGTTCTCCTGATTAGAGCAACCTGGCAAAGAGTAGATTGCTCTTCATAAGCTGCCCTCATGCTTCCAAATGAACAGTTTCGCTTGTTCCGAGGTTGAGTCACCAGGTGGTTTCATGTGACTGAGTTCTGAGAGTGAATATAGGCTTCATTCTGAAAGGGGAAAGCTATTTTTCCTATGGGAGTTAAAAAAGCATTCCACTCTGCGTGAGATCCTTTTGAAAGTTTTCATTTGTTGGTTTTATTTTGTTTTGGGTTTGTGGTGTGTGTGTATGTGTGTGTGTGTGTGTTGTATTTTGCCCATGTGCATGCATGCCTAGAAACCCTAGAATTAGAATTATTAATGCGAAATGTGTTATCTTCTAACTTGAGTTTCTTAAACAAATGTAATGTTTACTTTAGAGTTCAGATTTTCTGAGAGGTTGATAGTGACCTGCTTCTCCTGACACCTTTTGGTCCCTTCATTATAGGTTGTCAATGTTCGAACCATTGGTCAGCCCACCAGGCTTCGGAGTGTGGCCCAGAAGATTTTACTTCAGATTAACTGTAAATTGGGTGGTGAGCTCTGGGGAGTGGATATTCCTCTGGTGAGTGATGCCGAGATGGTTCAGTTTGCCTCTCCAGAGAATCCTCCAAGCTGTTTTCCTGTTTTTCCTTATTCGTTATGCTTCCTCTTCTCAACACTTACTCAGTAGTCTAAATGGCTCCCTGCCTCTTCAGCCCATTATCTAAGAATGGGTTTTATGTTTGTTTGTTTTTTGTTTTTTGTGTTTTTGAGACGGATTCTTGTTCTTGTCGCCCAGGTTGGAGTGCGATGGCACGATCTTGGCTCACTGCAACGTCCACCTCCCAGGTTCAAGCAATTCTCCTGCCTCAGCCTCCTGAGTAGCTGGGATTACAGGTGCCCGCCACCATACCCAGCTAATTTTTGTATTTTTAGTACAGATGGGATTTCACCATGTTGGCCAGGCTGGTCTCAAACTCCTGACCTGGTGATCTGCCCACCTCAGCCTTCCAAAATGCTGGGATTACAGGTGTGAGCCACCATGCCCAACCTGGTTTTTATGTTTTTAAATGGCGGAAAAAATAAAACTAAGATGATTATTCCGTGACACATGAAAATTATATGAAGTGAGTTTTCAGTGTCTTTAAATAAAATTTCACTGGAATACAGCCATACTCCTTTTCATACTGTCCATGACTGCTTTTGTGTTAAGCAGATAGAATTAAATAAAGGTCAAGTATGCTTTTTCTGAAATACTTGGGACCAGAAGCATTTTGGATTTTAGATTTCTGGGGGTTTGGGTTCATTTGCTTGCATCCCAAATTCAAAAATCTGCAATCTGAAACACTCCAAAATCTGAAACTCTTTGAGTGTCATGTCGGTGCTCAAAAGCTTTTCAGATTTGGGAATGCTCAACCTGTGTTTTCTACAGAAATCATAAGACTCACAAAGCCTAAGTTATTTACCCTTTAGTCCTTTGCTGATCCCTGATCTAGATCTTAACTGTGCTTATTGTGTTTAAAAAATGTCAAGTTGATTGTCTTTTTTTTTTCTTTCCCAGAACTTACTTTCATGTATAAACAGTAAGGGGAGGTTGCTTTGGGATTCAGACAGTAATTAAAAATGGAGGAATGCATTGCTCAGGTCTGGGGTTTGGTTTTTGTTTTTGTTTTCTAAACTAGAAACAGTTAATGGTGATCGGGATGGATGTTTACCATGACCCCAGTAGAGGCATGCGCTCCGTGGTTGGCTTCGTGGCAAGCATCAATCTGTAAGTACTGCTCACAGTGCCATCTTGTTTGATTATTTCATTTTAGTGCCTAATCTTATTATAAATCCAGCAAATCTTTTTAGCATTATGTATTACAATATAAAGATTTCTAAACATTTTCTTCCTCTATCTTCATGTGAATTTTTTTTTTCGGGGGGGAGGGGTGGAAATGGAGTCTCCCTCTGTCACCCAGGCTGGAGTGCAGTGGTGCTATCTTAGCTCACTGCAGCCTCCACCTTCTGGGTTCAAGTGATTCTCCTGCCTCAGCCTCCCCAGTAGCTGGGATTACAGGTGCGCACCACCATGCCAGGCTAATTTTTGTATTTTTAGTAGAGACAGCGTTTCACCATGTTGGCCAGGCTGGTCTTGAACACCTAACCTCAGGTGATCCGCCCACCTCAGCCTCCCACAGTGCTTGGATTACAGGCGTGAGCCATCATGCCCGGCTATGAAATTTGTTTATGCAACTTTTTTTTTTTTTGAGACTGGGATTTACTCCACTGGAGTGCAGTGGCATGATCACAGCTCACTGCAACCTCAACCTCCCTGGGTTTTGGTGATCCTCCCACCTCAGCCTCCCGAGTAGCTGGGACCACAAGCATGTGCCACCATACCCAGCTAATTTTTGTAGAGACAGGGTTTCACCATGTTGCCCAGGCTGGTCTCAAACTCCTGGGCTTAAGTGATCCACCTGCCTCAGTCTCCCAAAGTGCTGGGATTACAGGCATGAGCACTGCACCTGGCTTTGCAGCTTATTTAACAAACTTGGCACGGGTGTGAATGTGCTTCCCAGCTGAAGAGCGACCTCCTCCAAGGCTGGGGCTGTGCTGCCTTGTTGTTGGCATTTTTCCCCCAGAAATGAGGTTTTTTTGATTGTTTGTTCCAACTGTAAAAATAAGCCATGCTCATCCCAAATATCTGCAGAAATTGAGAAAGTGAGAATTCCTCATGGTCCAGCTTTTATTCATATTAACAGTTGCCAAAGGTTTGATGTATATATACTTTCAGATTCTCTTCTATGCCTATATTAACACATACATGTGATATATATCTCTGAAACACACACACACACATATATATATTTGTACAAATGGGATATTGCTAGGCATACTATTCCTTAGCTTAATATGCAGTTAAACTGTACATTTTCCTGTATCATTACAAATAAATCTCCACCAACTCAACTGCTGCTCAGAATTTATTCTGTGTATCATTATTTAACCAATCCTCTCTTGGTGGATATCTTAAGTTGTTAAATTTTTTCTATTGGAGCAGTTTTTGTAGGAAATATCCACAATTACACTTTTTTTAAATTTTTTATTTATTTATTTATTTATTTTTTTTGAGACAGAGTCTCGCTCTGTCGCCCAGGCTGGAATGCAATGGCACAGTCTCAGCTCACTGCAAGCTCCGCCTCCCAGGTTCACGCCATTCTCCTGCCTCAGCCTCCCGAGTAGCTGGGACTACAGGTGTCCGCCACCACGCCCGGCTAATTTTTTTTGTACTTTTAGTAGAGACGGGGTTTCACCGTGTTAGCCAGGATGGTCTCGATCTCCTGACCTCGTGATCTGTCCACCTTGGCCTCCCAAAGTGCTGAGATTACAGGCATGAGCCACCGCGCTCTGCCACAATTACACGTTTTTATGTTCTGCATATGACTTAAATATGTCTTTTCTCCATGTCACTGCTTGTTCTTACATATAAATGCATTTTCTAGGTACTTGTTTTTGGATTGATTGGTAGAGAAACCTGTGTTACTGACATAAGCCATAGGCTGTCCCCTTCGAGCATTTGTTCATCTTCCTTTCTCTGTCTCTCTGCTCACCCTGACCCTAGCACCCTCACAAAATGGTATTCCCGGGTGGTGTTCCAGATGCCGCATCAGGAGATTGTGGACAGCCTGAAGCTATGCCTCGTGGGCTCCTTAAAAAAGTTTTATGAGGTGAGGAGAACAGAAATTCTCAGGCTTCTGGGGTTTTTTGTTTTTTTATTTTTTTTTTTGAGACAGAGTCTCACTCTTGTCGCCCAGGTTGGAGTGCAGTGGTGCGATCTCTGTTCACTGCAACCTCTGCCTCCTGGGTTCAAGCGGTTCTCCTGCCTCAGCCTTCCAAGTAGCTGGGATTACAGGCGTGCACCAGCACGTCCAGTTAATTTCTGTATTTTTAGTAGAGATGTGGTTTCACCATGTTGGCCAGGCTGGTTTCGAACTCCTGACCTCAGGTGATCTGCCTGCCTGGGCCTCCCAAAGTGTTGGGATTACAGCTGTGAGCCACCGCGCCTGGCCAAGTTTCTGGGATTTTAAGGATTACCTATGTGAACACTTTACAGGAAGTCTGATGTGGTGAGAGGGATCTCAAATCAAAGGTGAGTCTCCTAAACAGCTGCTACTGAGCAGGCAGCTCAGAGCTCCTCCTTTCAGGCTTCAGCTTGTACAGATCAGCTTAAAGAGCTAAATGCTTTCATTTGGTTTAGTAAGTAATAATTTTTTCTCAGGTTGTCAGCCTGATGTCTCTAGACATAATCTTCATGCCCTTATCGGGGAAGTTGGGGATAAGTTTCAGCAATTAAAGCAGCTTATGAGTGTACTCAGCTTTTTATAACTTATTAGGCGCTGGCTCTTTTCATTTTGGTTCAAGACAAATGCCTCCTTATAAATCACCCCTCGAACTCTAAAGAATGCTAACCATGGAGGATTGCTATAATTAAGCTGATACTGGATCTAGAACAGTGAGCAAGCAAGGTACTGATTTCTGCCTTGGCCAGTACATCAAAGGAAGCACTGATAAGTGCCTTTCATTTCTTAGGGTCAGGGTTAGACCTTAACCTTTGCATAGAGGCTAAGCAGCAAGAAATGTCGTAATTTCATATGATTGAACTCAGTCTCTAAGGCTCCACCTTGTCTCTTTATAGAATAATGTTTCCTATAGCATCCTGCAAATACTTTAATACTGTTCAGTTATTAGAGGTTATTTTTTTTTAAAGTCTGTCTCCAGCAAGGTCCATATGTTATGCTACTGAGTCACCAAGTTCTACCAGACTTTCCTTTTTGTTGTTGTTCTAATTGTTTTCCTTCGAAGTTTGATCTGTCTTCTAATACCTATCTGTGAAGACTTTTCCCTTCTTCCCTCACTGCTCCATTCTTAAGCTGCCTTATATTTGTTATTTATCCATCCCACTGGGTTGTATCCTTATTTATGCATCCCACTGGGTTGTAAATTACTTGAACACTGGTTGTGGATGGCTATGTAGCAAATTACCCTGAAACTTAGTGGCATGAAATGAGCAAGTTTGATGTTCACAATCAGGAACTGGACAAGGCACAGCCGAGGGCTCCATTTCTCCATGTGGGCCTTGTTGTATGGTCTTTTCACATGGGCTCTTTGGGCCTCCTCCTTGCATGCTGGCTGGATTCAAAGCCTGAATGTTCCACAAGACAGAGTGCTGGTGGAAGTCATGCTGCATTTTATGCCTTAACTGTGGAAGTAATGCAGTATCACTTCTGCTGCATTCTAATTGTCCAAGGAGTCACAAAGTCCCACCCAGCTTTGAGGGGAGGGCAGTTGATTCCACCTTCTAATCCAAGGGTGGCAAGGGTCTGAAAGAACATGTGGCACCAGAGATATTGCTGTGGCTATTTTCTTTTTTTGAGACAGGGTCTCACTCTGGTTGCCCAGGCTGGAGTGCAGTGGCACAATCTCGGCTCACTGCAACCTCTGCCTCCCAGGCTCAAGCGATTCTCCTGCCTCAGCCTCCTGAATAGCTGGGATTATAGGCATGTGACACCACACCTGGCTAATTTTTGTATTTTTAGTAGAGACAGGGTTTCGGCGTCTTGGCCAGGCTGGTCTTGAACTCCTGACCTCATGATCCACGCTTCTCAGCCTCCCAAAGTGCTAGGATTACAGGTGTGAGCTGCTGCGCCCGGCTTTTTTTTTTTTTTTTTTTTTTGAGACGGAGTCTCACTCTGTAACCCAGGCTGGAGTACAGTGGCGCAATCTCAGCTTACCACAACCTCTGTCTGCTTCCCGGATTCAAGCAATTCAACTGCCTCAGCCTCCCGAGTAGCTGGGATTACCTGCATGTGCCACAAGACCCAGGTAATTTTTTTTTTTATTTTTAGTAGAGACGGGGTTTTGCCATGTTGGCCAGACTGGGCTGGTCTCGAACTCTTAATCTCAAGTGATCCGCCCGCCTCAGCCTCTCAAAGTGCTGAGATTATAGGTGTGAGCCACCATGTCTGGCCTGCTGTGGCCATTTTCTTTTCTTCTTTTTTTGAGACGGAATTTCACTCTTATTGCCCAGGCTGAAGTGCAATGGCACAATCTGGGCTCACTGCAGCCTCCGCCTCCCGGGTTCAAGCAATTCTCCTGCCTCAGCCTCCCATGTAGCTGGGATTACAGGTGCCCGCCACCACGCCTGGCTAATTTTTTTGCATTTTTAGTAGAGATGGGGTTTTGCCACGTTGGCCAGGCTGGTCTCAAACTCCTGACCTCAGGTGATCCACCCCCCTCAGCCTCTCAAAGTGCTGGGATTATAGGCGTGAGCCACCGTGCCTAGCCACTGTGGCTATTTTGTAAAAGTGCAGTCTGCTGCAAGCACAGGGACTGTCTTGATTCCTTTTCCATCTCTTACACTACTAAGCTGACACTCCTGGTGATTTACGTTGAATTTCTAGTATCACAATTCTATTCTAAGTCAATTAACAGTTTGTTTTGGTCTCTGTTTCTTTATCTGAACTATGAACTTAAGTAGTATTTATTAAATTCTGTAGAACCAGATCAAAGAAAAAATAAATTTGTTTTTAAATCTAGAATAAAACTGGCTCATCTGAATATAAATGTTCTCTGAATCAAAAGAATTTTTTTTTTTTTGAGACAGGTTCTTGCTCTGCCTCATCCTCCAGAGTAGCAGGGACTACAGGCATATGCCACCAAGCCTGGCTAATTGTTAAAAATTTTTAGTAGAAATGAGGTGTTGCTATTTTGCCCAGGCTGGTCTGGAACTCCTGGGCTCAAGCGATCCTCCCACCTCAGCTTCCCAAAGTGCTGGGATTACGGGCATGAGCCACTGCGCCTGGCCAAAAGGTTTCATTTCTTTCAGGTCCTCATTATTGGCTTAGTCCTATGCCAGCTTTTGCCATTTCCCCAGTTGTTCTGCACCTAGTGGAAGGAATCTTTGTATTTAAACTGTTTTGCAAAATGAAGACCTCATCTCTACAAAAAAATTGAAAAAATAAGCCAGGCTTGGTGGCATGCACCTGTAGTCCCACTTCTTCAGGAGGCTGAGGTGGGAGGATCCCTTAAGCCTAGGAGTCCAGTGCTCCAGTGAACTATGATCATGTCAGCCCGGTTGACAGAGCCTGCCTCTAAAACAAATAAAATAAAAAATAAACGATTTTGATCATGCCTCTCCCAGAGCTTATCCTGACTCAGCAGCCTCAACAAATTTGCTTTGGGGTTCTAAGATTCTGACTACCTCTGGACTCCCCATTTTTATTAATATCTTCCCCTAGGAATGGCAGTAACCACCGGAAGTTCCAACACCTCCGAACAGTTGCCGCCTTACACATTTTCAGCCCCATTTTGCATCACGGCTCGCTAGTCCAAAGCCCATTTTCTCCATTCTAAATCTCTCACTTGTCCTCTGGACTCGCATGCAATAATAAAATGCTTCCAAATACTGTTTTGGTTTTTTTTTTTGTAAATAAACTTTTTATTTTGGAATAAAAGTTGCAAAATAGGTTAGAGGATAGAGTTCCCATACATCCTTCATCCAGTTTTCCCTCATTGTCAACGTCTTGCCTTGCTAGCTGTGTTACATAAATGTTTCCAAATATTCTTATCCTTTTCCTTGAATAGTTGATTTTGCTCTTCTCCTTTTTCTGTAACTAGGCTTTTCCTTGATGAATACATGCCCCTCCCCCCCACCTTTTTTTTTGAGACAGGGTTGCTCTGTTGCCTGGGCTGGAGTGTAGAGTCACAGTCTCGGTTCACTGCAGCCTCAACCTCCTGGGCTCAAGGGATCCTCCCACCTCAGCCTCCCAAGTAGCTGGGACTGCAGGCACATACCACCACACCCAGCTAATTTTTGTATTTTTTGTAGAGACAGAGGGTCACTATATTGCTCAGGCTGGTCTCAAACTGAGGCTGATCTCAAACTCCTGGCCTCAAGCTATCCGCCTACTCAGCGTCCCAGAGTGCTGGGATTATAGCTGTGAGCCACTGAGCCCAGCTGAATACCCTGTCCTGTCCCGTCCCGTCCTGTCCCGTCCCATCCCATCTTGTCCTGTCCTGTCCTTTCCTTTCCTTGTCCTGTCCTTGTCCTGTCCTTTTTTGTCCTGTCCTTTACAGGCACATGCCACCACACCCAGCTCAGTTTTGTATTTTTAGTAGACACGGGATTTCACTGTGTTGGCCAGGCTTGTCTCGAACTCCTGACCTTAAGTGATCCGCCTGCCTTGGCCTCCCAAAGTGCCGGGATTACAGACGTGAGCCACTGTGCCCAGCTGAATACCGTTTTCTTAGAATTATCTCAGGTTGTGATTACTCTCATATCTCAAGAGCCAGACACCTTCCCCAGGCCAGTTGTTGTTGTTGTTGTTTGAGGCAGAGTCTCTCTCTGTTGCCAGGCTGGAGTGCAGTGGTATGATCTCGGCTCACTGCAACTTCCGCCTCCCCGGTTCAAGCACTTCTGCCTCAGCCTTCCGAGTAGCTGGGACCACAGGCACACACCACCACACCCAGCTAATTTTTGTATTTTCAGTAGAGACGGGGTTTCACTGTGTGGGCTAGGGCTAGGATAGTCTTGATCTTTTTTTTTTTTTTTTTTTTTTGAGACAGAGTCTTGCTCTGTCGCCCAGGCTGGAGTGCAGTGGCACATTCTCGGCTCACTGCAACCTCCGCCTCCCGGGTTCAAGCAATTCTTCTGCCTCAGCTTCCCGAGTAGCTGGGACTATAGGCGTGTGCCACCATGCCTGGCTAATTTTTGTATTTTTAGTAGAGACGGGGTATCACCATGTTGGCCAGGCTGGTCTCGAACTCCTGACCTCGTGATCCGCCGGCCTCAGCCTCCCAAAGTGCTGGGATTATAGGCATGAGCTACCGCGCCCAGCCAGTCTTGATCTCTTGACCTCGTGATCCACCCACTTCAGCTTCCCAAAGTGCTGGGATTATAGGCGTGAGCCACAGTGCCCAGCCCAGTCATTTTTTTTAAATCAGTGTTACATCTTGGAGTGTCTTTAACTTAATTTCCCAACACAATTGATTATTAATATCAGCATCATCATAAGACTTGTTTACAATGAGTTAGTTGAATCTTCCCAACAATATTAGTGTTATTTCATCTCATAGTACAATAGTAGATATAACCTGAAATGTAAGAGTCAAAGATACTGGCACATTACTAGAGTCCTACTCAGTCATAAATAATTAGTCCAGATTATCATCATACTGCATGATTAAAGTGTCTCCCAGATATGTGCCACTTAGGTTTGCAGGCTTCCATTCTACATTGTCAGTTTTCAAAAGCAGGAGTCCTCTCAGTAACATGGCTTTACCCCTTTAGGCATCCCATTTAGTTGAGCTAACAAACAATATCACATCTTGCTCTAAGCCTCTCCCAAGGCACCAGTAGAATATTGGATTTTGGGCTGGGCTTGGTGGCTCATGCCTATAATCCCAGCACTTTGGGAGTCTGAGGTGGGTGGATGGCTTGAGGTTAGGAGTTCAAGACCAGCCTGACCAACATGATGAAACCCTGTCTTTACTAAAAATACAAAAATTAGCTGGGCGTGGTGGTGGGCACCTGTAATCTCAGCTACTTGGGAGGCTGAGGCAGGAGAATCACTTGAACCTGGGAGGTGAAGGTTGTAGTGTGCCAAGATCACGCCACTGCGCTCCAGTCTGGGCGACAAAGCAAGACTTTGTCTCAAAAAAAAGGAATATTGGATTTTGCTCACTGTATAACCATTTATTCTTTCCCTAATCCTCAGATATCATTCTTCCTTCTCTCCATTTATACCCCCACCTTTCCACTTTTGAAAGGGACATTAAGTTTGGCCACTGTGCTGATCTAGACTGCCGGCAGCAATACTAGCCTAGCAAACGTCTCCCACTCAGTCTACTCCCATTCATATAGAGCAGTGTTACACAGGTACAGAACTAGTGGGTTTTCTCTACTACTAGGCAACATAACTGCATTCCCTGTGAACCCCAGTTTTGCCAGATGGAATGAAGGTACAGTTCACCCCCATCAGGTCCTTAGGAACTCTAACATGAAGGTTTAAAAGTATAGTTCTTGCTTAGAGCTTGTTATGAGTTTGTGCTCCCAAGAAGATGAAGTCCCAATCCCCAGTACCTGTGAATGTAACCTTGTTTGGAAATAAAGTCTTTGCATATGATTAAATTAAAATGAGGTCATTAGAATGGGCCCTGCTTCAATATGACTATGTTTTTATGAAGAGAGGAAATTTAGACACAGAGGCAGACACACATAGACGGAAAATAATCTGAAGACACGGAGAACACCTATCTGTAAGCCAAGAGACACCTGAGAATCCCAGAAGCTAGGAGAGAGGCATGAACAGATCTTTTTCTTTACAACCCTCAGAAGGTCTGTAAACACCTTGATTTTGAACTTCTAGCCTCCAGAACTGTGAGACAATAAGTTTCTGTTGTTTAAGCCAGCTTGTTTTGTATGACAGCCGTAGCAGACTAATACAGAAGTCATCCCAGCTTCTGGCACCTACAGTGTAGGAATACTACATCAGGTAGGAAAAAAAGACTGTTGAGGTCATGTGGGAAAGAAAGAAAAAAGTATAGTTGTACCACATCCTGCCCCCAGGGAAGAATTATAAAGTCACAATAGCATCCTGCCCACTCCACTTCCTTCGATTCAGCAGAAAAAGGGGAGAAATCTACCTAGTGGAGATGTTTGCTAGGCTCTGGCCCTGTTGAGTGTGAGCACACACTCCTGAAAGTGTGTAAGCCAGCCCTTCAGGTTTTCCTTTCTTCCACTTTAGACAACAGATGTTTCAGATGCCCATTCTAATTCTCTATCAAACCATTACTGTGAGGATGAAAGTATGTTCTTTGGTTTGAAGAAATGGGACTCCATGGTCTAAAATGATGCATTATCTTTTGATTTAGTCTTTTTTTTTTTTTTTTTTTTTTGAGACAGTCTCATTCTGTCACCCAGGCTGGAGTGCAGAGACGTGATCTCCATTCACTGCAACCTCCACCTCCCAGGTTCAAGTGATTCTCCTGTCTCAGCCTGCCAAGTAGCTGGGATTACAAGCGTGCGCCACCACACCCAGCTAATTTTTGTATTTTTAGTAGAGATGGGATTTCACCATGTTGACCAACCTGGTCTCAGACTCCTGACCTCAAGTGATCTCCCTGCCTCAGCCTCCCAAAGTGCTGGGATTACAGGTGTGACCCATCGCGCCCAGCCTTGTTTTAGTCCTTTCATAGTATTTTGGGCATTTGCATCTACCAGCAGGTATGCAAAATCCAGTCTGTAGTAAGTAAGTGTCTGCTCATGTCAGGCACTGTCACAGCCTCCTGGGACTACCAGAGTAAGTCCAACTTGCCAGCCAAGTGCAGAGCCTTACTGCTGGGGAATCTGCTCCATAGCCATCCGCACTCTCTTGTTCAGAAAGAACAGTTGTTGATAGTGCTTCACAGGGTTCAAGAGGAACATGTAGAATAGATTCAGCCTATCTCTGCACTGCTGTAGTTCTCCAGTGTCTACTCATTTCATGGAGCCAGATGGACTTCCTCAAGCAAGGAAACTGGGATATCCACTCCCAGAGTTCCCCTCGCCTTCCCAGCCTGGAAGGTTTTACTGTTGGCCATCAACATGTCCTGCTTGCTTGCTTTAAAAAAAAAAAAAATTGAGGTGAAATAGGTGAGGTTTAGTGGCTCGTGTCTGTAATCCCAGCACTTTGGGAGGCCAAGGCAGGTGGATTGCTTGAGCTCAGGAATATGAGACCAGCCTGGGCAACATGGTGAAACCCCCATCTCTATAAAAAATAGAAAAATTAGCTGGGCGTGGTGGTACATGCCTGTAGTCCCAGGTACTTGGGGGGCTGAGGTAAGAGGATCTCTAGTTTAAAAACATTTTCATCACCGCATAAAAACACCCCATGCCCATTAAATAATCATTCCTTATTCACACCTTCTCCTAATTTCTGGTAACATCTAATTTGCTTTTTGTCTCTACTGATTTGTCTATTTTGCCTATATTGTAGAGTAATTTTAAAATGTGTGACCTTTTGTGTTTAGCTTACTTCACTGAACATGTTTTCAAGGTTTATCTGTGTTGTAGCATATATTAATACTTTTTTCCTTTTTGTGGCTGTATAATATTCCATTGTATTTATTCCACGATTTGTTGATCCTTTCACTTGTTGATAAACATTTGGGCTGTTCTCACATTTTGACTATTGTGAATAATGCTGCTGTAAACATTCCTGAACAAGTATTTGTTTAAGTTCCCATTTTCAGTTCTTTTTGATATATACCTAGGAGTGAAATTACAGGGTCATATAGTAGTTCTGTGTTTAACGTTTAGAGGAACCACCAAGCTGTTTTGCCCAGTGGCCAAGCATCATTTTACATTCCTACCAGTAATGCAGAAGTTTTCAGTTTCTCCAAACAATTGCCAACAATTGCTATTTTCTGTTTTTTTACTTTTTTTTTTTTTTTTTTTTTGAGACAGAGTCTTGCTCTCTCACCCAGGCTGGCGTGCAGTGACACGATCTTGGCTTACTGCAGCCTCCACCTCCTAAGTTCAAGAGATTGTCCTGTCTCAGCGTCCTGAGTAGCTGGGGATTCCAGGTGCACGCCACCACACCCAGCTAATTTTTGTTTTGTTTTGTTTTTAGTAGAGATGGGGTTTCACCATGTTGGCCAGGCTGGTCTCGAACTCCTGACCTCAGGTGATCCGCCCAGCTCAGCCTCCCAAAGTGAGGCACCACGCCTGGCCTTTTCAGTTTTTTTAAATCATCACTGTTTTTTGTGGGGTTTTTTGTTTCGTTTTTTTTTTTTTTTGAGACGGAGTTTCACTCTTGTTGCCCAGGCTGGAGTGCAATGGCGCGATCTTGACTCACCACAACCTCCACCTCCCGGGTTGAAGCGATTCTCCTGCGTCAGCCTCCTGAGTAGCTGGGATTACAGGCATGCACCACCACGCCCAGCTAATTTTGTATTTTTAGTAGAGACGGGGTTTCTCCATGTTGGTCAGGCTGGTCTCAAGCTCCCGACCTCAGGTGATCCGCCTACCTTGGCCTCCCAAAGTGCTGGGATTACAGGCATGAATCACCATGCCCGGCTTGAATCATCACTGTTGTGAAGTATCTCATTGTGGTTTTGACTTGCGTTTCTTAATGACCAGTGATGTTGAACATCCTTCATGTGCTTGTTGCTCGTTTGTGTCATTCAAATCCTTTGCCCATTTAAATTGGGCTATTTGTCGTTTTGTTGTTGAGTCGTAGGAGTTTTTAAAATATTCTGGAAACTATACTCTTATCTGATGTATGATTTACAAATATCTCCCCCCATTCTTTAGATTTTCACTTGCTTGATAATGGTCTCTGCTGCACGAAAATTTTAAATTTTGATAACATGCAATTTATCTATTGTATCTTTTGTTCCTTATGGTTTTGGTGCTCAATCTAAGAATTCATTGCCAAATCCAAGGTCATAAAAGCTTGTCCCCTGTTTTTTTTTTCTAACAATGTTATACTTTTTAACTCTTACATATAAGTCACTGATTTGAGTTATACAAAGTGAGGTAAGGGTCCAGTTTTATTCTTTCGCATCTGGATATCTACTTGTCATAGCACCATTCGTTGAGAGAATTCCCCATTGAGAAATCTTGGCACCCTACTTGAAAATCAATTGTCATGGATGTTTGGGTTTATTTCTGGACTGCTAATTCTATTCCATTGGTCTGTGCATCTCATTTTATGCCAGTAACACACTGTTTTGATTATTGTTGCTTTGTAATAAGTTTTGAAATTGGAGAGTGTGAGTCTTCCAACTTTATTTTTCTTTTTCAGTATTGTTTTTGCTATTCAGTGCCCCCTTGGAATTGTATATGAATTTGAGAGAAGGTTTTTTTGTTTCTGCAAAAAAAGGCCATTGAAACTTTCATAGGGATTGTATTGAATATCTAGATTACTTTGAAGAGTATTGTCATCTTAACAATACTGTCTTCCAGCATATGGACACAGGATGTCTTTCTATTTATTTAGATCTTTTTAAATTTCTTTCAGCAGTGTTTTGTAGTTTCCATGT
Organism: Homo sapiens; assembly: GCF_000001405.40. NCBI lineage: Eukaryota > Metazoa > Chordata > Mammalia > Primates > Hominidae > Homo > Homo sapiens. The sequence goes on from NC_000008.11 coordinate 22,328,633, forward strand.
ATAAGTCTTTACCTGTTTGGTTGAAGTTTATTCCTAGCTATTTTATTCTTTTGGATGCTATTGTAAATGGAATAGTTTTAATTTCATTTTTGGGTTGTTCATTGCTGGCATATAGAAACACAACTGTTTTTATGTGTTGATCATGTACCCTGTAACTTTTCTGAATGTGGTTATGAGCTCTAGTCGTTTTTTTTTTTTTTTTTTTAATTCTTTGGGATTTTCTAGATACAGAATAATGTCATTTGCTTATGGGAATGGAGTCTTCTTTCTTTTCAGTTTGAATTCTTTTTATTTCCTTTTCTTTCTTAATTTGCTTAGTTTATTTCCTTTTCTTCCTTAATTGTTATGGCTAGGATTTCTATTATGGTATTGAATAGCAGTGCTAAAATCAGGCATCTTTGTCTTTTTCCTGATAGTAGAGGCAAAGGTTTCAGTTTTTCACCATTGTATATGATGTTAGCTCTGAGTTTTTCATAAATTTCCTTTATCATGTTAAGAAAGTTTCTGCTCCTAATTTGCTGAGTATTTTTATAATGAAAGTGTGTTGGATTTTATCAGATGATTTTTCTGCATATTAACTTTTAACAGTCTTGTTCAGATTAATACCAAATTAATTTTAATAGTTGTGTCAGGCCATTCTTGCATTGCTGTAACAAGATACCTGAGACTGGATAATTTATAAAGAAAAGAGGTTTAATTGGCTCATGGTTCTGCAGGCTTTACACGAAGCATAATGCTGGCATCCACTCAGCTGCTAGGGAGGCCTCAGGAAGCTTACAGTCATGGTGGAAGGTGAAGCAGAAGCAGGCACTTCACATGGTGAAAGCAGGAGTAAATGAGAGAGAGAGAAAGTGAGAGAGAAGAAGAGGCGGTACACATTTTAAGTGACCAAATCTTTGTGTAAACTCAAAGCAAGAGCTCACTTATCACCAGGGGATGGCCCAAGCCATTCCTGAGGGATCTGCTCCTATAATCGAAACACCTCCCACCATGCCCCACCTCCAGTATTGGGAATTACATGTCAACATGAGATTTGGCAGGGACACACATTCAGACTGTAGCAATAGTATATAGAAACTTTGTTCCTGTATAGTTCTATTCTCTCCCACTTTCTTGGTGCTAATTCTGTATTAGCATTCCCCAGAGAAACTGGACTGATAGGGTGTGAGCATGTGTATAGATTTATTTTAACAAATAGGCTTACACAGTTATGGAGGCTGGCAAGTTCAAAATCTGCAGGATGAACCAATAGGCTGGAGACCCAGGGGATAGCTGATGTTGCAGGTCAGCTTTGAGTTTATCCTGCTTGGTGTCCCTTAGGCTTTGGGGATGTGTCCGTTAATGTTTTTCCTCAAATTTGGGAAATTTTTGTGTTAATTATTTACTCAGATATTCTTTTTGCCCCTTCCTCTTGTTCTTCTCCTTTTGAGACAGCAAATATTTATATGATGGTGTGTTTGTTGGTATCTCCCAGGTTTCAGAGGCTGTCTTCATTTTTCTTTCTTATTTCTTTTTCTTATACTGGATATAATCTCAACTGACATCGTTTCTGGTTTCCTAATTATTTCTTCTGCTTGCTCAAATCTGCTGTTAAGCACCTCTAGTAAATTTTTCATTGCAGTTACCATAGTTTCTCACTCCTGAATTTCTATTTGGTTCTTTCTTGTAATTTCTGTGCCTTTATTGATAGTCTTTATTTGGTGAGACACATTCTCATACTTTCGTTAAGGTCTTAAGACATGGTTTCCTTTAGTTCTTTGAACAATATTTAAAATAGTTGATATAGCCGGGCGTGGTGGCTCACGCCTATAATCCCAGTACTTTGGGAGGCCGAGGCGGGTGGATCACGAGGTCAGGGGTTCGAGACCAGCCTGACCAACATGGAGAAACCCCATCTCTACTAAAAATACACACATTAGCTGGGCGTAGTGGCGGGCACCTGTAATCCCAGCTACTCAGGAGGCTGAAGCAGGAGAACTGCTTGAACCTGGGAGGCGGAGGTTGCAGTGAGCCGAGATCATGCCACTGCACTCCAGCCTGGGCAACAGAGTGAGACTCTGTCTCAAAATAAATAAATAAATAAATAAATAAATAAATAAATAAATAAATAAAAATAGTTGATATAAAGACTGTCTATAGGACCACGTCTGGGCTTCCTCAAGGACAGTCTCTGTTGACTTTTTTTCCCCATGCATACGTGTCCTACTTTTCTATTTCTTGGCAAGCATCATAATTCTTTGTTGAAAACTGGAAATTTAAGCTGGGCACGAGGTGGCTCACGCCTGTAATCCCAGCACTTTGGGAGGCTGAGGCGGGTGGATCCCCTGAAGTCAGGAGTTCGAGACCAGCCTGGCCAACATGGTGAAACCCCGTCTCTACCAAAAATAGAAAAAATTAGCCTGGTGTGGTGGTGGACTCCTGTAATCCCAGCTACTAAGGAGGCTGAGGGAGGAGAATTGCTTGAACCCAGGAGGTGGAGGTTGCAGTGAGCCAAGATTGTGCCAATGCAGTCCAGCCTAAGCTACAGAGCGAGACTCTGTCTCAAAAAAATAAAAATAAAAAATAAAAAGTTCTGACCTACAGAGGATTCAGATAATTGATCAGACACATTTAAAAGTAACTTTTAGCCAAGGTAGGAGGATAGCTTGAGGCCAGGAGTCTGCAACCAGCCTGCTCAACATAGTGAGATCTCGTCTCTACAAAAAAGAAATTAAAATTTTTAATTTCTATTTTTTTTTGTTTTCTATTTTATTTTCTTTAATTTCTAAAGCCCGAGGAGTTCAAGGTTGCAGTGAGCCATGATCGCATTACTGCACTCCCTCTTTCAACAGAGCGAGACCCTGTTGCAAATAAAAATAAAAATGACTTTTACCTAAATTCTTCAAAGAGATGAAATACAACATTAAGAATTTTAACAAAGAATTAGAAAGCATGAAAAAAATTGGAATTTTTAGAAATGAAAACTACAGTAACTGAAATTAAACTCAGTACATGGGTGTATTAGTTTGCTACAAATGACATAACAAAGTACCAGCAACTGGCTTACACAACAGAAATTTATTTCCTCACAGTTTCGGAAGTCAGAAATCCAAGCTCAAAGAATTGGCAGAGTCGGTTTCTTTTGGGGGCCTTGGTCTTCCTTGTGTCTGTGTCCTCATCTCCTCTTCTTATGAGGACATCAGTCATATTGGATTAGGGCCCACCCCCATGACCTCATTTAACCTTAAGTACCTCTTTTAAGATCTTATGTGTAAAAAACAGTCACATTCTGAGGTACTGGGGGTTAGGACTTCAACATATGAATGTTGCGGAGGGCATAATTCATCCCCTAACAATGGATAACAGTAGCTTAGATATAGCTGAGGCTGGAAAGAGTCAACTGAAAGATAGGTGAGCAGAAAATAATCAAACTAGCCTGTAATCGCAGCATTTTGGGAGGCTGAGGCAGGTGGATCACTTATGAAGTCAGGTGTTCAAGACTGGCCAACATGGTGAAACCCCATCTCTACTAAAAATACAAAAATTAGCCAGGTGTGGTGCTGCGCCCCTGTAATCCCAGCTTCTCAGGAGGCTGAGTCACGAGAACAGCTTGAACCTGGGAGGCAGGCAGAGGTTATAGTGAGCTGAGATTGTGCCACTGCACTCCAGCCTGGGCTTACACAGTGAGACTCTGTCTCTCAAAAACAAAAATAAAAATAATCAAACTGTAACAGGCCAATAGATAGGAGGTTAAAATATAATATGTACATAAGAAGTGGCTCAGAAGGAGGTTAAAGAAGGCAGAAACATCTGAAAAGACGATGGTGAGGAATGTTCCAAAACTGTTAGAAGACCCCAAACCATAGATTCAGAAAGCCCAACACATCTCAAGCAGGATTTATAAAAAGAAAAGCACATCTAGGCACATTATAACACTGTTGAGGGTAAAGATAAATATATATATAGTAAGAACAGTCAAGGAAAAATTAAAAAGAGGTTCCTTCAAAGGATCAATATGGACTAATAGCTAACATCAAAATAAACAGCGTAAGCCACAAGATAATAATATAATAGCTACAAAGCACTAAAAGAAAGTAACTGCCAGCATAGCTTCAGTCTCATAGCCACTGAAAATAACTTTCACTAGTGAAGGTGAAAAAAGACATTGCATGGCAAATAAAAAATAGACTGTCACCAGCTGACTTACACTGAAGGAAAATATAAAAAGCATTATTCAGCTAGAAGGAACATGATCCCAGATAGAAGTTTAGAAATGGTTAAAGGAATAAGTAACAATATAAGTGACCATTATGAAGGTAAATTTAAATCTATTCCATCTAAAACAAGAAAAAAATGTCATGTGGCTATATATTTGTCTGTGCATATAATTTGAAATTTATGACAACAGTGCATATATCAGGAAGAAGTAAATGATGTCCTGATATTCATAGGTCTTTGAATTGTTGAGGAAAAGGTAAAAGTACTCATTTACGTTACACTTTGATATGCTATAGATGTTGTACTCTCTAGGGTAACTACGAAAGGAAGAATAAAAGAGTGTATAACTATCAAGATATGAGAGGAAAAAACAAAATAAATTTAATGTAAGAAGAATACAGGTAAATAAACAGGATCAACAGCAAGCAATACCTAAGTCTTGAAAACATGCTGTGTGAATGAAGCCAGTCACAAAAGATCACATGGAAGAAATGTTTCTGGGCTGGGCGCAGTGGCTCACGCCTGTAATCCCAGCACTTTGGGAGGCTGAGGAGGGCGGATCACCTGAGGTCAGGAGTTCGAGACCAGCCTGACCAACATGGAGAAACCCCATCTCTACTAAAAGTAACAAAATTAGCCAGGCATGGTGGCACATGCCTGTAATCCTAGCTAGTCGGGAGGCTGAGGCAGGAGAATCGCTTGAACCCGGGAGGCAGAGGTTGCGGTGAGCCAATATCACGCCATTCAACTCCAGCCTGGGCAACAAGAGCGAGACTCTGTCTCAAAAAACAAACAAAAAAAATGTTTCTGAACATTTATAAGAAATGTTCAGAACACGAACATCTATAGAAACCAGAAGGTTAGTGGTTGCCTGGGGCTGGGGTCGAGGAGGGAACTGGAGTATGGATAGGGTGATAATTACTCAAAAGTATGAGGTTTCTTTGTGAGGTGATGAAAATGTTATAAAATTGACTATGGTGGTGGTTACACATGTAGGAATATAATAAAAAACCTTAATTCGGTGAATTGTAGCATATGAATTATAGCTCAGATTCACAGAGGCAGATGATTAGTGGTTTCCAGAGAATAAGGAGGAAGGGCAAGAATGAGGAGGAACTACTAATGGGTACAGAGTTTTTTTGTGTTTTTTTTTTTTTGGAGACAGTTTTTTCACTCGTTGCCCAGGCTGGATGGAGTGCAGTGGTAGGATCTCAGCTCACTGCAACCTCCGCCTTGTGGGTTCAAGCAATTCTTGTGCCTCAGCCTCCTGAGTAGCTTGGATTACAGGCACCCACCACCACACCTGGGTAATTTTTTGTATTTTTAGTATAGATGGGGTTTCATCATGTTGGCCAGGCTAGTCTCGAACTCCTGACCTTAGGTGATCCACCTTCCTTGGCCTCCCAAAGTGCTGGAATTACAGGCGTGAGACACCACGCCTGGCCCTGGGTACAAGGTTCTTTTTGGGGTGATTATATACAAAATTTGGGGCCAGGTGGCTCACACCTATAGTGAAATCCCATCTCTACTAAAAATACAAAAATTAGCTGGGCATCATGGCGGGCGCCTATAGCCCCAGCTACTCGGGAGACTGAGGCAGGAGAATCGCTTGAACCTAGGAGGCGGAGGTTGCAGTGAGCCAAGATCTTGCCACTGCACTCCAGCCTGGGTGACAGTGAGAGTCCGTCTCAAAAAAAAAAAAAGAAAAGAAAATACAAAATTTGGTAATTTTGATAGGTACATGACTTTGTCAATACTAATGTATTTTTAGTAGAGACGGGGTTTCTCCATGTTGGTCAGGCTGTTGGGTCAAGTTGGGTCAAGCCCAACTGTCTCCAACTCCTGGGCTTAGGTGATTCTCTTACCTCAGCCTCCCAAAGCACTGGGATTACAGGTATAAGCTACTGTGCCTGGCAAGATTATTGTAAATTAAGATGTTAATTTTAGCCAGGTGCGGTGGCTCACACCTGTAATCCCAGCACTTTGGGAGGCCAAGGCAGGCAGATCATGAGGTCAGGAGTTCGAGACCAGCCTGGCCAACATAGTGAAACCTCATCTCTGCTAAAAATTCAAAAATTAGGTGGGCGTGGTGGCGGGCACCTGTAATCCCAGCTACTCAGGAGGCTGAGGCAGGGAAATCACTTGAACCCAGGAGATGGAGGTTGCAGCGAGCCAACATTGTGCCACTGCACTCTAGCCTGGGTGACAGAGTGAGACTCTTGTCTCAAAAAAAAAAAAAAAAAGTCAATTTTAATCCCCAAAAGGACCACTAAGAAAATAACTCCAAGATATATAGTAAAAAAGAGAATTATAACAGTAACTGGAAAATAGCTATTTAATACAAAATACAGAGTAATGGAAAAATAGAAGAATGACAAAGATGTAAGGGATAGAAGAACAAATAGCAAAAAGGTAGATGTAAAGATCACCTTATTAATAATTACATTAAGTGTAACTGAACTCAACACTCAAAAGATAGTGGTTGACAGTACAAATTCAAAGAAAAATGTGGTAGACGTGGTGGTCATGTCTGTAGTCCTATTTATTTTTTCTTGAGACAGGATCTCTGTTGCTCATGCTAGAGTGCAGTGGTGTGATCATACATAGCTCACTGCAGCCTCAAGCTCCTGGTCTCAAGCAATCTTTCTGCCTAGTATAGCTATACTGTAACCAAAAGAAATGAAATAGCTATATTAATATCAGACAAAATAGACTTTTTTTTTTTTTTTTTTTTTTGAGACGCAGTCTTGCTCTGTTGCTCAGGCTGGAGTGCAGTGGCATGATCTCGGCTCACTGCAGCGTCTGCCTCCTGGGTTCAAGTAATTCTGCTGCCTCGGCCTCCCGAATAGCTGGGATTACAGGTGTACACTACCACACCCAGCTAAATTTGTTGTTGTTGTTGTATTTTTAGTAGAGGCAGTGTTTCACCATGTTGGCCAGGCTAGTCTGGAACTTCTGGCTTCAAGTGATCCACCTGCCTCTGCCTCCCAAAGTGGTGGGATTACAGGCGTGAGCCACTGTGCCCGGCCTCAGACAAAACAGACTTTTAGATAACACTTGTAAGTAGAGACAAGGAGTGACATATTACAATAGCAAAAGAGTCAATCCATGAGAAAGACATAACAATTACAATATATGTGCACCTAACAGTAGAGACCCAAAAACAGAGGAAACAAAAACTAATATAATTAAAGGGAGAAATAGGCAATTCAGCAATAGTTTGAGACTTCAAAACTTTATTTTCAGTCTTAGATATAATAATTAGATGTAAGATCAACAAGGAAATGGAAGATTTGCACAACACTGTAGTCTGACTATACCTAACAGACATCTATAAAACACTCCACCCAGCAACCACATACACATTCTTCTTAATGTACGTGGCACTCTTCTCCATGATAGGCTATAAAACAAGGCTCAATACATTTAAAAATGACTTTAATCTTTCAAAATACATTCTCAACCCACAATAGAATGAAATTTGAAATAAAGGAAATTTGGGAAATTCACAAATACATGGAAATTAAACAAGACTGGCTCCAAAATAACCAGTGGCTCAAAGAAGAAATTAAAAGGAAATTAGGAAATACTTGGGAGATGACTGAAAACAAAAATACAACATATCAAAATTTATGGATGTAAGTAAAACAGTACTTAGAGGAAAATTTATTATAAACAACGTATTTTAAAATAAGAAGAATCTAAAAACAAACCAGCTTCCACCTTAAGGAACCAGAAAAGAACAACAGACTAAACCCAAAACAAGGAGAAGGAAGGAAATAATAGACATTAGAGAGCTGGGTGCAGTGGCTCATGCTTGTAGTTACAGGTACTCCGGAGGCTGCAGTGGGAGATCACTTGAGCCCAGGAGTTCAAGACCTGCTTGGGTAACATAGTGAGACCCTGTCTCTAAAAATAATATTAGTAGATATTAGAGCATAAATAAATGAAATGGAGACTAGAAAAACAATAGAATCAATGAAGCCAAAAGTTGGTTCTTTGAGGAGATAAAGTTGACAACCTTTAGTTTAGACCATTTATGAAAAATAGAAGAATCTGATAACTAAGATCAGGAATGAGAGCGGTAACATTGCCACTGACCTAACAGAAATACAGGGATTATAAGAGAATAATGTGAACAACTATGTACCAACAAATTAGATGCCCTAAATGGACACATCCCTGGAAATACAGAAAATACTGAAATTTCAGAATTAGACCTTATATTTAAATAAGAAACCAGTTTTGTTTTGCTTTGTTTTTACAAACTTCCCCCAAAATAGGAGGAACACTTCCCTCCTTATACTATGAAGTCAGTATTACTCTGATACCAAAGCCAAACAAAGCCATCTCAAGAAAACTGCAGAAGGATCCAGACTGGAAAAGAAGTAGAACAATGAAAAGAACTTACATTAGAAAATCCTGAAGAGTACACACACACACACAATTAGAGCTAATAAATGAGGGCAGCAAGGTTGAAGATACAAGATCAGTATATAATAATCAGTTGTATTTCTGTACACTAGAATGATCAATCCAAAAATGGAATTCAGAAAACAATTTATGATTGCATAAAAATAAGCTATGTAGGAAAAATTTTTAACAAAAAAGATACTAGGCCAGGCACAGTGGCACACACCTGTAATCCCAGCACTTTGGGAGGCTGAGGCGGGTGGATCACCTGAGGTCAGGAGTTTGGACCAGCCTGACTAACATGGTGAAACCCTGTCTCTACTAAATTAAAAAAAAAAAATAGCTGGGCGTGGTGGTGCATGCCTGTAATCCGAGGTACTTGGGAGATGAGACAGGAGAATAGCTTGTACCTGGGAGGCGGAGGTTGCAGTAAGCTGAGATTGTGCCATTGCACTCCAGCCTGGGCAATAAGAGCAAAACTCTGTCTCAAAAAAAAAATTAATAATAAATAAATAATAATACTAGACATACTGGAAATGACAGAGCATTGTTAAAGAAATTGAAGATCTAGGCCAGGCGCAGTGACTCGCACCTGTAATCCTAGCACTTTGGGAGGCTGAAGCAGGTGGATCACCTGAGGCTGGAGTTCGAGACCAGCCTCGCCAACATGGCAAAACCCCGTCTCTACTAAAAGTACAAGTATTAGCAGGGTGTGGTGGTGCATGCCTGTAATCCCAACTACTCGGGAGGCTGAGGAAGGAGAATTGCTTGAACCCAGGAGATGGAGGTTGCAGTGAGCCAAGATCATGCCACTGCTACAGCCTGTGTGACAAGAGCGAGACTCCATCTCAAAAAAAAAAAGAAATTGAAGATCTAAATAAAAGGAGAGACAACTCATGTTTATGGATTGGAAGACAATATTGTTAAGACGCAATATTGAGAAGATTGGGAAGGAGAAAAGAAAACTATCTTTGCAGTTTGTGTGATTATGTAGAAAATCCCAGGGAACCAACAACAACGACAACACAAACCTGCCAGAACTAGTAAGCAAGAATTGCAAGGTTGCAGGATACACAGTTATTACACAAAAGTCAATCACTTAAAAGTCAGTTCCTTTCCTGTGTGCTAGCAATGAACAATTGGAATTTGGAATTAAAAACATTAATGGCCAGGTGGGGTGGCTCACGCCTGTAATCTTAGCACTTTAGAAGACCGAGGTGGGCGGATCACCTGAGGTCAAGAGTTTGAGACCAGCCTGGCCAACATGGCAAAACCCCATCTCTACTAAAAACGCAAAAGAACAGCTGGGTGTGGTGGTGCGTGCCTGTAATCCCAGCTAATAGGGAGGCTGAGACAGGAGAATCACTTGAACCCAGGAGGCAGAGGTTGCTGTGAGCCAACATCACGTCACTGCACTCCAGCCTGGGTGACGGCGAGACTCCATCTCAAAAATAAATAAATAAATAAATAAATAAATAAATAACAACATTTATGCATTAGCAGAAAACAATGGAGTACTTTGGGTTTAACTCTCCAAATGTGAATCTACAAATGTAACAAGATCCATTGCAAAAGTAACATTTTTTTTTGCAGGAGTGGATAAGCAGATACTCAAATTCATATGGAAATGCAAAAACATAGAATAGTCAAGAACATCTTTAAAAAATACACTCACAGTTTCTAATTTCAGAACTTGTTACAGAGATAAACAAGACAGTGTGGTCAGTAGCATTGAGATAGACTCAAATCAGTGAAGTAAAAATGAGAGTCCAAAAATAAACCCATGGGCCTATGGCCGGTTAACTGATTTTCAGCAAGTTTGCCATTCGGTGGGGGAAAGAGTAATGTTTTCAAGAAATGGTACTGGGACTACTGGATATCCACATACACAAGAATGACATTGAAGCTCTTCTTTACACAGTATACAAAAAGTAACTCCAAATGGATCAAAGACCTAAATGTAAGAATTAAAACTATAAAACTGGCCAAGTGTGGTGGCTCATGCCTGTAATCCCAGCACTTTGGGAGGCCGAGGTGGGCAGATCACGAGATCAGGAGATGGAGACCATCCTGGGCAACATGGTGAAACCCCATCTCTACTAAAAATACAAAAAAATTAGCTGGGCGTGGTGGCCCGCGCCTGTAATCCCAGCTACTCAGGAGGCTGAGGCAGGAGAATCACTTGAACCAGGGAGTCGGAGGTTTTGGTGAGCCGAGATCACACCACTGCACTCCAGCCTGGTGACAGAGTGAGACTCCATCTCAAAAAAAAAACTATGCAACTGTAGACGGCAACATAGATGTAAATCTTTGTGACCATGTCTATTAATATTAGGCACCAGTTGATTAGATATGACGCTGGAAGCAAAAGCAGCCAAAGAAAAAATCGATTTGATGAAAATTAAAACCTTTTGTGCTTCAAAAGACACTATTAAGAAAGTTAAAAGACAACGCATAGAATGGGAGAAGTCATTCATCCGATACATATGGAAAGGCTCTAGTATCCAGAATATGCAAAGAAGTCTTACAACTCAAGAAAAACACAACCCAATTTTAAAATGGGCAAACATTTTGACTAGACATTTCTTCAAAGAGTGTATACAAATAGTAAACACATGAAAAGAAGCTAAATATCATTTGTCATTAGGGAATTGGGAATCAAAGCCATGAGATGCCACTTCACAGCAAAACCAGATAAAGACATTGCAAGAAAGGAAAACTACAGACCGATGTTTGTCATGCACATAGATGCAAAAATCTTCAACAAAACATTAGCAGAGTGAACCTAACTGTATAAAAAGAATTTTTTTTTTTTTTTTTTTTTTTTGAGAAGGAGTTTCACTCTTGTTGCCCAGGCTGAAGTGCAATGGTGCAATCTCAGCTCACCGCAACCTCCGCCTCCCGGGATCAAGTGATTCTCCTGCCTCAGCCTCCCAAGTAGCTGGGATTACAGACATGTGCCACCATGCCTGGCTAATTTTTTTTTGTATTTTTAGTAGAGACGGGGTTTCTCCGTGATGGTCAGGCTGGTCTTGAACTCCCGACCTCGGGTGATCTGCCTGCCTCGGCCTCCCGAAGTGCTGGAATTACAGGCGTGAGCCACCACGCCTGGCCTATAAAAAGAATTCTGCATTGAGACCATACTACGTTAAATAAAGCTTCTCCAGATTTATGTCCACCTGGAACCTGTGAATGTGACCATATTTGGAAGCAGGGTCTTTGTAGATGTAATCAAATTAAGATGAGGTAAGACCAGATTAGAGTGGGTCCTAAGCCAATGATGGGTATTACCTTAAGAAGACAGGGATAGGACACAGAGACATAGGGAGAACACCATTGAAGATGCAGACACAGACGGGAGAAGGCAACAGGAAGGAGGAGGCAGAGATTGGAAGAATGTATCTGCAAGCCAGAAACACCAAGGATTGAACCACCAGAAGCTTGAACAGACAAGGAAAGATTTTTTTTATTTTCTTTTTATTTCTTTTTTTTCTGAGACATAGAGTCTTTCTGTGTCACCCAGGCTGGAGTGCAGTGGCACGATCGTAGCTCACTACCTCCCAGGCTGAAGCAATTCTCCCACCTCCGCCTCCCAAGTAGCTGGGTCTACAGGAATGCGCCACCATTTCTGGCTAATTTTTTAATTTTTTTGTAAAGACAGGGTCTCACAGTGTTGCTTAAGCTGGTCTGGAACTCCCGAATTCAAGCAGTTCTCCCGCCTTGCCCTCCCAAAGTGCTGGGGTTATAGGCATGAACCACTGCACCCTAGCAAAGATTTGTTCATAGAGCCTTTAGAGGAAGCATGGCTCTGCTGATACCTTGGGAACCATCAGAGAATAAATCTTTGTTGTTTTGAGCCACCCAGTTCATGGTACTTTGTTACAGCAGCCCTAGGAAACTAGTGAAACAACCAAGTGGGTTTTATTCCGGTTATGCAAGGCTGGTTCAACAGTCAAAAATCAGTTAATGCAATCCATCCATCAACAGGCTAAAGAAGAAGAATCATATGACTACTTTAGTAGATGAAGAAAAATCATTTGACACTCATTCATGATTTAAAAAAAAAAAAAAGTCCAGGCGCGGTGGCTCACGCCTGTAATTCCGGCACTTTGGGAGGCTGAGGTGGGCGGATCACCTGAGGTCAGGAGTTCAAGACCAGCCTGACCAACATGGAGAAACCCCGTCTCTACTAAAAATACAAAATTAGCTGGGCATGGTGGTGCATACCTGTAATCCCAGCTACTCAGGAGGCTGAGGCAGGAGAATCGCTTAAACCTGGGAGGCGAAGGTTGCGGTGAACCAGGATTGTGCCATTGCACTCCAGCCTGGGCAACAACAGCGAAACTCCGTCTCAAAAAAAAAAAAAAAAAAGATTCCCAGCACGTTAGGAATAGAGGGGAACTTCATCAATTTGATTTTTAAAATCTACAAAAAAGCTACAGCTAACATACTCGTGAAAAACTAGATGCTTTCCCCCTAAGATAGATGCTATAAAGATACTCTTTATCACTACTATTAATCAGCTTCCTCCTGGAAGTCCTAGCTAATGCAGTAAGCAAAGGAAATTAAAGCCTTGAAGATTGGGAAGGAGAAAACAAAACTATCTTTGTTTGCAGATAGCATGATTGTCTATGTAGAAAATCCCAAGAAACCAACAACAAAAAACCCTGCTAGAACTAGTAAGTGAGAATTGCAAGGTTGTAGGATACACAGTTGTACAAAAGTCTATTGCTGTAAAAAAAAAAAAAAAAAAGGTGAATTTTGTTCCTGTGTACCAGCAGTGAACAATCGGAATTTGAAATTTTAGACAATAAATATTTGTGTCAGCAGAAAAAAATGGAGTACTTTGGTTTCAGCCTAACAAATTACATACAAGATGTACACATGGAAAACTACAAAACTGATGAAAAAAATCAAAGAATATCTTAAAAATGGAGAGAGATTCTGTGTTCATTGATAAGAAGACTCAATATCGTTAGGATATCAATTCTTCCCAAATTTGATTGCTAGATTCAATGCAATCTTACTCAAAATCCCAGCAAGTTATTTTGTGGATATCAACAAACTTGATTTTAAGGTTTAAGGATAGCCAACACAGTACTGCAGAGGTCTGATACTGCCTAGCTCAAAGACTTACTGTAAAAACTACGGTAATCAAGATTGTGTGGTATTGATGAAAAGACAGCCGGATAGATAAGTGGAACAGAATAGAAAGCCCAGAAATAGACACACACAAATATAGTCAAGTGATTTTTGATAAAGGAACAAAGGCAAGTCAGTGGAAAAACAATCTTTTCAAAAAATGGTGCTGGAACAAGTGGCCACCTGCATGCAAAAAACTCTATGCATAGACCATACACGTTTTGCAAAAATTAAAACAAATTATAGACCTATGTTTAAAATGCAAAACTCTAAAACTTACAGAAGATAACATAGAAAATCTAGGTGGCTTTGGGTTTGGTGATTACTTTTTAGATATGATGCCAAAAGCCCATGAAAGGAAAAATTGATAAATTTTTCATCGAAAATTCATCGAATTTAAAAACTTCTGGGAAACACTGATAAGAGGATGAAACAACAAGCCATGATTAGGAAGAAATATTTGCAAAACACGTATCTGATAAAGGACTGTTATAAAGTATACAAAGAACTCTTAAAACTCAACAGTAAGAAAATGAACAACCCAATTAGAAAATGAGCAAAATACCTCAACAGACATCTCACCAAAGAGTATAGGTAGATAAGGCCGGGTGTGGTGGCTCACATCTGTAATCCCAGCACTCTGGGAGGCCAAAGCGGGCAGATCATGAGGCCAGGAGTTTGAGACCAGCCTGACCAATGTGGTGAAACCCCGTCTCTACTAAAAATACAAAACTTAGGCCAGGCGCAGTGGCTCACACCTGTAATCCCAGCACTTTGGGAGGGGCCGAGGTGGGCTGATCACCTGAGGTAGGGAGTTCAAGACCAACCTGACCAACATGGAGAAACCCCGTCTCTACTAAAAATACAAAATTAGCCGGGTGTGGTGGCGCATGACTGTAATCCTGTAATCCTGGTGGCGCATGCCTGTAATCGCAGCTACTCGGGAAGGCTGAGGCAGGAGAATCATTTGAACTTGGGAGGCAGAGGCTGCAGTGAGCCGAGATTGTGCCATTGCACTCCAGCCTGGGCAGCAAGAGCGAAACTCCATCTCAAAAAAAAAAAAATTAGCTGGGCATGGTGGCGCATGCCTGTAATCCTAGCTACTCAGGAGGCTGAGGCAGGAGAACTGCTTGAACCAAGGAGGCAGAGGTTGCAGTGAGCTGAGATTGTACCACTGCACTTCAGCCTGGGTGACAGAGCGAGACTCCGTCTCAAAAATAGGTAGATAGATAGATGGCAAATTAGCATACAAGCAGGTGTTCAATATCACTTGCCCTTAGGGAACTGCAAATTAAAACAATCAGATACCACTACACACCTATAAATGATCAGAATTCAAAAACTGGTAATGCCAAATGCTGGTGAGGGTGTAGAGCCATAGGAACGCTCACTCACGGCTGGTGAGAATGGAAATGGTACAACCACTTTGCAAAACAGTTTGGCAGCTAATTACTAAACTAAATGTGCACTTACATACACATACCAACAATCACGCTCCTTGATATTTTCCCAAATAAGTTGAAAACTTACGCCCACACAAAAACTTGCACGTGAATGTTTGTAGCAACTTTATTCATTACTGCCAGAACTTGGAAACAGAGATGTCCTTCAGTAGGTGAGTGGATAAACTGTCATGCATCCAGACAATGGAATATTGTGTTAAAAGAAATAAGCCATTAAGCCATGAAAAGACATGGAGGAATCTTAAATACATATTGCTCAGTGAAAGATGGTAATCTGAAAAGGCTTTATATGATTCTAACTGTATGATAAATGGCATTCTAGAGAATGCATAAATGTGGTGACAGTAAAAAGTGGCTGTCAAGGGTTTGGAAGGGGGAGAAAGGAATAGGTGGCACACAGGATTTTTAGGGCACTGAAACTAGATAACATTATGCATTTGTCAAAACCCATAGAACTGTACAACACAAATATGTAAACTGTGGAGTATAGTTAATGTATCAACATTTGGTCATCAGTTGTAACAAGTGTACCATAATGCAATATGATAACAAAAGGGGAAACTGTTTATGGGTGGGGATAGGAGGTGGGAGGAGGGCATATGGGAACTCTGTTCTATTGCCTCAGGTTTTTTTGTAAACTTGAAGATTCCTCTAAAAAATAGTCTCTTAATTTAAAAACATACAGACACACAATGAGGTACCATATCGTATGCACGAGGATATCTAAAATTTAAAAGAGGCCAGGTATGATGGCTCATGCCTGTAATCCCAGCTCTTTGTGAGGTCAAGGTGGGAGGATTGCTTGAGCCCAGGAGTTTGAGACTGCCTGGGCCACATAGGGAGACCCCTATCTCTACAAAAATAAAAAATGAAAATAAATTATCTGGTCATGATGGTACACATCTGTGGTCCCAGCTACTCAAGAGGCTGAAGTGGGAAGATGACTTGAGCCTGGGAGGTCAAGGCTGCAGTGAGCCGTGATTGTGCCGCTGCACTCCAGCCTTGGTGACAGAGTAAGACCCTTTTAAAGAAAAGATTAAAATAAAATTTAAAAGACAAGTAATAAAAGTCTTGTCCAGGACATGGAGAAATTGGAAACTTCATAGATTGCTAATGGGATTGTAAAATAAAATAATGCAGCTACTTTGGAAAACAGTTGGGCAGTTCCTTAAAAAGTTAAGCATGCCGGGCTTAGAGGTGCAAGCCTGTGGTCCCAGCTACTCTTAAAGATAAGGTGGAAGAGTCACTTGAACCCGGGAGTTTAAGGCTATAGTGTGTGAGGATCACACCTGTGAATAGCCACAATACTCCAGCCAGGGCAACATAGACTCCATATGTAAAATAAAATAAAAATCAAAGTTAAACAGATTTACCACATGACCCAAGAATTCTAGTCCTAGGTATGTACCCAAGAAAATTGAAAACATTGTGTACCCAAGAAAATTGAAAACACAAGTCCACACAAAAACTTATACACAAATGTTCGTAGCAACATTATTCATAATGGCCAGAAATTGAAATAATACAAATGGGCCAGGCGCAGTGGCTCACACCTATAATCCCAGCACTTTGGGAGGCTGAGGCGGGCGGATCACTTGAGGCCAGGGATTTGAGACCAGCCTGGGCAACATGGCGAAACCGCATCTCTAGTAAAAATACAAAAACAATTAGCTGGGCATGGTGGTGTGCACCTGTAATCCCAGCTACTAGGGAGGCTGAGGCAGGAGAATTGCTTGAACCCAGGAGGCAGAGGTGGCAGTGAGCTGAGATTGCACCACTGCACTCCAGCCTGGGTGACAGAGCAAGACTCTGTCTCAAAAATATAATGAAATAATTTTAAAAACCCACAAATGTCCACAAATTGATGAATGGACAAACAAAATGTGACATATGCATATAATGGAATACTATTCTGCAATAAGGAACGAAGGACTGAGACGTACTGCAACATGGATGAACTGTGAAAACGTTATGTTTAGTGAAATTTATTTAAACATAAAAAAGTTTATGATTTTATTTGTCTAGTATAGTCCAACCCATGGAGACAAAGCGCATTAGTAGGTTCTAGGAGTCAAAGGAAGGAGGCACTGGGGGACTGACTGCCAATGGGTATGGGATTAAAATCTTTTGGGGTGATCAATATGTTCTAAAATTAGATAGTGGTGATGGTTTCAAAATTCTGAAAGTAATAAAAAACCATTTAATTGTATAGTTTAAGTGGGTGAGTTTGGCCAGGCGTGCTGGCTCACATCTGTAATCCCAGAGCTTTGGGAGGCCAAAGTGGGAGTATTGCTTGAGGCCAGGAGTTCAAGGCTGCAGTGAGCTTTGATCACACCACTGCACTCAGGCCTGGGCAACGCAGTGAGACCTTGTCTCTAAAAATAATAATAGTAAAGTAAATAAAAGGATGAGTTTTATGGTATTTCGAACTATATTTCAATAAAGCTGTTCAAAATAAAAAGCACTCCTCCACCTCACAGCTTTTTAGTTCCCGTGGTGGAATCAGCAGCCCTGCCAGGGAAGAATGCCTTCGCATGCTTGGCTGATTCCCCTGGGCCCCATCCTTCCTCCTCTGATGCTGGGATGCATCTAAGGCCTTCGCAAACTACATGTTTTCATATTTTGCCCAGCTTTTCCAGTTGTCCTGAGTTGTAGGGCTTCTCAGAATTCATGGTTCACCACCTGAAGCCTCCCAGACAGTCTTAAGCTCACATGTGATTTATTTAATATCTGTATTTAGATTTGTAGCTCTAGTTCAGGAGTTCTCAAAATTTTTGATATTAGGGCCCCTTTATATTCTTAAATATTATTGAAGGCCCCAAAGAGTTTTTATTTATATGGATACATATCTGTCAATAATTAGCATATTAGAAGGTAAAAATTTCAATGTTTATTAATTTACTTAGAAATAACAATAAGCCAGGCATAGTGGTGCATGCCTGTAGGCGCAGCTACTCAGGAGGCTGAGGTGGCAGGATCTTCTGAGTTCAGGTGTTTGAGACCAGCTTGGGCAACATAGCAAGATCCATCTCTAAGGAAAATTTTTAGTTGGGCATAGCCGCTCGTGGCTGTAATCCCAACACTGGGAGGACGAGGTAGGAGGAGCACTTGAGCCCAGGAGTTCAAGACCAGCCTGGACAACATAGACCTCATATGTATAAAAAAATTTTTAAGTTAGCTGGGTATGGTAGTATATGCCTGTAGTCTCAGCTACTCAGGAGGCTGAGGTAAGAGGATTGCTTGAGTTCAGGAAGTTCAGACTGCATGAGCCATCATCACACCATTTTACTCCAGCCTGGGCAACAGAGCAAGACGTTGTCTCAAAAAAAAAAAAAAAAAAGTAGCAAATTCAGCACATTAACATAATTTTTTTTTTTTTTTTTGAGACAGAGTCTCACTCTGTCACCCAGGCTGGACTGCAGTGGTGTGCTCTCGGCTCACTGTGCAAGCTCCCCTTCCCGGGCTCACGCCATTCTCCTGCCTCAGCCTCCCGAGTAGCTGGGACTACAGGTGCCCGCCACCACACCCAGCTAATATTTTTGTATTTTTTTAGTAGAGATGGGGCTTCACCATGTTAGCCAGGATGGTCTCAATCTCCTGACCTTGTGATCTGCTCGCCTCAGCCTCCCAAAGTGCTGGGATTACAGGCGTGAGCCACTGTGCCTGGCCTTTTTTTTTTTTTTTTTTTTTTTTATTTGAGACGGAGTCCTGCTCTGTTGCCTAGGCTGGAGTGCAGTGGCATGACCTTGCCTCACTGCAGCCTCCGCCTCTCGGGTTCAAGCTGTTCTCCTACCTCAGCCTCCTGAGTATCCGGGATTACAGGCGCCTGCCAGCATGCCTGGCTAATTTTTGTATTTTTAGTAGAGACGGGGTTTCACTGTGTTGGCCAGGCTGGTCTCAAACTCCTGACCTCAGGTGATCCGCCCACCTCGGCCTCCCAAAGTGCTGGGATTACAGGTGTGAGCCACCACTCCTGGCAGACTCATTCTTCATGCCTTTTCCTGATACATTTCTCCCTCCAGGGAGCAAATCTCTTACACTCCTCTGTTGCCATAGCATTTATATCTTTATTATGTTATTTATAATATATTGAGGGCATTTATGCGTCTGCCTCCCCTTTTTAATTTGAGTTCCATGAGGATCTGGATAGTATTAAAATAATGTTTTAGCTGAGCACAGTGGCCCACGCCTGTAATCCCAGCACTTTTGGAGGCTGAGACAGTGAGGCACATCACTTGAGGTCAGGAGTTCGAGACAAGCCTGGGCAACATGGCGAAACCCCATCTCTACTAAAAATACAAAAATTAGCCGGGCATGATGGCGGGTGTCTGTAATCCCAGCTACTCGGGGGCCGAGGCAGGAGAATCGCTTGAACCCGGGAGGCGGAGGTTGCAGTGAGCCGAGATCACACCATTGCACTCTAGCCTGGGTGACTGAGCGAGACTCCATCTCAAAAATAATAATGTTTTAATTTTCTGAGATAAGTGCAGTGGCTCATATCTAGTGGATGTGAAGTATTTGTTCCGTGAATGAATGGAGCCACACATAAAAACATGTCAAACACTCAGCAGATATTTTTTGCCTAACTGACCCTTGCCCCTCTGCGCAGTGCTAAGGGATACTAAAATTAATAAACACAGTGTTGCTTTCGAGAACATTCATTACTTACTGTTTCAAGTATCTACTGAGTACTGAAGTGGTTTTTATAACATACATTTAGGAGTTCCAACCTGGGCAACATATTGAGACTTCGTCTCTACTATAAATAAAAAAATTAGCCGGGCTTGATGGCACATCCCTGTAGTCCCAGCTATGCTTATAGTCCCAGCTGCTCAGGAGGCTGAGGCAGGAGGATCGCTTGAGCCCAGAAGGTTGAGTGACAGAGCAAGACCCTGTCTCAAAAGAAAGAAAAACACATTTAAGAGTTATGTTTCAGCCTTGTGATTTGTCCTATATTCTGACTCATCCCTCAATCATAGTTTTATAACTTACAAAATGAAGAAAATAGACTAGATGACCTAGACAGCTTAACATTGTTGATTATTTTTAGATTTTTCAGCTCCTTGATTCCTTTCGGTTCTGTTGGAGGCCTACCTAGGGCTGAGTGTGGTGCCTTGAACTCAGTGGTTAGTTGGCAAATGTTAAAGAAGGAGGTGATGCCAGTAGTTACCAAAGTCAAATTTGATTTCTATTTTTCTTTTTTCTTTTTTTTTTTTTTTGAGATGGGATCTCACTCTGTCACCCAGGCTGGAGTGCAGAGGCACAAACTCTGCTCACTGCAACCTCTGCCCCCCGGGTTCAATGCACGCCACCAGGCCTGGCTTATTTTTTGTATTTTTAGTAGAGACGGGGTTTCACCATGTTGCCCAGGCTGGTCTCAACCTCCTGACCTCAAGTCATCCGCCTGCCTCAGCCTCCCAAAGTGCTGGGATTACGGGCGTGAGCCACACTGCACCCGGCCTTCTATTTTTCACTCCATTGATTTATTAAGTCCCTTCTTTGTGCTTCGGAATATCTGTATATCCTTGATCTAGCTCGGTCTCAACTTTTGTGTACAATATATGTGTGTGTGTATATATATATATATATATATATATAAATTTTACTTTATCCCTTTTAACAACCCTGAGAAGAAGGTGAGATGATCATTTTTCTTCACTTTTCAACTGAAGAAATTGAGTCTTGAAGGTCACAGCTAAAGGAGTAGCAGAGTCAGACTCAGTCCCAGGTCTCCTGACCCCAAATCCACTGTACTGTCTGTTTCCTTGTCTGTCAAATGAGGGTTTCTTCCAGATCTGAGGTCCTGGGTCACCTGCCTTTTAACACAGCGAGTTAGTTAGGAGTCTTTGGGAATTAACAGGAACTGGTAACTTGAGCAGAATAGAAATTGGCAGGATCGTACAGAGGCTCAGAGGATTGGTGAGAAGGTGGAGCCCCAGGCTGGTAAATGGGCATGATTCAGGCTAACTCCTGGGGTTTCAGAAGCAGGGGCCTGAAAAGGCACTGCCATTGAAGGGCCAAACTCCACTGTTTTGCATTCTCTACTCAAGATGGAAGCAAGGGAGGAGCAGTCTGTTGGTGTGGCTCGAGTCGTCTACACATCCTTTGGTTAGTGAAGTGGTTCTCAACTGGGAGCAATTTTGTCCTCCCAGTGGGTGATATATAAAGGCGTTTTTAGTCATAAGGGTGAGAGGTTGCTCCTGGCATTTACTGAATAGAGGCCACGGATGATGCTAAATGTAGATTCTGCAGTGCACAGGACAGCCCTCTAGGATGAAGAATTATCTACCCACAAATGTCAGTAGAGCTGACAGGTTGGGAAACCTTGGGTTGGGCTAGGGCACGTTGACTAATAGTCCCACCAGACTATATCTTGTTGGGGGCAGGAGGAAACTCAAGTGCTATTACTGAGAAAAGATGGAGTAGATGCTGGAAAGCCAAAAAAAATTTTTTTAAGGGTACTACAGGCCAGGTATGGTATCTCACACCTGTGATCTCAGCACTTTGGGAGGCCAAGGCAGGCAGATCACTGAGTCCAGGAGTTCGAGACTAGCCCAGGCAACATGGTGAAACCTCCATCTCTACAAAAAATACAAAAGTTAGCTAGGCATGGTGACACAAACTTGTAGTCCCAGCTACTCAGGAGGCTGAGTCAGGAGGGATGGCTTGAGCCTGGGAGGTGGAGGTTGCAGTGAGCAGAGATGGTGCCACTGTACTGCAGCCTCGGCAAGAGCATGAGACCCCATCTCAAAAAAATAAATAAAAAGTACCACAAACTGGTGCAATCTGAGACTGTGAAGATGAATTACATACTTGTAAATGTAGTGCTTGAGGCTTCTTAGGAAAAGGGGTCATTAATATTTGAAATTCTGGGCCAGAAGTGGTGGCTCATTCCTGTAACCTCAGCACTTTGGGAGGCTGAGGGAGGAGGATTACTTGAGGCTGAGAGTTTGACCAGCCTGGGCAACATAGTGAGACCCTGTCTCTAAAAAATGTTTTTAAATAAAATTAGGCTGGGCGCAGTGGCTAACGCTTGTAGTCCCAGTACTTTGGGAGGCCAAGGTAGGCGGATGACCTGAGGTCAGGAGTTTGAGACCAGCCTGCCCTACGTGGCAAAACCCCATCTCTACTAAGAATACAAAAATTAGCCAGGCATGGTGGTGCACACCTGTAGTCCCAGCTAGTCCCAGCTACTTGAGAGGCTGAGGACCAAGAATTGCATGAGCCTGGGTGGCAGAGATTTCAGTAAGTCAAGATTGCATCACTGCACTTCAGCCTGGGCAACAGAGCGAGACTCTGTTTCAAAAAAAAATAATTAATTAATTAACTGGCGTAGTGACAAGCACCTGTAGTTCCAGCTACTTGACAGGCTGAGGCAGGAGGATCTCTTGAGCTTGGGAGTTTGAAGCTGCAGTGGCTATGATTACACCACTGCAGTCTAACCTGAGCAACAGAGTGAGACCTCAATTCTTAAAAAAAAAAACAAATTGAAACTCAACTTTTTAAAGGGATTCTAAGTGCTTATTTTTTTAAAGTATTCTTGGAAATCACATTTTCATGTAGAGTAACCTGTAAGGAACAGTGCATACATACATATATATATATATATATATATATATATATATATATATATATAATTTATATCTAAACCTAATTCATAATTTAGGTTTTTTTGGTGTTTTTTTTTTGTTTTTTTGTTTTTTGTTTTGAGACGGAGTCTCACTCTGTCACCCAGGCTGGAGTGCAGTGGTGCAATCTTGGCTCACTGCAACCTCCACCTCCCAGGTTCAAGCAATTCTCCTGCCTCAGCCTCCTGAATAGCTGGGACTACAGGTGTGCACCACCACACCTGGCTAATTTTTGTATTTTTAGTAGAGACGAGGGTTTCACCATGTTGGCCAGGGTGGTCTTGAACTTCTGACCTCAGGTGATCCACCCACCTCGGCCTCTGAGAGTGCTGGGATTACAGGCGTGACCCACCGTGTCCAGCCCATAATTTAGGTTTTTGAGGGTAAGTATGAACACAAACTTAGAATGAACCACACTCCACTAGAATCAAAACTGAATTAAACTAAAGCACTTTTAAAGGGAACTTCCATTTTAAGTTGAAGTGAACTTACCCTCTTGAATTTTGTTGCCCAGGCTGGAGTGTAGTGGCACAATCTCAGCTTGCTGCAACCTCCACCCCATGAGTTCAAGTGATTTTCCTGCCTCAGCCTCCCAGGTAGCTGGGATTAGAGGCATGTGCCACCATGCCTGTGTAATTTTTGTATCTTTAGTAGAAACAGGGTTTCAGCATGTTGGCCAGGCTGGTCTTGAACTCCTGACCTCAGGTGATCCACCCGCCTTGGCCTCCCAACATGCTGGGATGACAGGCGTGAGCCACCGTGCCTGGCCCTTCTTGAATTATTGAAGTTGAACACAACTAGAACACAATTATATTCCCTAAATGGGGGAAAAATTATTCTTCAAATTGCTTCAAGCAAGCATTTAATTTAATTTGGACCCATAGACAATTCACATAGCTAGCTGTTTGCTAATTACTTAGTTACAGTAAAAATGTTTTACTGTATGTTTACTGTATGTTTTACACCATACCAGACTGTAGGGTAATATTTAGTAAAGGGACGTTTCACTTGTCAGCAACTTGGGATATTTCCAGTAGGTAAAAATCTGATGGCAGCGGATCTGTGGCATATGTGGTCATATGTTAGAATTTCTCTAACACTTTACCTTATTCTTTGCCCCGACAGTTATTAGTGTTAAATCCAAGTAGAAGGAAAATTGATTCAGCCTGCAGTTTTCCCAGCATTCCTTTGAACTTTGTTTGCATTGTTTGTGGATAAGCCGTATGCATGTGACTCATAACTTGCATGTTTTGCTTTCATGTTTTATAACACCTTTGCTGCACCAGGCGTGTTTTACTACCCCAAGGAAGTCTAGAAATGATTAGAAGCTTTTTTTCCCTGCCCTCTAGGCACAGTAGCTTTGGCACTAACTGCAAAAGGATCTGCCATGATTCCAGGCTACACAATGCGAGTGGGCCTCTCACTGACTGTGGTCCGTAGCCTGAGGGCTCTGTGAGTCACCACATCCTCGCTGTCATTTCAGGTGAACCACTGTCTACCAGAGAAGATTGTGGTGTACCGTGATGGAGTGTCTGATGGCCAACTGAAGACAGTTGCCAACTATGAGATTCCTCAACTACAGAAGTGTTTTGAAGCTTTTGAGAATTATCAGCCCAAGATGGTGGTGTTTGTAGTTCAGAAGAAAATCAGTACTAATCTATATCTGGCTGCTCCTCAGAACTTTGTAACTCCCACTCCTGGAACTGTGGTAGATCATACAATAACAAGCTGTGAGTGGTAAGTGAGCAAAATATGTAGTATTGGAGGAAGAATAAGTTGGAGATGTTGTCACTTTCCTGAGTATTGGAATGGGGAGGTTTCCTGGAGAGTTGTGGACTAGAATCTCAGAGAGGCTACCGTTAAAAGAATGAAGGTTTAAAAAATATTTAAGGGCCTGGCATGGTGGCTCACGTCTGTAATCCCAACGCTTTGGGAGGCTGAGGCAGTTAGATCACCTGAGGTCAGGAGTTCAATACCAGCCTGGCCAACATGGTGAAACCCTGTCTACTGTAAATAACAGAAATTAACCAGGTGTGATGGTGTGTGCCTGTAATGCCAGCTACTCGGGAGGCTGAGACAGGAGAATCGCTTGAACCTAGGAGGCGGAGGTTGCAGTAAGTCCACTGTAATCCAGCCTGGGCAACAGAGAGAGACTCTGTCTCAAAACGAAACAAAAAAGATTTAAAAACAAGAAAGCTTTTACCTCTTAAGTGAAAAGTTGAACATACCTTGTTTTGCTAAGATAGCGTATGCTTAACTTCTACAGGAAGATAAGGGAGTTTCTACCACTTTTTTTTTTTTTTTTTTTTTTTTTTTTGAGGCAGGGTCTCGCTTTGTTGTCCAGGGTGGAGTGCAATGATGTGATCTCAGCTCACTGCAGCCTCAACCTGCTTAGGCCCAGGTGATCCTCCCACCTCAGCCTCCTGAGTAGCTGGGACAATAGGCGTATGCCACCATGCCCAACTAATTTTTGTATTTTTTGTAGAGACAGGGTCTTGCCATGTTGCCCAGACTGGTCTCGATCTCCTGGGCTCAAGCAATCTGCCTGCCTCAGCCTTCCAAAGTGCTAGGATTACAGGCATGAGTCACTGCACCCAGCCTGTTACCACCATTCTTCAGTAGCCTCTTGAGTCAGGAGACCTGGGTTCTAATCCTGGTCTGGCCTCTGTGTCCTTGATCCAGTCATTTGAGCTCTCTGAGCTTTAGTTGAAGGAGCTAGAACGATCTCCAGGATCTTTGCCAGCTCTGTCTGGCTGAATCCGACCATTTCACTGATTTATGGTTTTCCTTCCTAGGGTGGATTTCTATCTTCTTGCCCATCATGTACGGCAGGGCTGTGGCATTCCTACGCATTATGTCTGTGTTCTCAACACCGCAAACCTGAGCCCTGATCATATGCAGAGGTGGGCCCATCAGTAACTTACTCTTTCTCTTTCTTAAATAATTCTGGCCTGCTAGCTAAGATGGGCTCACTGTTCACCCCAAAATATATTTACCTCTTGACTTTTCTTCATATCTTTGACAATTATGGTGTCTTTTTGAGGAGAGATTGGAAATCCTGGTTTTATATTAAAATTACTTTTACTTAAAGAGCTTTAAAAAATATTGATGCCAGGCTTCCCCCCAACTATTCTGAGGCATCTGTATTTTTTAAATCTGTTCCAGGCGATTATGACATACAGCCAGACTTGAGACCCAGTGCCGTTGAGTTCAGATTATATAAATACTCCACTAGGGTACTTACCTTTCTCCAGCCTTTTCTTGTAAACAAGAAATATTTTCTCTTTGTGTTGTTTTCGTATAAAAACAGGAGGCTGGGTGCGGTGGCTCACGCCTATAATCCCAGCACTTTGGGAGGCTGAGGCAGGCGGATCACCTGAGGCCAGGAGTTCGAGACCAGCCTGACCAACATGGCAAAACCCTGTCTCTACTAAAAATAGAAAAATTAGCTGGGTGTGGTGGCGCATGCCTATAATCCCAGCTACTCGGGAGGCTGAGTTGGGAGAATCACTTGAATCCAGGAGGAGGAGGTTGCAGTGAGCAGAGATTGTGCCATTGCACTCCAGCCTGGGCAACAGAGCAAGACTCTGTCAAAAAAAAAAAACAAAACAAAAAACAACAACAACAAAAAAAAAACAGGGAAATGCCTCAATTGAGAAGATTTACCCATGTCGTCTGACTTATGAATAGTGGGAATAAAAACAAGTCCATTTAAAAATAGTGATTCTAAAAAGCTGCATCATGTATTCCTCTGCTCCCCAGTTTTCAGGAAGGTGTGCTCTGTGTCATATCCCCGTGACTATTGTATTGTATTGCATGCCACAAATTGAAGGTGGGGGATGATGAGAATTATATTTTCTTCTTGGCCTACAGGCTGACTTTCAAACTGTGCCACATGTACTGGAATTGGCCTGGCACCATCAGAGTTCCAGCTCCTTGCAAGTATGCCCACAAGCTAGCTTTCCTGTCAGGACACATCTTGCATCATGAACCAGCCATCCAGCTGTGCGAGAACCTGTTCTTCCTGTGACTGCACAGCTTGGAGATGGGCTGGTGAGAAGAAAGGCGGCCTCAGAACTCAGCTGTGACTCTTGCAGAATCAACAGAGACTGAAGTGGGCTTTTGTGTTATAATTTTCCCTTTCTCCAACCCTGTAGAATAAGATTTCTTTCTTGTCTTTTAAACCTAATATCACCAAGAAGCAAGTTTCTGAGTAACAGCTGAAAATGGCCTTGTTGCCTGTGTAGAGCAAGTTACGGTGGTACTGCCACTCTGCAGGTGGAGCGGGTGACTCTGGGGGACCATTAAGACCTCCAGACCGGGTGCGGTGGTTCACACCTGTAATCCAAGCACTTTGGGAGGCCGAGGCGGGTGGATCATGAGGTCAGGAGATCAAGACCATCCTGGCCAACATGGTGAAACCCCGTCTCTACTAAAATACAAAAAAATTAGCCGGGTGTGGCGGTGCACGCCTGTAGTCCCAGCTACTCAGGAGGCTAAGGCAGGAGAATCGCTTGAACCCGGGAGGTGGAGGTTGCAGTGAGCCGAGATCACGCCACTGCACTCCAGCCTGTTGACAAAGCAAGACTCTGTCTCAAAAAAAAAAAAAAAAAGCCAACATGAGCTGCAGAAACCAGCAGAAGCAGCCATTATACTTCTAAGCTGTGCCAACTAAGTGGTTCCCATTTCTGGAGCCAGAGATGATAATTAAGTCATTGCAAGTTGCCTGAAGAGAATTACTCAGGCAACTGGGAAAGGCAGTGGAAGGTCTGTGAAGCAAAGTTTTCAAGTAGATATTGCTATTACTGGCAGGTGTGCAAGGCGTGTAGTAAAATCAGTTTGTGGCATAGGTCGGCCCTTGCTGACTAAATCCTCTCTGGGGATTGAATTGATGACGACTGTGACTTGAGTTGGATTCGAAAATGGCTTCCCTTGGCCTCTTGAAAGAGTGCAGATGAAGCCTTTTCCGTGGATTTCAGTAACTTTCCAGCATACCATGACGATTTCTTCCCCAAATATACACATGCTCTTTTGCTCTTTGTGCCTGATCTTCAGTAATTTTTAGTTTTTTAACAGGCAGAAAAAATCTAGCAGCTAGGAAAGTTCAAGTTGGGGTGGGAGTTTTTAGTGAACTTTTCTCCCAGGTGTGTGGCCTTTATTTCTATTTATATATGTTTGTAAATGGAATTACCCCCTTTCTCTTGCAAAATAACCGCTTCCTGGCTGTTGGCTCACTTTGCTGGAATTTTTCTGAATCCAGGTTAAGATTTCCAGAAGTCAGCTTTGGAAAACGTGACACTCCTACCAAAGTCCAGATGGTTAGAAAGTTATCACATACCATGGGTTTCAGTGTTTTTGGAAACCCGTTTTTTTCTGGTTTTTTTTCCCCCCTCTCCATTTTAGAATCTTCTCCCAGTCCCTTCGGGCCTAGTTCTGTCTCATCTTGCTTTATTGGGTTTTAAAAACCGGTCTTATTTAAGCTTTTCTAATTTGTATTTATGTACTTATTTATTTTTTGGTATGATGGCAGGGAGGGGACAAAGCAGAAATACCCCTTTTATATGACAATGTGTGAGAAAAGAAACTTTAGCTTAAAACTCCGTAAAATGTGCTCACTTCAGCAGCACATATACTAAAATTAAAATGATATAGAGAAGATTAGCATATAGAAAAAAAGAAAAAAGATTTCCTTAAAACAAGAAAACCAAGAATGTTTTTGGTTTGTTGCGGTGCCCAGCCGAGGTTGAGGAGGGATGGGTATTGTTGGTGCACTGCTGGTTTCATTTGGAGTGTGGGACATTAGGGTGAGACAAGGACCTGGAATTTAAAAACCACAGAATCAAACACTGTGAACCACTGGTCTCTGGCTAAGCAGATCAGTTTTCTGATTTTCCTTGGAAGCGTTTTGAATTTTTCTGTTGAAGTTGGATTTCCTAATACTTTTTTTCTCTTAGATAATCAGAACAAATGGTTGAATACATTATAATACAAAAATTTCTTCACTTTTTATTCTTGGTTTTCTTGCCTCGTTTTTCGGTTTTAATGCCAAATGATTGGGTCATGGGGTGGGAAATAAAAACAACTTTGTATAAATTTGTAGTTGTGTTTGAAATAATGTTGTTTATTTATTATTATATTGATGTAACTCTTTTTCTTCAGAGAGCTGCAGCACTTCCTAGAAACACTCATTACTCTGCTTGTAAGTTGCAACTCCAGTGTTAGTAGCCAGGTAATTTCATCATCAGCTGGGTAAGAAGACTTATTGAAAAAAACAGTAGCCACCTCACTTCTCAGACAGATGAGGCACTTTGTGTGTGTGTGTGTGTGTGTGTGTGTGTGTGTGTGTGTGTGTCTGTGTGTGGTTTTTAGCTCTCTTTCTCCCATCAGACAATTTCTTTTACCCTAAGTGAGAGCCAGAGTGTGTCCACTTGCAAGGGCAGCCTCCCCACCGCTCCACTATTTTAACGCTTGCCCTTTTTTACATATACCTCACGGGGTGTCTGTCACCATTGAAATACCTTCCCTGGGTACAAAAATCCCATTAGAAGGAATAAGATCTAGTAGTTCAGTGGCACAGTAGAGCAACTATAGTTAACAAAAATTTATTGTACATTTCAAAATAGAGGAGTGGAATTGGAATGTTCCTAACACAAAGAAATGATAAATGAGCCGGGTGCCGTGGCTCACACCTATAATCCCAGCACTTTGGGAGGCTGAGGTAGGTGGATCATTTGAGCTCAGGACTTCAAGACCAGCTGGGCAACATGGGAAGACCTTGACTCTACAAAATATAAAAATCGGCCAGGCTTGGTGGTGTGTGCCTATAGTCCCAGCTACTCAGGAGACTAAAGCAGGAGGATTGCTTGAACCCAGGAGGCAGAGGTTGCAGTGAGCCGAGATTGTGCCAACTCACTCCAGCCTGGGTGACAGAGCAAGATTCTGTCTCAAAAAAAAAAAAAAGATAAATGTTTGAAGTGATAGCCCAGTTACCCTGATTTGATTCTTACACATCATATGCTTGTATCAGAATATCACATGTATACTATAAATATGTACCACTACTATGTATCCAAAAAATTAAAAATAAAATTTTAAGTACCTTCCCAAAGCACCTAGCTGCTCACTTAAGCACTGCATTTCTTTAGAATACTACAGTTTCCCTATTTATTTAGAAACTCTGTGCTTCCTGAACTCATTCTAGAAAGAACCTCATTTCTGTGCAGTAGTCTCTTATCCATGGGGAATACATTTGAATACCCCCAGCAGTTGCCTGAAACCTCAGATAGTACTGAATCCTATACGGTACTATGTTATTTGAATCTGAAACTCAGGATGTCTATTAAGTGACTAATGTGTAGCATCACCGGTGTGGATACTCTGGACAGACATGATTCATGTTCACGGGGGATGGAGTGGGACAACGTGAAGTTTCATCACACTACTCAGAACAGTTTGCAATTTATAACATGAATTTCTGGAATTTTCCATTTAATAGTTTTGGACTTTGGCTGACCAAGGGCAACTGAAACCTCAGAAAATGAAACCATGGAAAGGAGGGACTGCTGTACGGTGTGACAGGGTCCTTTTTACTTGGGCAGCATTTTGTTGAATGATGTGAAAAAGGAATTTTAGAAATGACTATATATTTTAAAACCTTAAAATTTGGGCCTGAAATTAATTTCTCTAGAGGTTTGGGATTATTAGAGAAGACCCTGTTTTTTCTTTCTGGCTCTATGGCTAGCTGAGTTACTTAGTAACTTTTCCTGCCTAGAGTTTTCTTTTTTTCAAAAAATGAGGAACATCAAGAGCTTGAGAAGAAAAGCCACAGACTGAAAGAAAATATTTGCAGAATACACATCTGATCAAGGATTGTTATCCAAAATATACAAAGAACTCTTTAAACTTAATAAAGAAACTAGTCAGTTTTTTTAAAAATCGGCAATAGACCTGTACAGACATCGCCAAAGATGCACAGATGGTAAATAAACGTATGAAAAGATGCTCCACATTATATCTCCTTAGGGAACCACAAATTAAAACAAGGCACCCATTCCATACCTGGTAGAATAGCCAAAATCCACAACACTTAACCACGCCATATGCTGGTGAGGTTGCAGAGCTGCAGGAACTGGTACAGCCACTTGAGAAGAGAGTTCTTAATAAAATTAAACAGGATTACAAAACCACATACATAATCTTATCATATGGAGCAGCAGTCATACTCCTTGGTGTTTACCCAAAGGGGATGAAAACTCATGTCCACACAAAAGCCTGCACACGGACATTCATAGCAGCTGTATTCATCGTTTCCAAAACTTGGAAGCATCCAAGATGTGCTTCAGTAGGTGAATGGACAAACTGCACCTGGACAGTGGAATATTATTCAGCACTAAAAGGAAATGAGCTATCAAGTCATGGAAAGACACAGAGGAACTTTAATGTATATTACTAAATTGGAAAAAGCCAATCTGGAAAGGCTATATATGACTCCAACGTATAACATTCCGGAAAAGGCAAAACCGTGGAGATAGTGAAAGGATCAGCAGTTTGGTCGGGCGCAGTGGCTCACACCTGCAGTCCCAGCACTTTGGGAGGCCGAGGTGGGTGGATCATGAGGTCAGGAGTTCGAGACCAGCCTGGCCAACATGGTAAAACCCCGTCTCTATTAAAAGTACAAAAATTAGCTGGGTGTGGTGGTGGGCACCTGTAATCCCAGCTACTCGGGAAGCTGAGGCAGGAGAATCGCTTGAGGCAGGAGGCAGAGGTTGTAGTGAGCTGAGATCACGCCATTGCACTCCAGCCTGGGCGACAAGAGAAAAACTCCGTCTCGGAGAAAAAAGGATCAGCAGTTGTGGAGAGAGAGACGAGAGATGAATGGGCAGAAACAAAGGATTTTTAGGGCAGCGGAGCTATTCACTGTGATGCTGTAATGGTGAATACATGTCATTATGAATCTGTCTGATCCCACGGAATGTACACTAAGAGTGAACCCTGATGTAAACTATGGACTCTGGGTAATATGTCAGTGTAGGTTTATCAGCTATAACAAACTTACCAGGGAAGAAAGGAGAGGGGAGTGGGGGAGGGGAGAAGGTTAATATTTGTTACAAGAAGGAAAGGGAAGCTGAGTGGTACTAGCACAGCTCCCAGGATTCTGGTTTCATTCCAGGTAGGGCCAGGACATACACAGCCTGAGCCCCTGCGAAGTGCAGGATTGCTACAGCTGAGTCTCCTGCATGAAGAGAGCTGGAAGCTGGAAGGGGACTAGAGAACCCCTGCCAATCATGCTGGGGCGGCCGCAGGGAAATGTGGTGTTTGACCAGGGAAATGGATAGGGCGAAAAAGACATCCATGAAAAATCCCCAAGCCTGGGCCACATACAGATAGACGTGTGTAGCCTGAATTTTTGTTACCAGCATGCTGAAGGGCCACAAGCTGAAAAATTAACATAAAGATTGACCCAGACTGGTGAAAGTTCCAGAGCCTTGTGGAAACCAATGCGGTCCATTAGATTGCAGCACAAAGAGGTATAAATAGGACCTATGGAAGAGAAGAGACCAGAGAGAATGAGCAGGTCCAACATGTGTCTGAGAGAAGTTCCTGCAGGTTAAAATAGAAGGAATGGGTGGCACACAATATGGAAGATGCAAAGACTGAGAATTTTCCAGAATGAAAGATACGTGCCAGTGTGGTGGCTTATACCTGTAATCCCAGCACTTTGGGAGGCCAAGTTGGGTGGATCACTTGAGCTCAGGAGTTTTAGACCAGCATGGGCAACATGGTGAAACCCTGTCTCTACAAAAGAAATAAAAAATTAGCCAGGCATGGTGGCACATGCATGTATCCCAGGTATTCAGGAGGCTGAGGTGGGACGATCACTTGAGGCCAGGAGGTTGGGGATGCAGTGAGCTGTGATCGCACCACCGCACTCCAGCCTGGGTGACAGAATGAGACCTTATCTCAAAAAAAAAAAAGAAAGAAAAAGAATCGTCTAACTGAAGAAACGTACTGGGGATAAAGAAAATATATCTGGCCGGGCGCAGTGGCTCACGCCTGTAATTCCAGCACTTTGGGAGGCCGTGGTGGGCAGATCACCTGAGGTCAGGAGTTCGAGACCAGCCTGACCAACATGGAGAAACCCCGTCTCTACTAAAAATACAAAATTAGCCAGGCGTGGTGGCGCATGCCTGTAATCCCAGCTACTCGGGAGGCTGAGGCAGGAGAATTGCTTGTACCCGGGAGGCGGAGGTTATGGTGAGCCAAGATTGCACCATTGCACTCCAGCCCAGGCAACAAGAGCAAAACTCCATCTCAAAAAAATAAAAGAAAAGCATATCCATTGCTAGATAAACTATAGTGAAACTATAGAACATGAAAGACAGAATCGTGAAAACAAAACAGCCAGATATGATCCAGCAATTCCACTACTGGGTATATACCCAAAGGAATTGAAATCAGTATGCTGGGCGGGGCATGGTGGTTCACACCTGCAATCCCAGCACTTTGGGAGGCCAAGAAGGGTGGATCACTGGAGGCCAGGAGTTCCAAACCAGCTTGGCCAACCTGGTGAAAACCTGTCTCTACTAAAAATACAAAAATTAGCTGGGCGCGGTGTTGCACGCCTGTAATCCCAGCTATTCGGGTGGCTGAGGCATGAGAATCGCTTGAACCCTGGAGGCAGAGGTTGCAATGAGCCGAGATGGTGTCACTGCACTTCAGCCTGGGTGACAGAGCGAGTCTCTGTCTCCAAAAAGAAAGAAATCAGTATGCCAAAGAGATATGTGCACTCACATGTTCATTGCAGCACTGTTCACAATAGCCAAGATATGGAAACAACCTGAGTGCCCATCAACGGATGAATGGATTTTTAAAATGTGGTACATTTACACAATGGATACTATTCAGCTTTAAATCAAAAACAGGACATTCTGTCACTCATGACAACCTGAATGAACTTAGAGAACATTATGTTAAGTGAAATAAGCCAGGCATAGAGAGACAAATACCATATGATCTCACTTGTATGTAGAATCTAAGAAAGTCAAACATAGAAGTAGAGAATAGAAAGGGAGTTGCCAGATACACGGTGGGGGTAGAGGGAGGTTGACAGGGAAAAGGGGAGACATTGGTCAATGGGTATAAAGTTACAGTTAGGAAGAATAAGTTCTAGTGTTCCGTTGCACAGTATGGTGACTATAGTTAATACTGTATATTTTAAAATAGTGAAAAGAATTTTAAATGTTCCCACTACAAAGGAATGATTTTTTTAAAAAAAGGAATAGCCTGACAAAGACAAGGCAAAAAAGAATATGTATATATTATATACATATATATATATTTGAGATGATAGATATGCTAATTACCCAGATCTGATCATTTCACAATGTGTACAGGTATCCAGACATCACATTGTACCCCATAAATATGTACAATTACTATTTGTCAATTAAACAAAACCAACCAGAAGTTGAAGAGATTGCTTACAAAGAAAGTTAGTCAAACCACCAGCACACACTTCCTGAACCACAATAGATGCCTTAAGACAAGAGGAATAGAAATTTTAAAACGCAATCGTAGGCCAGGCGCAGTGGCACATGCCTGTAATCCCAGCACTTTGGGAGGCCAAGGTGGGCAGATCACCTGAGGTCAGGAGTTTGAGACCAGCCTGGCCAACATGGTGAAACCCCGTCTCTACTAAAAATACAAAAATTAGCCAGGCGTGGTGGCGTGCACCTGTAATCCCAGCTATTCAGGAGGCTGAGGCAGAAGAATCACTTGAACCCAGGAGGCAGAGGTCGCAGTGAGCCGAGATTGCACCACTGCACTCCAGCCTGGGTAACACAGCGAGACTCCGTCTCAAGAAAAAAAAAAAGATGCAACTGTAAAGTTAGAATTGTATTCCCAACTAAACACTCATTCACAGGTGAGGGCAAAAATAATATTTTAAAAATAAAGATCAGGACAGAAATTAATGAAGAACAGAAAACCAATAGAGAAAATCAACAAAACAAGTTGGTTCTTTGAAAATATTAGCAAAATGGGCAAACCTTTAACTAGAATGACAGAGAAAAAAGACACAAATTACTAAAATCAGGAATGAAAGAGGGCACATTACTACCAAACTTACAGGGAATAAAGAAAAGATACTGTAAGGGAATACTATGAACAGTTGTTTGCCAAAAAATTAGACAACTTAGCTAAAATGCACAGATTTCTATAGCTTACTAAACAAAGTATTTTTCCCAGTTGTCTTTTTTTGTGTGTCAAAACCATCAGATGACAACAGAAATGAACAATTGAGGCCTCTAAAGCTCTTCTCTTTCAGCTGACAATGTAGGGAGCTAGTACTTGAGCCCTCTGACATGATTTCGGGTTGAATAGAACCTTCACATTCCTTCCAATCCTCTTAAATTTGTTAAGCCATCCCAAAACAGAAAATTCATTTTTTCCCAATAAAGCACCAGAGAAATCTGGTCACTGACCTCCAGACAGACTGTAAGAAAAGTGCGCCTAAGGCCAGCATGGTGGCTCACGCCTATAATCCCAGCCCTTTGGGAGGCCGAGGTGGGTGGATTGCCTGAGGTCAGGAGTTTGAGACCAGCCTGGTCAACATGGCGAAACCCCCTCTCTACTAAAAATACAAAAATTAGCCAGGCGTGGTGGCGTGCCCCTGTATTCACAGCTACTCGGGAGGTTGAAGCAGGAGAATCATTTGAACCCAGGAGGTGGAGGTTGCAGTGAGCCAAGATCATGCCATTGCACTCCAGCCTGGGCAACAAGAGTGAAACTCCATCTCAAAAAAAAGAAAAATGAAAAGCTGGCCTTAAGACCTGGGGTGCAGAGGGATTTTACCTCATCTACGTGGTCAAGTTGCTTACCTTGTCACCACAAACCGCACAGAGGGCTTTCATCTGGAGTCCCCAGCCCACTGTCTGCACAATCAGGGCTAGAATCTCATTTCTCTGGCTTATTTCCCAAGGCTGTTCTAGTCACCTCAGCTACGGGAGATCTGGCTATGTATCTTTTGGCAGGTAGCTATGGTGTCTTGTCAGAAGGAAAACAGTAGCAATGAAAATGTCAGATTTTTGTGCTAAGTTCCCTTAAATATTGCCCAACACCAAACTTTTAGTGAGCCAGCCCGTTCATTCATCCAGCAAATATTTATTGAGACTCTGTTATATGCAAGATGTTACTTTAGGAGATACAGGTATATAGGGAAATCTCGTGTAATCAAGGCAGATTAAGGTCTAATAAGGTTGGAGATTAAAGTGAAATAATTTTAAGGGAAAAAATATAAGTACCATAAACCATATAAAGTTTTAATTCTGTGGATCACAACCTAATAATGGTCATGAAGTCAACTTAGTGGGTTTGTTATCACTTTTTTTTTTTTAAATTGAACTATAACAAAATATCATTGCAATGCATATCTTTATGGATATTTTGTGAAATTTTTGTTTGCCGTATTGTTACTTATATTGGAGTTGCAGTGTTAAATGTTTTTAATGTGGGTTACAGTCAAAAATAGGAAAGGGTAGTTCAAACATGCTTCAGAAAAATCCACAAGCTTGCAGGCGAGAGGTGACTTTGGAGAGTTAGAATTTTGACAAGTGAAAATGGGTAATGAGAGGAAAAAGTGGAGAGCAGAGGCCGGTCGCAGTGGCTCACGCCTGTAATCTCAGCACTTTGGGAGGCCGAGGTGGGCAGATCATTTGAGCTTGGAGTTGGAGATCAGCCTGGCCTACATGGTGAAACCTTGTCTCTAATAAAAATACAAATACTAGCCAGGCAGGGTGGCGGGCTCCTGTAATCCCAGCTACTCAGGAGGCTGTGGCAGGAGAACCACTTGAACCTGGGAGGGGGAGGTTACAGTGAACCGAGATTGCACCACTGCACTCCAGCCTGGGCTACAGAGACTCTGTCTCAAAAAAAAAAAAAAAAAAAAAAGTGGAGAGCAGAGAGAAGTGGGCCTCCAAGCCTGGCACCAGGAATGAGAAACTGAGAACTACCCAGCAACAAGGAAGGATTTAAGAGATGCCTAAAGAATTTTGTGTGTGGGTAGATATGGAGAGTTAAGACCTTTTGTTAATAATTAATTGTATTCCCTAATGGATTACTGATAGCTTATCAGCTCTGCTTGCCTATGTGGACTTTGACAGCTCCACCTTTAGTGTGGTTGAAAACAAGTGAGAACGCCATGATAGGCCCGGTGGTGGGGTGTCTGGTCCTGCCCCCTCTCTGCCGAGCAATCTCCTTGAAGGGTGCCTAGTTCTCCTGTGGACAGTATTGACAACTTGCCTGGAAAAGCCATGGGATTGCTCTCCAGCTTTGGTTTTAAGAGATTTAACACTCCATTAGGATATGTGTTTACGGGCTTCATACCCTTCAGAGCTCTGTGTGTTGGAAGCATACTTATTTCACTTTATCTCTGGGTGGGCTTCTCACTCCTTTTCCAGTGCTTCAACAAAAGGTGTGGCGGGGACTGGCCCCTTTCTCACAGCCCACTGCAGTGGGATGAGAGTCCCAAACGGATGACATAATGTCTGGAAAGCACCGAGTTTAACCAAGAGAGAAATAGGGTTATTACAAAGATGAAGGGGCTCTGAGGGAAATTCTGCAAGAGATATCATTACTTTGAAATCACTTGGAAAATAAATGAGAGGAATATCACCCTGCCCCCATACCCACTGCAGCACTGTAATTACGGGGTGAGGATAATTGAATTTTAGAAACGCCCGGGGCCCAGCTACACTCTTCAAAAGTAATATGAAGAATCTGACCCCCTCTGGCCTGGCGAAGAGCAAGCTCCTGAGTTCTTGCTACCGGCTCCAGCGACTGTCTGCTTTCCTTTTCTCCTTAGCGCCGCCATCACGGGGGTCCTCCCCGCAAGACCTGCAGAGAGTGGGATGTTGCCCCCTTCCCTGCGCAAATTTAGAGACAGCTAGTGCCGTCTGGGGACCAGTCACTGTGCTAGGATCAGCTCGAGTACTAAGCCGCGACAGTTGGGCTAGAAAGCCCTTCCTCCGAGCCCCCCAAGGCCCAGGTGGCAGCGGGTTCAGCTCATAGAGGAAATTGTCCTGATGTCCTGCAGAACAGAACAATGGGAGTGGAAAGGGTGGTTTATTTTCTCAAGAAATCGACTACATTTCCCAGGCCTGATATACATCTCAATGGGACTGTCCCACAGAGGAAGAGTCTCCTCGGAACTTCTTCACCCCCAAATTAACATTTCTCCCAACTTTGGGTTAGTAGGGTTCTTTAGGCGTCTGATCATTGTGGGAAGCGGTGCGGCATCAAGTCTGAAAAGTGAATATAATATGGTTTATTTGGAACTCGACCAGGAAATTTTGGTTCTTTTGGCTGGTGGAAATATGCAGAAGAAACACCATCTAAGGGCGCGTCCCCTTCTGAAGTACCTTTCCGAACTGGGGAGGGAAGAGAAAAGCTTTTTGGGTGAACCAGAAGTGGTAAAATCACATTCAAATAGAGTGGGTAGGACTCTCCTCCAGGGGGTGTGGGGTGGAGGCTAGGCGGTGAGAGCTTCCCGCGCCCAGGGAGCAGGTCTTCACGGGAGGTTTCCGGAGGCAGGAGGAGCCTGCGGGTCCTCGGGAGTCACGGCCGGATGAAGGATGGGAGCGGGCGCCGACCACAGCCAGGGCCGCGAGGCGCAGGAGGGCGCAGGCTGGCCAGGTCCCCAGCCTGCCGGCCCCACGTGGCAGCCCCGGGGCGAGCGGGGCGGGCCGGGGGCGGGTCCGGCCGCTGACGCGCCGGGTATATAGCCGGGCATGCGCGCGGTGCCGGGGCCCGGACGCAGTGAGGGGGGTCGGCGCGCGTGTCTACGCGGACGCACCGGCTAAGCTGCTTCTGCCGCCGCCGGCCGCCTGGGACCTTGCGGTGAGGCTGCGCGGGGCCGAGGCCGCCTCCGAGCGCCAGGTGAGGGCGGGGACGCCAAGGGCCGCGGGATGGGCAGCGGCGGAGGAGCCCCGCACCCCAGGCTGGGGCAGTGGGTGGGGGCGGGGACAGCCCTGCGCCGAGGACCGGGCGCCGCTCCCGGGCACCGGCACACGCCCGGACGGCTGGGTGGAGGCTGCACCTGGCCGTGGTGCCGCGCTGGCGAGGGGAGAGGTCAAGGCGCGGCCTGTCCGCCTGGAGGGTGCGGGATGCTAGAGCCGCAGAAGGGTGCCCAGAGCGTGGGTCGCCGCGCCGAAGGCTGAGCCAGGCTCCCGGATTCCCCGCGCGGACACGGACGCAGAACGCAGACAGTAGGTGGCCAATCCGAGGGGCGGCTCTTGGGGCGGCTCTATGGGGCTCTGGGGTCTGGACTTTGCTTTTCAGGAGCTGCGTCCCCGGGCCCCCGCCGGTCCATCTCCCCTCTGAAGGTACATGTACCCAATCTTCCGGCTGAGCGAATCTCCAACCTGGCTTGCCCACGAGGATGGCTTTCTGGCTATTTTTGGTCCTTAATGACCAAGTTAGGTGGTCGGGTTCAGGCTGCCCCCTCTTGGTGGGTGAGGGCAGTGGGACAAAGTCGCCATCCGAGCAGTTTCATCATCTGATCCTGAGGTCCAGTTGAGCCGGGAAAATTTCGTCAGCTCTGGACTAGGGGTTCACTTTTGAGGATCTGGTGCTTGCCAGGGCCTGGGTTCCAGAGACAGGCTTCTCTAAACAGTTAAAGGGCTCGGCTGTACAGGAGGACTCCGGACACAATTGGGGAGTGGCTAAGTGCTCTCTTGTGGCCCGAATGGAAGCGTGGGGTTAGGAGCAGCTTTGACCTGACCCTTCTTCCTGGAGCAAGCCTGGTTTGGGTTTACGTCTTTAGTGGCTCTCCCCTAGGAGCCCCAGGCCATTGGGACGGCTGTGCTCCTGCTGAGGAGTGGCCTGGGAGTTAGCCCTGGCCTCTGTCCCTGCTCTGCTCTTAACTGGCCCTGTGACCTTGGGAGGGTCAGGTCAGTACCACGGTCAGACTAGATCTCCTTAACCACAGCATATACAATTCCGTAATCCTTCCCTCTTTTATTTTATTTTATTTTATTTTATTTTATTTTATTTTATTTTATTTTATTGTATTTTATTTTATTTGAGACGGAGTCTCACTCTGTTGCCCACGCAAGAGTGCAGTGGCGCGATCTCGGCTCACTGCAACCTCCGCCTCCCGGGTTCAAGCGACTCTCCTGCCTCAGCCTCCCGAGTAGCTGGGACTACAGGCGCGTGCCACCATGCCCGGCTAATTTTTTGTATTTTTAGTAGAGACGGGGTTTCACCGTGTTAGCCAGGATGGTCTCGATCTCCTGACCTCGTGATCCGCCCACCTCAGCCTTCCAGAGTGCTGGGATTACAGGCGTGAGCCACCCTGCCCGGCCTATCCTTACCTCTTAAAACCTAAGTCCTAAATATGGACAAGAACTTGTCCATATACATCCTTGGATGCATATCCCCCGGGACGCAGCTCCTGAAAAGCGAAGTCCAGACCCCAGAGCCCCATGGAGCCACCCCAAGGATATACATCCTTGGTAAAGCAAGAGAAGGGATGTCCAGAATCATAACTTAGCAGCTGGAATTAAAAGCCACATGTTCCTTTTCCTGGTGGAGGCTCAGAGAGGTGAGTTTTCCATTACCTGTGTGGTAGCCAGGAGATAGGCTAGTGGTCCTCTTGCTGGGGTTGGTTTGCAGGTAAGACTAGAGGGCACCAGACAGTGGAAGGGGGTCCTCTGGATACTGTCTCTTCCCAAAGGGCCAGGCCAAAAGCAGGTTCTTGCTTAATTTATCATATTTTACTCATCTGGCCTCTGGGGCCTTGAGGGAGGGCAGTGCTGAGCGGGAGATTCGATCCAGGTGTTGACTGACAGCTGGCCAGCCAGTGCAGAGGCTAGAGGAACTCACTGACCTGAGGACTTGGGGGCTGGAGCAGCTGCATCATTGGCCTTGTATTTTAGGCCAGAGTAAGAATTTTGGGCTCTGGGACTCTTAGCCTGTGGATGTACATTGCCTGGTCTGTGCTGGGCTCTGCAGTGGCCACCATGGCGGGTGCACGCAGAAGGCCTGGCCCCCACCCTTCCAGTGCAAACTCTTGGGGAGAAACAGCATCCACGGGTGAAGAACAAGATAGCAACACAAGAGAAGCCTCCATACTGTGCACAGTTCAGTTCAGAGAGCGGGCATCCTTGAAAGACGGGAATAATTCTGGCCTTTTGAGATAGGTGGGTCTCTGTTCAATTCCTGGCCCCGTCACTCTCCAGCAGTGAGAAATTTCTTAACTTCTGTTCTCACCAGCTTGCAGGATGTCGTGATTTTGCCTGGAACATAGTAGAGGGCTGCTTGTCATCATTCTCATCGTCATAATTTTTGTGGGGTGGAGTGGGTTATTTAGGGGTCCCAGAGGCTGATAGTTGGGTTGGGTTGTAGGAATGGTGTGAGCCCAGGCGTAGGGTTGATTCATCTCTTCCTTGGCAACATGGATGCAATTTCCCTGCCCTTCTGGGAAGGCCGCTTTTCTGTGGCCTGCCAGGGATTGTCCCACAGATCAATTGGGCAATTTTAGGGAAAACAAACTTTTTTCTACCTTTGGTTCTGGGAGCTGCTCTGATTTCTTCAGAGAAGAAATGCTCCTTCTCTGGGCTGATGGTAGCCAGGAAGGAGTAACAATGCCTGTGTGTGCCTGGGTGGTGGGTGTGTGCTTGTGTGTGTGTGTGCACATCTGTGCACATGTGCGTGTGCGTGTGTGTAGGGTATATATCACTCACAGGACTGGTTCTGTTTTTAAACCCTGCTTACCTTCTTCCTCCTTCCTTACCTGCTCACACCCTGCACTATTCCAAGAGGAAACTCAATCCCTGTCCAACATTTGCAGAATCATGGGGTTTACACAGTAGTGTTGTGAATAGATTGTGCGTGCCTGGGAACCAGGACCTCCCTCTCCCCACTATGTCAGGATAATAGCCTGCCTGCACCTGACCTGGCCAAGGTAATGCTGCACCATGTTGCTGAGCCCCACAACCATGGAATGTTGAGCAGGGGACTTTGGTGATCTTGGAGTCCAGCACCTTTATTTTACAGTGAAAGAAACTGGATCCAGGGAGGTGAATTGGTATTCCCGAGTCACATGGTTGCCAGTGGCCAAGAGACTTGATGGAGAAGACCAAAGAAGGGTTCTATTTTTGATCCTAAATGTGATTATGAAATTGCTGACACCTCCAGTCTTTGCTTGGAAACTAGAAGAGGAAGGGGCCATTTGTCCCTGTGCTTATTGAGGGAGGGGGTGTTAGTTTCTTCTGGAGGAGTCTCTTACTCTTTCCAGACTCCCTGGAGACATGGGAGGCTGGGGAGTGAGCAGGGAAGGGACCTGCTGCTCAGCCCAGCCGGGACTCACCGGGTGTCTGCAGTGGGGCTTCTCTGACCTCCAGGCTGGTGGGCTGGTGGAATGCCAGGAGATAAGGAGTCCAGAGTCCGCCCCATCGACTGTCGCCAGCCAGGGCTTCATGCCCACCTAGGGGACAGGAGGGCAGGCCCTAGAACACAGGGTCACGAAGCCCCACTATCTTGTTCCCCCCTCCCCCCACTACCGTGGGCATTAAACCTCTCAGGGGGCCCCTGGTTGGGCCTGGCAGAGGCAGAGACGCAGAGGCTGGGCCCTCTGACCTGCACAAGGAAAAGAGGCCGGGAAAGCCACAGAATTGGCCTGCCCAAGGGAGCCCAGAGTGCCCAGCCATGGGAAACCGAATTCTCCGCCTTGGCAACTGGAGATCGGACTGTTGTTAGAACTCCTAACCTCCCTCCAAGGGCAGGCCCCAGAGAATCTTGGGGCTTGGTGGAATGAGAAGGTGAATGCCCTACATTTATTACCGCCGAGTTCCTAATGGCCCTCGTAGGCAGTGCATTCAGTATTAGTAGTTAATAAAAAAAATCAGATAAAAGTTGGATATCTAAAAAAAAAATACATGTCTTTTTTTTTTTTTTTTTTTTTTTTTTTTTTTTTTTTTGAGACGGAGTCTCGCTCTGTCGCCCAGGCTGGAGTGCAGTGGTGCGATCTCGGCTCACTGCAACCTCTGCCTCCTGGGTTCAAGCAATTCTCTGCCCCAGCCTCCCAAGTAGCTGTGATCACAGGTGCCTGCCATCACACTTGGCTAATTTTTGTATTTTTAGTAGAGACGGGGTTTCACCATGTTGGCCAGGCTGGTTTTGAACTCCTGACCTCGTGATCTACCCACCTCGGCCTCCCAAAGTGCTGGGATTACAGGCATGAGCCACTGTGCCCAGCCAAATCATATCTTTTATCTTTTTTTTTTTTTTTGAGACGGAGCCTTGCTCTGTGGCCCAGGCTGGAGTGCAGTGGCACGATCTCGGCTCACTGCAAACTCTGCCTCCCGGGTTCAAGCCATTCTCCTGCCTCAGCTTCCCGAGTAGCTAGGATTATAGGCGCCCGCCACCACGCCTGGCTAATTTTTGTATTTTTAGTAGAGACGAGGTTTCACCATGTTGGCCAGGCTGGTCTCCAACTCCTGACTTTGTGATCCGCCCGCCTCAGCCTCCCAAAGTGCTGGGATTACAGGTGTGAGCCACTTGCACCCGGCCCCTTTATTTTATCTTTAAAACATGTATGTATTTTTATTCACCAAAACTTTGATTTAGGGCCAAGCCCTTTCCTTTGAGTCTTTAGATCCCTTATTTAGACTACTTAGAAATTGTTTGTATATAAAAATCATACTTAAATGTATTACCTGTAATTTCTCATTTCTTTCATTTTATTAAATTTTTTTTTCCTACTAGGCTCCGTATTCACATAGTTGAAAAATCAAGACGGTAAAAAACAGCAAAACCTTGTCTTCCCCCAGCTTTTCAATAAATGCTCCAAGGTAGCATTTTAAACATCATTCAGCACCTTGCTTTTTTCACCTAGCAACTATATTAAGATCTTTTCCATATCAGCACATAGAATGCTTTTAGCATTCTCTGTCATAGCTGTGTAGTATTGCATAGTATGGAAGTATCATCTTTTTTAACCAACACACATATCACCCTGTCTGCGCTTATGTTTGCAGAATATATCTGTGAAGTGGAATCGCTGGGTAAAAGGTTAAATCTGTTAATTAGCTTTCACTAAATAAAAAAATGAAGCGAAGACAAGAGATATTTGCAAAACAGCCATGTTCGGAATCCAGTTACTGCTTTTATGTACATACCTAGTTTAATTTCAGCTTTTTATTATTTTTCCATTTGCAACAAATCTTTCTAGATGAGTAATTCTCAAACTTTTTGATGCTAGGACCCCTTACATTGTCTTTTGTATATGTGGCTATCTGTATTGATAGTATATTAAAAATTAAAACTAAGTAAAGAAAAATTTTTTTGAGACATGGTCTCACTACGTTACCCAAGCTAGTCTTAAACTCTGGCTTCAAGCGATCCTTCTGCCTCAGCCTCAAGACTGAGAAATTTTAAAATAGTTATTTATTCATTTAAAAAGCAAAAATAAGGCGATTACACGTTAACATTAAAAAAAAAAATGTTTTGAACGGGCGCAGTGACTCACACCTATAATCCCAGCATGTTGGGAGGCCGAGCTGGGCAGATCACAAGGTCAAGAGATCCCGACCATCCTGGCCAACATGGTGAAACCTCGTCTCTACTAAAAATACAAAAAATTAGCTGGGTGTGGTGGTGCACGCCTGTAGTCCCAGCTACTCTGGAGGCTGAGGCAGGAGAATCGCTTGAACCTGGGAAGCAGAGGTTGCAGTGAGCCAAGATTACGCCACTGCACTCCAGCCTGGTGACAGAGCGAGACTCCATCTCAAAAAAAA
Source organism: Homo sapiens (assembly GCF_000001405.40). NCBI lineage: Eukaryota > Metazoa > Chordata > Mammalia > Primates > Hominidae > Homo > Homo sapiens. The sequence goes on from NC_000008.11 coordinate 22,373,270, forward strand.
AAAAAAAGTTTCATGAAAAATAACTATATTTTCCAAAATAAAGTAGTCAAAAGAATGGCCTTGTTAGCATATTTTTAGAAATTTCAGGATTTTAAAATAATTATTTATTGGATGATAATGAGATAACAGGTTATAATAGGTGTAACTTAAATTTGCTGTTAAGAAGTCAGTTAAAAGTTCTGAGAACAAATTGAGCTAATCTCTGAGACCACCTATATATTATATTATACCCTAAACTTCTACCTTAGAAATTTCTCAAAGACTCAAGATGACACAGGTACGTGTCACATTTCATGTAGCTTCTGAAAAGTGAGAGTGAAAAGCTTTTAATTTTTGTATATTAGAATAAAAATAGTCTTTTACTTCAGGGACCCCAGGTGTCATATAAGACAGTAATTTCAGAATTACTGTTCGAGATCACTTAGCTTAAATTTCTCAGAAGTCAGACATTTTTCTTTGCATTTATTCTTCAGGGTTTTTTGTTTTTGTTTTCTCGTTTTTTTTTTTTTTTCCAAGGCAGAGTGTCTCTCTGTCACCCAGGCGGGAGTGCAGTAGCGCAATCTCACCGCAACCTATACCTCCCAGGTTCAAGTGATTCTTCTGCCTCAGCCTCTCAAGTAGCTGGGATGCAGACACGCGCCACCACGCCCAGCTAATTTTTTGTATTTTTAGTGGACATGGGGTTTCGCCATGGTGGCCAGGCTGGTCTCGAACTCGAGCTCAAGTGATCCACCGGTCTTGGCCTCCCGAAGTGCTGGGACTGAAGTGCTGGGACTAAAGGCGTGAGCCACCGTGCCCAGCCCTCAGTTGTTATTTAAATAAATCATAATCATTTAAATAAATAGAACCTGCATAAAGAGGTTTGGGAATAGGCACAGCTGTTGGCATGGGAACCCTCAATGGTGACAGCAGGTGGTGGGGTTGGGGGGAGGTTGGCCACCTGGCGAGGGGCCTGTTGGCTGCAGGGAGGGACTGGAGACCTGGGGTCCTTGAGCAGTCCAGTGGCGCTCAGCTAAGAGAGCTGCTGAGTACCATCTCCATTCCCGAGATGCTTGTGAAATGTGTGAGGAGCTATGCATGTGTGGAAAGTCAGATGCAGGATGGCCTTCCTGAAGCTGCAGTAAGTGGAACAGAGGAGGGGTACTGGGTGAGGCCAGAGGAGGGAGTGGCAGGAGGTGACAGAGAAGGCTTCTTGGGGAGGGACTGAGCCACATCTTGAAAGCTAGGAAGCGGGAGAGAGAGCAGGGTCCTGGTAAGGAGAGCCGTGTGAATGCTGGTGGGATGGTACACGTGGCCCAGAGTGGCTGAGAGGGAGCAGCAAGTGAGGTAGCTGGAAATGTACGTTGGGTCTAGGAGTCTTGAATGGCTCGGGTGTCTAAGGTACGAGTGTTCTCTTGGAACTCAGAGCTGTTTCCATATCAGAGACTTGCCAGCAGCCCTCTGTCTTGGGGTGCAGCCTGCCAGCCTGCTCTTTTTTTTTTTTTTTTTTTTTTTGAGACAGGGTCTCACTCTGTTGCCCAGGCTAGAGTGCAGTGGGTATGATCTCAGCTCACTGAAACCTCCCCTCCTGAGCTCAAGCGATTCTCCCATCACAGCCTCCCAGGTAGCTGGGACTCCAGGTGCACACCACCACACCTAGCTAATTTTTGTGTTTTTAGTAGAGATGGGGTTCCACCATGTTGGCCAGCCTGGTCTCGAACTCCTGACCTCAAGTGATCCACCCGCCTTGGCCTCCCAGAGTGCTGGGATTACAGGCGTGAGCCACCGCGCCTGGCCAGCCTGCTCTTATCTGGAGCAACTCCATGGCCCCACGTCCATGTCCTCTGTACCAGTCCACTTCCTCCAGCCTCCTGCCACCTTCCTTAGCCCTCAGAAGCATCTAGCAGCCTCCTTTCCAGTCTGAACACAGCCCTTAGAAGTCTCTCCCAGAAACTGTAATAGATGTGATTAACTATACACAGAATTCCCCCAAACAATTGTTTGGTATTTTTGTCGACTTTATTTCCTTCTGATTATTAAAAGTAATGCATGCATATTGTAAAGTGCAAAAAAGTATTTGGGGGAAAGTCGATAATCCTGCTGCAGTCTCTCTTTACATATTGGCATATTTCCTTACAGTTGTTTTTTTTTTGGGGGGAGGGGATACAATTGGCTATCTACACCCATCTTACCTCGACATCAAAATTTCTCCCTAAGCATTTATTCTGCCTTATGGCTGTATCTTTTTTTTTTTTGAGACGGAGTCTCACTCTGTTGCCCAGGCTGGAGTGCAGTGGCACAATCTCGGCTCACTGCAACCTCCGCCTCCCAGGTTCAAGCAATTCTCCTGCCTCAGCGCCCCCTAATAATAGCTGGGATTACAGGCATGCACCACCATGCCCGGCTAATTTTTGTGTTTTTAGTAGAGGTGGGGTTTCGCCATGTTGGCCAGACTGATCTCAAACTCGACCTCAGGTGATCTACCCGCCTTGGCTTACCAAAGTGCTGGGATTACAGGCATGAGCCACTGCACCCAGCCATGGCTGTATCTTAGTTTGCTTAACCATTTCCTTTTATTTTAAACTTTTCTTTTGAACTAATTTTAGATGTACAGAAGAGTTGCAAAAATATAGCAGAATTCCTTTATATTCCTCACCCCAGAGTATAATTATATAATCAGGAGCAGGAAATCAACATTGGCATAACACTGTTAACTAAACTGCAGGCCTTATTTAAACGTCACCAATATTTTCACTAATGTCCATTTGCTGTTTCCAGGATCTGATATGGGATCCCACACTGTTTAGTTATTTCTCCTTAGTTTGCTGCAATCTGTGGCAGTCTCTCCCTCTTTTCTTGCTAGAATGTTGGAACGCAAAGTGATGTTGCATCCTTTAGAGGTATTCATCATGTCACAGTTTTTTGTTGTTGTTGTTAATTTTGAGACAGGGTCTCACTCAGTGCACAGGCTGGAGGGCAGTGGTGTGATCTCGGCTCTCTGCAGCCTCCACCTCCCAGTTTCAAGCAATTCTCCTGCCTCAGCCTCCCAAGTAGCTGGGATTACAGGCATGAGCCACCACACCTAATTTTTTTTTTTTTTTTTTTTGTATTTTCAGTAGAGACAGGGTTTCACCATGTTGTCCAGGCTAGTCTTGAACTCCTGAGCTCAAGTGATCCACCCACCTCAGCCTCCCAAAGTGTTGGGATTATAGGCGTGAGCCACTGCACTCGGCCATGTTGGAGTATTTTTTTACTGGTGACATTTATCTAGATTGGCTGGTGTCTGCTTGATTTCCACACTGAAAAAAGGTGGGTTTTCTGTTGTTGTTGTTTTACAAAAACTGAATGGGGCCAGGCACGGTGGCTCACACCTATAATCCTAGCATTTTGGGAGGCCGAGGCAGGCAAAGGCCGACGTCGGGAGTTCAAGACCAGCCTAGCCAACATGGTGAAACCCCATCTCCACTAAAAATACAAAAATTAGCCAGGCATGGTGACATGCACCTGTAATTGCAGCTACTCGGGAGGCTGAGACAGGAGAATCGCTTGAACCTGGGAGGTGGAGGCTGCAGTGAGCTGAGATGGAGCCACTGCACTCCAGCCTGGGCAACAGAGTGAGACAATGTCTGGGGAAAAAAAAAATACTGAATGGATAAACTGAAGAAGTTATCTTTCTTTCCCTTTGTAGTTTCAGGAGATACTTTGAGACTATGCAAATCCTGTTTCTCCTTGTACTTTCATCCCCTAATTTTAGCACCCATCTGTAGACCCTGCTTGCAACAATGATGACTGTGATGTTTGACTAATGATTCTCTATTTCCCTCTTGTACATTTATTTATTGGAATTCTTTGTAAGCAAGAGCTGGCCCTGCTTCCCCATTTATTTATGCATTTGGTTATTCATAATCAGATTTTGTTCTGTGGGTTAAAGTTGAATAATATTTTTTGAGGCTCAAATTGTTCTAGCTTTGACCATTTTGGGAGCTCCTTCCGGTTGTCTCCTGTGTTCTTCTGGTAAGCCCCTGCCATTTTTTTTTTTAAGTGTTTCCTTAATTTCCTTTACTACAAAATATTCCAGGCTCATCTTGTAACTTCGCTGCCCCAGCCCTAGAGTCAGGCACTTCTCCACGGAGTCCTGCTTTCCTTTATTGGAGAATGCTGTTTAGAAACCAAGGTCTGGTTGCTAGGTATGTTCATTGCTACAGCAGTTATCATTGCTTCTGGGTCCTCTCAGCAGACAAAGCTAGGAAACAGATAATTCAGCACCTATCTGTATATATGTATGCTAAAGAATATGAGTTTGTACTGATAACGCTTATTCTGATCTAACCTCAAAAAGTTCGTTTTATTTTAGTCTTTCCCTTTTCATGATGACTTCTTTCTCCAACAGTGAAAAACCCTCTCAGTCATTTTCTTAGTTGGGGTGAAGGTTATTTTCCACTGGTTTTGCTCCTATTATCGTGGCCCTGATTAACACACATTTCCACATGTGGACTATAGATTATTTGACTCAACTCGCCTTTGAGATGATAACATCTGGAGGCAGAGGCAAGTGTTTCTGATTTTACATACTCTGTGATTCTGCACCCAGAGCTGCACTAGGATGTACTGAATGCTTGATCAGCATCTTACCTGCTGAATACCCCATTTGGATCTGTGCCCGCTCGGCTATGCTCTCCCTCTCTGCAGTTCACAACTCTCCTGCCAATTGTATTTGTCTTAAACAATACTCCTTTCCCGTTCCTAGCTTTAGAATTCTTTGTGAGATGAGAACTGTAGCCTAATGTTAGAAGCTCTAAAGCCTGCCCGGTCCAAGATCAGAAACCACTACCACTCATTTCCATACCACCTGCTCTTGGTAGGCATGTGTCAGTAGAATGGATTAATTGGAAGTAAACTGGAATAGGACAGAGTGCAGAGACCCATACTGCCTGGCCCTGCCACCTGTGACCAGAACTTGTCACTTCACTGCTCTGGGGAGTGGAGGTCTATCAGAGCAGGCAAGTGTGTTAGTATGACACACTTAGTGGCTTGAAACAACACCCGTTTATCATTTCTCAATTCTGTAGGCCAGAAGGCTGAGCATTGCATGACTGGCTTCATTGCTGGGGGTCCTAGAAGACTAAACTTAGGGTGTCAGTTGGGTTTTCAGGGCCTCTGCCAGGCTCAGATGGTTGTGGAAAATTCAGCTCCTTGTGGCTATAGGACTGAGGTCCCCTGCCCCCTCACCCCTATTTTCCATTGCTGGCTACCAGGCAGGGGCCACTCTCAGTTCCTAGAGGCCCCCATATTTCCTTTCCATGTGGTCTCCTCCATCCCCTGTGACACAGCCTGTCTCCCACATTGAGTCCTGCTCATGCTTCAGCTCTTTTTGCCAAGAGGAGCCATCCTTGTAAGGGCTCACCAGCTTTGTTCTGGCCCACTCAACGTAATTTCCCTTCTCAGGTCAACTGATGTGGTCAGCAAATACCTGCAGGCTCACTTTTGCCACATAATGTGCCATGATCCCAGGAGTGACGTCTCATATTCATGGGTCCCGCCCATACACAGCAATGAGGGTCACTGGAGTCACTCTTAGTGTTCTGCCAGCTGCAGCTGAACATGATCAGGTCTTAATTCTGGCACCAAAGTATTTACCTGTGGATCTGTGTCCCATGGTTCCCCTGACAAGATACCAGAAACTTGGTGGCTTAAAAACGACAGAAATGTATTCTTATAGGTCTGGAGGCCAGCAGTGTGAAATGCAGGTGTCACCAGGACCATACTCCTTCTGACAGCTCTAGGGGAGAATGCTTCCTTCTTTTCCCAGCTTTTGGTGGCTCCTGGCATTCCTTGGCTTCTGGCTGCACCACTCCCATCTCTGCCTCTGTCTTCACGTGGCCTTCCCCTGTTGGTGTGTGTCTGCATGTCCAAATCTCCCTCTCCTTTCTCTTATAAAGACATAGGTCATTGGATTTAGGGCCCATCGTAAATCCAGGACAATTTCATCTTGACATCCGTAACTGATTTTATCTGCAAAGTCTCTATTTCCAAATAAAGTCACTTTCTGAGATTTCAGGTGGACAGTTATTTGCGGGGATAGTATTCACCCCACTAGATTCAGGGTTGTGGGAAGTGTTGCTTACTAAACTCTGGTTCACGGAGCTGCCAAAGAAAAGAGATTTATTTTTAAACCTAGGAGAGAAGGCAAGCTTGGCTGCTGTGGAGGCTGGGGCCCATCCTCAGACCATCTGCTCCCCTCATGGTGACACAGATCTGAAAACCAGGTGGGTTGAAGGCTGGCCTAGAGGCCCTGTGTCCTTAAGATCCAGACACTTTGCAGTACAGTCAGCTCGCAGTCTCTGTCTTTGTGGATTCAATCAACCACGGATGGAAAATATTTGAGAAAAGAAACAAAACTGGCCGGGCGTAATGGCTTACCCCTGTAATCCCAGCACTTTGGGAGGCCGAGGCGGGTGGATCACGAGGTCAAGAGATCGAGACCATCCCGGCCAACATGGTGAAACCCCGTCTGTACTAAAAATACAAAAATTAGCTGGGGGTGGTGGGGTGTGCCTGTAATCCCAGCTACTCAGGAGGCCGAGGCAGGAGAATCCCTTGAACCCGGGAGGCAGAGGTTGCAGTGAGCCAAGGTTGTGCCACTGCACTCCAGCCTGGCGACAGAGTGAGACTCCATCTCAAAAAAAAAAAAAAAAAAAAGAAAAGAAAAGAAACAACACTAACAATATAATGGTTAAAAAGAATACAAATAAAAAAACACAGTATAAAAATTATTACATACCATTTACATTGTATTCAATACTATAAGTAACCTAGAGATGGTTTAAAGTCTATAGGGAGGAAGTGCGTAGGTTATATGCAAATACTATGCTATTTTATATCAGGGACTTGAGCAATTGTAGATTTTGGTATCCTGGAGGCGGAGAGGGTGTCTTGGAACCAATCCCCTGCTGATGCCAAGGGATGACTGTACCAGCAACTTGCCTCTGTACAGAGAGCTCTGGTTGAGTGTGACACTGTCCTGTAGGATGGGCAGGGGACAGATTGTGGTACCCCTGTGGCAAAGAGGGAAAACTGAGGTCAGAGAGCTTAAGTGATTGCAGAGTGTCGTACTTAGAAGGGACAGCAGTGTTTGGTCCAGCAGTCTTGAAGTGTCAGGCCAGTTCCTGGGGCTAGAAAGAGGCTGATCCATCAGCACCTCTCTAGCCCGAGGTGGCCTGGACCTCACCCAGAAAGTTGTGATTCAGGACCGAGATGAGGCCTCAGTGTTGCCACTGGGTTAGGGACCCACGCACAGATGCAGTCGAAGACTGGAATCTGTTTAATACCTCCAAGTGAAGATCCTCAAAAAGGGAGCAAAAAGCACCATCCCTCCCTGCAGCACCCTACCCCCTGCCCAACTTATCAGTAAGCCTTTCCATTCCTGTTTTTTTTTTTTAACCCCCAGAGATGGGGTCTCACTCTGTCGCCCAGGCTGGAGTGCAGTGGCTCCATAATGGCCCACTACTGATTTGACCTCCCGGGCTCAAGTGATCCTTCCATTTCAGCCTTCCAAGTAGCTGGGACTACAGGCATGTACCACCATGCCAAGCTAATTATTGTATTTTTAGTAGAGACAGGGTTTTGCCATGTTGCGCACGCTAGTCTCAAACTCCTGGGCTCACACAATCCACCCCCTTGGCCTCCCAAAGTGCTGGAATTACGGGAGTGAGCCACCATGCCCGGCCTCTGAATTTTTTTTTTTATACAGAGTCTTGCTCTGTCGCCCAGGCTAGAGTGCAGTGGCGCAATCTTGGCTCACCACAACTTCCGTCTCCTGGGTTCAAGCGATTCTCCTGCCTCAGCCTCCGAAGTAGCTGGGACTACAGGCGAGTGCCACCATGCCCGGCTAATTTTTGTATTTTTAGTAGAGACGGGGTTTCACCATGCTGGCCAGGCTGGTTTCGAACTCCTAACCTCGTGATCTGCCCGCCTCGGCCTCCCAACTTGCTGGGATTACAGGCATGAGCCACCGCGCCCAGCCCTACTCTTTTTTTTTCTCCCCGAGACAGAGTCTCGCTCCGTCACCCAGACTGGAGTGCGGTGGGGCTAGGCTCACGGCAAGCTCCGCCTCCCGGGTTCACGCCATTCTCCTGCCTCAGCCTCCCAAGTAGCTGGGAATATAGGCGCCCGCCACCAGGCCTGGCTAATGTTTTGTATTTTTAGTAGAGATGGGGTTTCACCGAGTTAGACAGGATGGTCTCGATCTCCTGACCTCATGATCCGCCCGCCTCGGCCTCCCAAAGTTCTGGGATTACAGGCGTGAGCCATAGCGCCCGGCCCCTAAATTTTTTTAAATGCAAGAAAACACGGCTGTATATGCCTATACTTTCAGGGCAGGAGAGGATTTTCCAAGCATGTTACTAAAAGCAGAAACTTTAAAAAGGAAAAGTATGACATATTTGACTTTACCTCTTTAAAAATTGTGTCAATAATACCAGTTAACAAAATTAAAAGGCAAACAACTAATTAGGAAGAATATTTGTAACATGTGACAAAAGGTTAATATCTTGCCATATAATAAACCAATAAAAAAAACAAATGAATATATCAGCAAAAATGGGCAAAGAAGGCTGGGTGCAGTGGCTTATGTCTGTAATCCCCTCACTTTGGGAGACCGAGGCAGGTGGATCACCTGAGATCAGGAGTCCGAGACCAGCCTGGCCGACATGGTGAAACCCCGACTCTATTAAAAATACAAAAATTAGCCAGGTGTGGTGGTACGGGTCTGTAATCCCAGCTACTTGGGAGGCTGAGGCAGGAGAATCGCCTAAACCCAGGGAGGGGGAGGTTGCAGTGAGCCAAGATCATGCTACTGCACTCCAGCCTGGGCAACAGAGTGAGACTCTGTCTCAAAAACAACAACCAAAAAAAACAGGCAAAGAAGAGTAACAGGTAATTTGTAAAAAGGAGTAGAAATATAAAAGTAAACCTAAAACGTTGATAATCAAAGAAATGCAGGTTAAAATAATTAGAAAAATAAGTAATTTTTAACCTATCAAATTATAAAGACGGAATAATTTAATACTCAGTATTGGTGAGAATCCTATGAAATAGGCACTCATACACAGGTAGTGGGAGTATGGAACTAGTTAAATCTTGGTCAGGCACAGTGGTATGTGCCTGTAGTCCCAGCTACTTGGACAGATGAGACTGGGGAGGATTGCTTGAGTTTTGGAGTTCGAGACTAGCTTGGGCAATGCAGCAAGACCCATCTCTACAAAAAAAAGTTAAAAATGAGCCCACCAGGCTTGGTGGCATGTGCCTGTAGTCCTAGCTACTTGTGAGGTAGGAGGATCCCTTGAGCCCAGGAGTTGAAGGCTGTAGGGAGCTATGATCCGGGCACTGCACTACAGCCTGTGCCACAGAAGTGAGACCCTGACTCTATTTAAAAAAATAAATAAATAAAACTTACAACCTTGAGGGTTTTGTTTTGTTCCTTTTTGAGACAGAGTCTTACTCTGCCACCCATGTTGGAGTGCAGTGTCGTAATCTCACCTCACCATAGCCTCCGCCTCCCAGGCTCAAGCAATCCTCCTGCCTCAGCCTCCTGAATAGTTGGAACCACAGAGGCATGCTACCATGCCCCCGCTAATTTTTTTTTTTTTTTGGTAGAGACGGGGTTTCACTATGTTGGCCAGGTTAGTCTCAAACTCCTGGGCTCAAGCCATCCACCCGCATCGGCCTCCCAAAGTGTTGGGATTACAGGCGTGAGTCACCGCGGCCGGTGGCGGTGTTTTTCTTTTAGCCTGAGGATAGGGATCCTTGTCCATGCAGGTCTTCTGCTGGCTTTGGTGGAAAGCTGGGTGTGGTATGGTATGAGCCAGAAAGGACCACTGCCTCTGCTCAGGAGGATAGCCTCAGCAAATCATATAGTAAGTTCCTAATAAATATTTGTTGACTGTAACCCCTGAGGGCAGGGACTGCCTCCCAGCCAATTTTGTCCCTGCATCTCAGGATTCCTTTCATTCTTGGAAGATCCCTTCTGATCCTTTTCTTTGTTCCCTGCTGGGGAACAAGGATCCAGGAGAGGAGGAGGCAGCCAGCTCACCAGAAGCACCTCATCCACCCGCACAGGGATTACTGGGCTGCTGTCCTGGAGGGACAGACCTGGACCAGCTATATTGTTTCACTTATTTTACTGGAAGCCCTAAAAGTTGTATGGGAGCAAGTGGGGTGGGGTATGGGGTGTTTATCTTGTTATTTGAAAGAGCCCTGTAAGATTGAACAGTCTGCACTCTCTGTCCTTTCCTGGAAGCAGAGGGCCCCGGCCAGGCCCCAGGGACTGGGCGCTTGTTTTCTTAGAGCACAGCGTACTTGAGGCTTGGGGCCAGGTGGAGCCGTGCTGGCCTGCAGGGAGGCTGGCCCTGCTTTCCCTACCAGGAAACAGAGATGACAAGGCTTTGAGCCCTGGAATTCCTCCCTGCCTCCGCCCTTCTCTCCTGCTCACTGAGGGCGCGTCCTGTGCCCTGTCATCCCAGGCCCATGTGACTCCAATTGGCGTATCTGTATTCCAATTCCAATGCTGACCGTTTCTCCAGGGCTGGCTGTTTTCCATCTGATGGGCTGGGTAATTCTCAGGATACCAGGTCCCTGGGCAGCAAGCCACGCTGTTCCCATCTCCCTTCCCAGAAAGATGCAAAAAGTACAAAGTCACCCACTCCCCCAGGCCCGGGCTGCTGACCAAGTGCCAGCTCTCAGAACAGAAATTCCATGTCTCAGTTCCTGTTCCCAGCTCCTCGGCCGCCCCCTAACACCCAGCAGACGCTCTGTGGTGCCTCCCACGGCAGAAGCCTTGGCCGTGGGTGAACTGGTGTGTGCAGTGGCTCTGCTGGCCAGCTCCCGGCTGTGGCCATGGTGACTCTGGCATCACTCCCTCTTGGCAGCACTGGGCCCCCTCCCCCAGCATTTCAGGATGTGTGTGATGGCAGGGAAACTCAAAATTTCCATGAGCCACTGAGAAATTCTAGAAACAGCCTGTACTTGTGGACTTTCCTTTTTCTTCCTCTGCCACAGGGAAGAGTGGGAATGTTATTTTTGGTGGGATTATCAGCTGGTTGACCTTCTCAGGGATGTGGAAAGGGAGGCTGCCTGCCCGCCCGGGCCTCTCTCCCACTGCCTGCCTTTGTGTCCCCCACCCCACCTCACTTTATGTTTTAAAAAAAAAAAAAACAACTCTGGCGGGCGCGGTGGCTGACACCTGTAATCCCAGCACTTTGAGAGGCCAAGGTCGACAGATCACTTGAGGTCAGGAGTTCGAGACCAGCCTGGCCAACATGGCTAAACCCTGTCTCTACAAAAAATACAAAAATTAGCCAGGCGTGGTGGTGGGTGTCTGTAATCCAGCTACTCGCCAGGCTAAGGTGGAAGGATCGCCTGAACCTGGGAGGCGGAGGTTGCAGTGAGCCGAGATTGTACCACTGCACTCTAGCCTGGGCAACAGAGTGAGACTGTCTTAAAAAAAAAAAAAAAAAAATCTTGGCCGGGCACGGTGGCTCATGCCTGTAATCCCAGCACTTTGGGAGGCCAAGGCAGGTGGATCACCTGAGGTCAGGAGTTTCAGACCAGCGTCACCAACAAGGTGAAACCCCGTCTCTACTAAAAATACAAAAATTAGCCTGGCATGGTAGCAGGCGCCTGTAGTCCCAGCTATTCAGGAGGCTGAGACTGGAGAATTGCTTGAACCCGGGAGGCGGAGGTTGCAGTGAGCTGAGATCGCGCCACTGCACTCTAGCCTGGGCAACAGAGTGAGACTCCTGTCTCAAAAAAAACACAAAAAAACAAAAACAAAAACAAACAAACAAAAAAACTCCACCTTAATGTTTTACATCTGTATTCCAGGCCAGCTTCTCTGGCTCTCCAGGGTCTTCAGTTCCGTTGAAACAACTGCAGGAGAGGGGGGTCCCTGCCCTCTCCCCAAGGTTGCTTGTAGTTCACCCGAGCATAAAGACCAAAGAACAGTAAAAGTGAAATGTGTGGCGCCTCATGAATGGGCAGTGGGAAAGTAACATGCTTTCAGTGGGTGTTGTTTGGGGATGGACACCAGGTACTACCCGGCCCTCCAGTCTCTGCCCTCCTGGAGCTGATAGTCTAGTTAGGAGGAGATGGATAATGAAAAAAGACTAATAGGGCATTAGGGTTCTCAATGCCTGGGAGTGGGCTTTTTTGTCCACATTGAAGAGGCGACGCTTGAACTGAGACCTGTTAGGAAGATCTAGGGGAAGAGCATTCTAGGCAGAGGGAATAGCAGGTGCAAAGGCTCTGAGGTCAGAATGAGCTTGATGTGTTAAAGGGATGGGAAGAAGGGCCTGGGTGGCTGGAGCCCAGTGAGTGAGATGAGCCAGTTATATGGTCAGCAGGATGGGCAAAGGCCAGTTGACACAGTGGTCTATAGACCAGGAAGAGGAGTTTAGATTTTATTCCATGTGGCTGGGTGTGGTGGCTCACACCCATAATCCTAGCACTTTGGGAGGATGAGGTGGGGGGATTGTTTGAGGCCAGGAGTTCAGGAGCAGCCTGGGCAATGTAGCAAGACCCCCGTCTTGAAAAAAGTTAAAAAAGAAATTAGAATGAAAAAGATTTTATTCTTCATATACTGGGAAGACATTGGAGGGGTTGAAGCAAGGAAAGTGATGTGATCAATTTGTACTTTATTTTATTTTATTTTTTTGAGAGACAGAGTCTCACTCTTGCCTAGGCTGGAGTGCAGTGGCTCAATCTTGGCTGACTGCAACCTCTGCCTCCTGGATTAATGTGATTCTCCTGCCTCAGCTTCCCAAGTAGTTGGAACTACAGGTGTGCACCACTACGCCTGGCTAATTTTTTGTATTTTTTTGGTAGAGACGGGGTTTCATTATATGTTGGCCAGGCTGGTCCCGAACTCCTGACCTCAGGTGATCCGCTTGCCTCAGCCTCCCAAAGTGCTGGGATTACAGGCGTGAGCCACTGCGCCTGACGAATATGTACTTTAGAAGGATGACTTTTTTTTTTTTTTTTTGAAATGGAGTTTTGCTCTGTTGCCCAGGCTGGAGTGCAATGGCACGATCTCGGCTCACTGCAACCTCCGCCTCCCGGGTTCGAGGGATTCTCCTGCCTCAGCCTCCCGAGTAGCTGTGATTACAGGCATGTGCCACCACGCCTGGCTAATTTTTGTATTTTTAGTAGAGATGGGGTTTCGCCATGTTAGCCAGGCTGGTCTCGAACTTCTGACCTCAGGTGATCCACCTGCCTCGGCCTCCCGAAGTGCTAGGATTACAGGCGTAAGCCACCGTGCCCACCCCAGATGACTCTTTCATTAAGCTGTGAACTTAAGATTTGGGCACTTGATATGTGCATATGTTAAACTTAAAAGAGGGGAGTTGGGGACTCTGACAGAACAGAGCTAGGTGCTGAGAGGAAGCTGGAAGCCCAGGTAAGAGATTGTATTTTATTTCAACATTTCCTCCATTCAAATTCCTTGTACTCCATCCACTTTGCAAGGAAGACTTGGATGATCTCTTGTCCTCAGGGAGTTTACAATGCAGTGTCTTCAGATTCAGAGAGTCCTTCCAAATTTTCCTGGAGGGGGCCTTGAAGAATGAGCAGCATTTAAAAGGCTATTGTCGGCCAATCGTGGTGGCTCATTCTTGTAATCCCAGCACTTTGGGAGGCTGGGGCGGGAGGATCTCTGAGCCAAGGAATTCAAGACCAGGCTGGGCAATAGGGTGAGACCCTGTCTCTACAAAACAATAAAAAAAGTAGCCAGGCATGGTGGTGTGAACGTCTGGTCCTAGCTGCCCGTGAGGCTGAGGTGGGAGGATCGCTTGGGTCCGGGAGGTCAAGGCTGCAGTGAGCTGTGATCATGTCAGTGCACTCCAGTTTAGGTAACAGAGTGAGACCCTGTCTTAAAAAAAAAAAAAAGGCAGTAGTTATTAAAAACTTGGAGTGTCCAGTTGGTGTTAAAGTCGTGATGCAGTTCATTCATCCACTCTCTTGCTGATGGGCTTTTGGGTCCGCCCTGGTTTTTTGTTACTGTGAATAGTGCTGCCATAAGACGTCCTCGGGGTTGAAAGTCACCCAGAAAGGAGCCTGTCCGAGTTGCAAGCTAAAAGCAGAAACGCTTTGTGGCAATCGATTGCTCCCTGGGGTTGGTGTTAGCTGGAAAGGGTAAGCCTTTAAGTCTGGTTAGAATTTTGATCCCTTGTTAATAGGCAGGCAGGCAGTTTGCAGGACGTGGAGGAGTGAAAGGGCAAGTGGAAATACATAAGTGGTTATGTTGTCAGGGAAGTCACTTCTTTTGTGCCATATTTTCTGGAAAGTGCCACCATACCCCCTGCCTTGAAGTTTTTAAACCTGAGGATAGGGGGCCTTGTGTGAGCGGGTGTTGGATCGTCTGGCCCTGAGTGAGAGCTGGGTGTGATATGAGCCAGAAGCCTCTGTCCTGGAACCCATTTGTGTGTGTGCCCTAGGCAGCCTCTCTTCAGAGCCCTGGGCCAGGTTCCTCCTGCTTCCTTTGTGTCTCTGGCAGGGAGCTTTAAGAAGACACCTGTAGCCGGGAGCATTGGCTCACGCCTGTAATCCCAGCACTTTGGGAGGCCAAGGTGGGCAGATCACCTGAGGTTGGGAGTTTAAGATCAGCTTGTCCAACATGGAGAAACCCCGTCTCTACTAAAAATAAAAAATTTAGCCGGGTGTGGTGGCGCATGCCTGTTCATGTCTGGAGGCAGGGGTGAGGATGTGTCTGTCTGTTTATATATGCGTTTGCACGGTGAGTGTGTGCATGTACACATTTAAGCAGCAGGTGCTTATTAAGATCCTACCAACCCCACAGGACTGTTAGGAAACAATCAGAAAAACCTAAAATATAAGCCCTGTCCTTCTAGGACCATATGACACTGAAACTAAGCAGGAGGTGAGAATGTTTCCTGGATGGGGATGGGACTGGTGCTGGAGGATTGGGGTGGATCTGAGGTGGTGCTATGTCCTGCAGTACACCCTGTTTTCTTCATCCAGGCCCTTCACACCTTGTGGAGAGAGTGCATGGGGTGCGTGCAAACCACTGACATGAATGGGACTTCCTAGTCCTGTGGCGGGGAGGAGTGTGGAGATAGAAACGTGTAGGGATGGAGGGGTAGGACATTTCAGATGCAGCCCAGGGCAAGAGAGCAGTGGCAGGTGAGGGTGACAGTGGGTAGGACGCCAGTTGGAGAGACCCCTGACTCCCAGGCAGAAGGGCCATAGCACATTGCTGGAGGGACGGAGTGTTGGGAGGTTGTGCTTTGGGTGGGGAGGGGCGGTGATGAAGTGGGGGCAGGAGGTTCTGGAGGGGAGGGGCTGGGTGGCCAGGAGGGAACAGCAGGGGCTGGAGTGTTTCTTTCTGTTCAGGAGCCTGGAATCGTAGGGGGATGCTCTGGGTTCGTGGTGAGCCCCACAGGGAGAAAGCAGAGGATGTGGGAAGGCCTTAACTTCAGTAATGGGATGGTGGCTGCCAGTGACCTTGAGCCAGAAGAATGTGCTGTGTGGGAGGTTTGGACAGCCCGAGGGAGAATGGAGGAATTATGATTCACTTGTCTACCTTTCTAACCCAATTTGGAAATATGGGCTTTTCCTTTCTTTCAGTAACCCTCTTTCTCATGAGAATGGGGCTTTTTTATTAATCTGTTGATAAGTATTTATAGTTACTGAGAAATCAAAAGTTCAAGATGCAGCCCCTGCCTTTCTTGCTGGCGCCCTGGTCGTGCCCTCTTGAGCAGGGACGACGCAGGGGCTGGGCTGGAAGGGGCCGGCGCTGAGCAGCGGCGCTTCTTACCTGTTTTGGTTAAGAGATCTGGAGATGGAATGAAAAAGCGCTGGCTCTGCCTGTGAGACCGGTAGCCCTCCGACTTCAGTGTGCATCATGATCACCTGAGCACTTAGTCAAACCCAAGTTGCTGGTCCAACCCCAGTGTCTGATTTAGTGGGTTATGGGGGGAAGTGCTAAGAGTTTGCACTTCCAGCTAGTTCCCAGGTGTCAGTGATGCTGCTGTTCCAGCAACCGCACTTTGAGAACCCCTTTCCTGGAGAAATTACCACACAAGACTCTGCATCTCAGCTGCAGACTGGCATGGGCGGGGTCTTTGAGGAGGAGTCGGGCGTGAGCGGGCTTGAGGGCTAGGAGATCGCGCAGGGGGAGGTAGTGGTACAGGAGGAC
Organism: Homo sapiens; assembly: GCF_000001405.40. Taxonomy (NCBI): domain Eukaryota; kingdom Metazoa; phylum Chordata; class Mammalia; order Primates; family Hominidae; genus Homo; species Homo sapiens. The sequence goes on from NC_000008.11 coordinate 22,389,456, forward strand.
CCGGGGGAGGTGGGGTAGGCTGGGGGCAGGTGGTCTTGGCTGCAGGCCCAGCAGTGGGGTTGCCACTGAGGCTTGGCTTCTGGGGTCCACTTGCTGCCCATCCAAGCATGCCTCGCTACTGCTGCACAGGTGCTTGTCATGGGCCAGCAGATTGACGTGAGCAGAACACAAAGGCTAAAGGTCTGCCAAGGGCCCACCTCCCCTCCCCGGGGTGGCGAGGTGAGAGGCTTAGGGGGGCTATCAGTCATTTTGAGAGGTAGGGCGTGCACAGGCTTCTTGTGAGAGGCCCTTGGAGGCACATTTTGCTCAGGGTATTGCTGCCAGAGAGTTGGAGTTAGCATTTATTAGTATTTATTTTACTATTTTGCTTTCTTTTTACAGTCCAGAGGTCTTTTGGTTTTTATACCTGTTATGCCGTGAATTCACAGGGAAGAGGTTCCAGTAGCTCAGGCCCGTACCCTTGGTCCTCACAGTGCCCTCCTCTGGGTGGGGCAGGCTGGCCCTTCAGTTGAACCTAGGTATCTTTCTCTTGGGCTTCCTTCTTTTTCTGGTCATTTTCCTGCACGCGTTCCAGGAAGCGGTCTTGGCTCTTAGAGCGCTCACTGTGCTCAATACGCACATTAATTCTCTTGGCCAGAATCTTGCCCTTGTTTGTTTACAGCTATGCCGACAGCATGGTGGGGAACACTGCAGACGCCTCTGGTTTTGCCATGGTAACATCTGTGGGTTATTCCTTTTTTGAACAGTACCCATTCCCTTGAGGTCTAATGTCTACAGTATCACCTTATAGATTCCCTTGTATGTGGTCAAAGGAACAACTCCATGTTTCCTTTCTTTTTGACACTAGAGCATACTTTTTTTTTTTTTTGAGACAGAGTCTTTCTCTGTCACCCAGCCTGGAGTGCAGTGGCACAATCTTGGCCCACTGCAACCTCCTCCTCCTGGGTTCAAGTGAATCTCCTGCCTCAGCCTCCCGAATAGCTGGGACTACAGGCACACACAACCATGCCCGGCTAATTTTTGTACTTTTAGTAGAGATGGGGTTTTTCCATGTTGACTGGTCTCGAGCTCCTAGCCTCAAGTGATCTGCCCACCTCGGCCTCCCAAAGTGCTGGGATTACAGGCATGAGCCACCGTGCCTGGCCTACAACTCCATGTTTTCTAGAAGGCCCCTCTCCTCTTCCCCTTTGTGTTCGTCATTTGGTCAAATTGCTGGAAGATGGTGGTTCCAGCTGAAAGGCTTTTTAAAATTTTTAACTTTTTTTTTTTAACAGGGTCTCGCTCTTGTGCAGGCTGGAGTGCAGTGGTGCAATCATAGCTTGTTGCAGCCTCAAACTCCTGGGTTCAAGCAATCCTCCCACCTCAGCCTCTCACACTGCTGGGATTACAGGGGTGAGCCACCACATCCAGCCCTTGAACCAGTCTTAAGTGTGTAACAGTCCCGCGGGGAGAGCCTGGACACCTTCCGGAGGGTGGATCCTGGGACATGCATTTCCCTGGTGTGGCTCATGGCAAGGACAGTGTGGTTCTGGAGCAGGCGGCTTCTTGTGCCATAGCTATCTGGTGGGAGCACAGGCAGCAGCTCCATGGCATCCCAGCTCTGCAACGTGATCTTTGCAAATAGGTAGCTCCTGGGACTTAGCCTAGAGTCTTGTTAATTCAGCTCTTCGAAGGAGCCTCTAGGCCATTTAATATCCTGTACAAAACCCCTGTCTGCCAAAATAGCCTAACTGCACCCTGATCTATACATCCCCCTTGTCATCATCATTCAGGTTAGGTTCCTTGTTGAATTGTTTGCTTTCCCTACTTTGTTGAGGGCAGGTGCTAGGTCCTTTGCATCCCCAATACCTAGCATGACTTCTGGCACATAATTGGTAAGCAGTGAGTATTTGTTGAATGGATAAACTCTTGGAGTGAGTTTTTAAAGCCAGCAGGTAATATGCTAGCTTTTAGTTCAATTAATGTAAATGAAATTCAAGGTCAGGGAGTTGTTTACTCTAGAGAAGTGCATAATAGGTGGTCCTGACACCTGACTTCAGATGATCTGGGTTAAAGTTGGTCTGTGGGCCAAGGAGGATAGAATGTCCTTGGAAAGTGGTTCTGAGCTCCCTGTTCTTTTTTTTTTTTCTTTTGAGATGGAGTCTTTGCTCTGTTGCCCAGGGTGGAGTGCAGTGGCGCGATCTCGGCTCACTGCAACTTCTGTCTCCCGGGTTCAAGCAATTCTCTGCCTCAGCCTCCCGAGTAGCTGGGGTTACAGGTACCCGCCACCATGCCCTGCTAATTTTTGTATTTTTAGTAGAGACGGGGTTTCACCACTTTGGCCAGGGTGGTCTTGAACTCCTGACCTCGTGATCCGCCTGCCTTGGCCTCCCAAAGTGCTGGGATTACGGGCATGAGCCACCGCTCCCGGCCAGGGCTCCCTGTTCTTTATCAGGTTGCAGGGGCGATGCAGGCCGACTTCAGTTAGAAGGGAGGCAAAACTTCTCTGTCTCTAGCACATTATGTGCCCAGCACTGTCCCAGGCACTGTGTTGCAGGCAGGGAGGAGAGGAGGACATAGAAGAAATAGGAGGGAAGGATGCATTTCAGAAAGTTATCTTCAAGGAATACAAATCTAGCTGGGGAGGCTCCCTGGGAAACAAGGTAATGAGGAGTCCATAATAGCCAGAGAAAAGTGCTGGAAAAGTGACCCAAGACGGCTTCCTGGACAGGGAGGCAATTGAACAGAACCAGAATTCAGGACTAAGTAAAGCCGTTGTCCTGAGAACCCAGAAGATGGGGAACTAGGAAGGTGCCGGGCTCAGTGCTGTGCTGTGCAGCCTTTAAGCTCTGTCTTGATCAGAGTGCCTCTGCGAGCTCGGTGCTTTCACAGTTTAATTGTGCCGGACACGCTTGGGAAGTTCCTGGCAGGCCCCAAAGTTGAACCCAGGGCGTGTGGCACGTCGTGTTGTCCAGTGATTTGGCCACTAGATCATTCTTTCTATTTATTTATCTGATCCCGAATAACAAGCCGGGAAGTTCTGCTTCATGGGGGTGACGTAAGTGATGGATGTGAGTACCGCGTTTCCTAAGCCACATGCCCGGCCTCACGGTCTGACAAATGGGAGTGAACTTGGACGACAGGGAGAATTTTGCAACTGTCTGGGAAGTGTTGATGGATGAATGATGAGAAGTGAGGTGACTCTGGCCCTGGCCTCGGGTGGGGAAAACACCGGCTGGCCACTGTGGGCCCTTCCCGGGTCCCTGCCCACCTGACTCAGTTGCTTTGGGAAGTCCCCTTTGCTCCAGCTCCAGCTGGGCTGGAGCAAGCCTGGCAAATGTGCTCCCTCCCTCCCTCCCTCCTCCTGGCTCCAGCGCCTGGGCCTGGCTGTCATTACACTCACTCCGCGCTCAGCGTGGGGCTAAATAAGCCATTCCCTGTTTGTCTGTGCCGCTGCCTGGGGCCCTGACCACCCGTCTCTGCCTCATAACCTCCTCCCACAGGCGCTGGCACACACAGTGGGGGCTCAGTAAATATTAGTTGGTGAACAGCAGGCTCAAGGTTCTAATTTTGTTCCCTGCTTCTGGGTCACCAGAGTTTTTATTATTATTTTTCTTAGTTTTCCCATCCTGCCCCTCCCATCAGCGCGAGGTTTCACAAGGAGAGTGAGTGGGCTCCGCTGGCCGCCCTCCTGCACTGTCTGGAAATTTCCCACCCTGGGTGCGCTTTGACTGTGCCAAGGCTTGAGGCGAAGGTCCTGGGAGCAGGAGCTGGAGGAAGATAATGCATCCTTTCAGGGTATGGAGGAGAGCAGTAGGTGGGAGGGCAAGAGGAGGCAGGGGGAGAATGGGCCGATTAAGCCCCGGGGCAGGGCCAAGCGAGGGTTGGTTTTCCAACTGTGAGATTTGCTGTTTGCCTGAGTGAAGGTGTCAGCCTAGGTCAGCTTGTCTGAGGGGAGAGTGGCTTCTCACACGGTGTTCTTTGGGTGAGTGGGGTGGGCCATGGGCTGGATGGTTTTTCTCAAAGCTCTTTCTACCCCCAGAGAAGCCTGTAGGGCAGTATTCAGTTGATGACCAAGCTGGCAGATGTTTGGGTTTCTGATTTCGTAAACTGGGACTCACACAGATGACTGTATCGTTGTTAGTTTGACCATGAATATCCAGAGTGTATTAATCAAGCATTTGTAAAACATTTGGCAGTTTCCGTAGCCAAATGTGTTTTTTTTAATTGATTTATGTTATTTTGATGATTTTTTGAGACAAGGTCTTTCTCTGTCACCCAGGCTGGGGTGCGGTGGCACAGTCATAGCTCACTGCAGCCTCAAACTCCTGGGCTCAAGCAGTCCTCCCACCTCAGGCCTCCTCAGTAGCGGGGACTACAGGCATTCATCACCACACCTGACTAACTTTTGCATTTTTTATAGAGACAGGGTTTCATCATGTTGCCTAGGCTGGTCTTGAACTCCTGAGCTCAAGCAATCTACCTGCCTTGGCCTCCCAGAGTGCTGGGATTACAGACATGGGCCACCGCCCCCAGCCCTGTAATGATTTTTTATTATTTCTTATCTGAAGGGGTGTTTTTTTTTTTTTTTGAGACAGAGTCTCGCTCTGTTGCCAGGCTGAAGTATAGTGGCGTGATCTTGGCTCACTGCAACCTCTGCCTCCGGGGTTCAAGTGATTCTCCTGCCTCAGGCTCCCAAGCAGCTGGGACTACAGGCGTGCGCCACCACACCCAGCTAATTTTTGTATTTTTAGTAGAAGCGGGGTTTCACCATGTTGGCCAGGATTATCTCTATCTCTTGACCTCGTGATCCACCTGCCTCAGCCTCCCAAAGTGCTGGGATTGTAGGCATGAGCCACTGTGCCCAGCCCTGTAATGATTTTTTATTATGTCTTTTTTTTTTTTTTTGAGTTGGAATCTCGCTCTGTCACCCAGGCTGGAGTGCAGTGATCTCGGCTCACTACAAGCTCCACCTCCCGAGTTCACGCCATTCTCCTGCCTCAACCTCCCAAGTAGCTGGTACTACAGGCGCCCACCACCACGCCCGGCTAATTTTTTGTATTTTTAGTAGAGACGGGGTTTCATCGTGTTAGCCAGGATGGTCTTGATCTCCTGACCTTGTGATCCGCCCGCCTCGGCCGCCCAAAGTGCTGGGATTGCAGGCGTGAGCCACTGTGCCCGGCCGATTTTTTATTATTTCTTATAGGAAGGGTTTTAATGCTCACCGTCAGTCCTCTTACCATACTTTCTGCATTCCTGAGCTCTCCGTATTTCCATTTCTGTATTAATTACATGCATTTCATTGTTAAGTCGTATTTCCCCCCTAGGAAGGGGACTATATTTTCTGACTTCTTTCATGCCCCAGAATTTCTGCCTGTTGTCTTTACCAAATTGTGTGATGTGTTGGCTGGGGATCATATTCTCGGCTCATAGTTTCTTTTGCTCTGAATTGTGGAGACTTTCTGACATTCTTGCATTCTCTTCTGACACTGAATGGTGCTATTCGGGAAAGAAGAAGGCAGTTTGAATTTTTTCCCGTTTGAAAGAAGTTTTAGTATGTTTCTCAATTTTCTTTTCTCTCTTTTTTTTTTTTTGAGACAGAGTCTCACTCTGTCGCCAGCCTGGAGTGCAGTGGTGCAATATTGGCTCACTGCAACCTTCGCCTCCCGGGTTCAAGCAATTCCCCTGCCCCAGCCTCCTGAGTAGCTGAGACTACAGGTGTGCGCCACCACACCTGACTAATTTTTATATTTTTAGTAGAGTTGGGGTTTCGCCATATTGACCAGGTTGGTCTTGAACTCCTGACCTCAAGTGAGCCACTGCACCCAGCCAGGAAAATCTTGTGTTTTATCTTAGAACACATCTTCCATTTCATTCTTGGGTTCCCCTCTCCGGGAATACGAGTTATCCTTTTGTTAGTCTCTTTGTCTTCTCACTGTTTTTGGTTTAAGTTTTCTTGTCCATCTGCATTCACTGTGATTATCTCAAACTTTCCTTGAGCCATTTATGCCTAGTGTTCCATTTTTTGAACACCAAGCATATAGGAGTTAATTTATATCCTGCTCAAGGTCATCGCCAAAGTCTGATTGCAAAAATTCAAAAACTTGCAACCTCAGGCTTAAATGGGTTAAATGACTGGCAGAATTTTGTTCTGTATTTGTCATAATGTATTGGTTCTTCAGTGAGGTTTTATTCCTCTTTTTTAGTAAGCCTGCATCCTCTTTTGGTCTCACGTTGGTTATAATCTCATCTTTGAGCTCTCGTCTCGTGGAACTGATGTTTTAATGAGGTTATTCCTCCGTGTGGAGCAGTGGTGAGGAACAGCTTTCTCTGGAGTTGTGGTTTACCTGTCTGTGGCTTGCTTTGCCTGCCGTTTCTTTTCCTCTTCCTCATGTGAGTGCAGTTCTGCTCACATGTTCTGTTGGCTCTAAAATAAGAAAGGAACTTTCCTCTCCAGGTTTGTCCCCACCTCTCAGCTCCAGGAGTGCTAAGGACTGGGTATTTATGACCTGTTTTCTGTAGCCTGAAGGAATGCTAGCTGTGTGGTGAGGTGGGTCTGTCCTCTATTCAGGGATTTAGTCCCTGCAGTGTGGCTCTGCTCACTTCCTTGGGAGTTGTATTCCTTTTCCGTTAGAAGAGAAGGCACACTTGGCCAGGCACAGTGGTTTCCGCCTGTAATCCCAGCACTTTGGGAGACCGAGACAGGTGTGTCACCTGAGGTCAGGAGTTTGAGACCAGCTTAGCCAACATGGTGAAACCCTGTCTCTACTAAAAATACAAAAATTAGCTGAGTGTGGTGGTGCATGCATGTAATTCCAGCTACTCAGGAGGCCGAGGCAGGAGAATCGCTTGAACCCGGGAGGCGGAGGTTACGGTGAGCCGAGATCACGCCACTGCACTCCAGCCTGGGCAACAGAGCAAGACTCCATCTTAAAAAATAAATAAATAAATAGAGAGAGAGAGAGAGAGAGAGAGAGAGGGGGGGGGGAGAGAGAGAGAGAGAGAGAGAGAGAGGGGGGGGAGAGAGAGAGAGAGAGAGAGAGAGAGAGAGAGAGAGAGAGAGAGAGGGAGAGAGAGAGAGAGAGAGAGAGAGAGAGAGGGGGGGGAGAGAGAGAGAGAGAGAGAGAGAGAGAGAGAGAGAGAGAGAGAGAGAGAGAGAGAGAGAAGACTAAGTGGAATTTGGAATTGGATCATGTCCTCAATTCAGAATGTGGCCCGGGAGCCCTTATTTCCTTCCAAGGGAGTCAGCCCATTGTTTTTGGTCCAGGTGCACCGTTTTTTTTTTTGCTCTTCCCCGGTAGCTTTTCCTCCTACTACTCAACTGAAGAGGAAAAAGACTTCCTCTTGCCACATTTGGGGATGTGAGTGAGAATTCTGGTTCTGCCCTTGTCATTCATTTGGTTTGTCAGGGTTGGGCCAGGAATAGAACATGAGCCATGCGTGGTGCCTCCTTCCTTTTTCCTTGCCTGTGGTTTTGAAGTTAATATATCTCTGATTAGATCTGTTTTCTTGTTTGGTTGCATTGGTTAATTTTTTTTTCTTTTAAAAGTTCTACTCATTTTGTTAATTATCAGGTGTAGGAAAATTACACTCCTATTTCATTTTTTCATCTTAAGTCTTTAGTGTTTCAATATGCTTGTTTTTATAATACTCATTAAACTCTGCAAGTTTATTCTCTTCTTTTCAAACTACGGATAGGGGTTCATTGTAATAATATGTTGCTTGTGGTCCTACCGAAAATTGGGCTTCAGATTCACGTCCGTGGCCCTTCCATTGCCAGGCAGCGCTTCCCAGGCCACTAGCACCCGCAGTCCTCAAGAGAAGTAGCCCTTGATTTTTTTTATTCCTTAAGACCTCCTCCTGGCCGGGCGCGGTGGCTCACGCCTGTAATCCCAGCACTTTGGGAGGCCGAGGCGGGCAAATCACGAGGTCAGGAGATCGAGACCATCCTGGCTAACACAGTGAAAGCCGGTCTCTACTAAAAATGCAAAAAATTAGCTGGGCGTGGTGGTGGGCGCCTGTAGTCCCAGCTACTCGGGAGGCTGAGGCGGGAGAATGGCGTGAACCCGGGAGGCGGAGCTTGCAGTGAGCCGAGATAGCGCCGCTGCACTCCGGCCTGGGCGAAAGAGCGGGCGAAAGAGCGAGACTCCGTCCCAAAAAAAAAAAAGAAAGACCTCCTCCTTCCACCCTGAGGCCTGGCTTTGTCCTTTGTCTGCAACTTGTCAGGGTTTTTCCCTACGCCTGGGCTCCAGATGGCTCTTGGCTCACCCAGGGCCTTTTGCTATTGTGTGACTCACAGAGAGCTAACCTTGAGCCATGGTTATCTGCTAGCTGGAGATACATTTCTATCAGGCTCAGCGGTCACAGCCCTAGAGTGGGAAAGGGAAGGAAGAGTGGAGAAAGCGCAGTCTGCTTGAAGGGCTGATGCAGAAATGAGCTGTTTTCCTGGGAGAGAACCCCAAGAGAGTGGTGGGAGCTACCTTTGTAGTTACTGTCTTGTGGACGGTCATAAGCCTGGGTGATGTGCCAGGATCATGGGTCCCTCGGAGACCCCTTTCTCTGTCCCTGAGGAATATGTGAGAACCAGACGGCTCATTTTACGTCCTTTGAGAAGACAGCTGCGGGGACGTCTTAGGATGATTCACTGAGGCCAGTCAGTGGTGGAACCAAGAGCTCTGGGGAACATAATTTCTATCAGCCTGGCGTCTACTTGGCCGCCCCCTCCACTCCCTCACCCACCCCTGCAACCCTGTGGTCTTTCTTTGTGTAGACCATCAGCCTTCTCATAATTTTAAGTAAAATGCTTAATAAAACCCCGGTTTAGACTGTCTTCAAACCGACCGCCACCCCAGAGCCTGCAGCTGACTCTGACCCCGCGTAAGAGCCCCACCCTGGCGAAGTCCTGTGCACCCACACAGCCTGTGCTTGGCGGGGCACAGTGGGCGCGAGGGGTCGGGGGGCAGACACACAGCTTCTTGGCGTCGGAAATCGTCTGAGTTGGGCAAGTTTGTCTCTGGAGCATTTGAGCTTAGTTTTCATGTTGTGTTTCTGCGCCCAGAATCTGAGAGTGGGAGTGGTGAGTTCCCTGGCCAGCAGAGTCGGGGTGCGGTGGGGGGTTGTCAGGAAAGGGAGGGGACAAGTGGATGCCCGGCTGCTCTGAGGCCTTGTTGGTTTCTGTTGCCTGTTCTCATATCTATGCCCAACCTCTAGACCCAGCGTCACAGAAGTGAATGTTTGCTCCTCTCTGAGAGGGGAGGTGGGCTTAGAAAAAAGTGCAGCATGCTGAACATCACAGAAGCGTCTGTGCAGGACAGAAGTGCCGCTTCTAGGCAGAGCTACTTCTGGACCAAGTGAAGGGTGACGGTAGGTGGAATTCCAATTATGGGCCTCTGGATGGTAAGGCAACTTCTGCGCTTCCATAGAGGGTTCCAGAACAGGTGTCTTGCTTTTTCCTATGTCTCCCTCCCACCTCCCCAAGGGTTGGGTCTGGCGCCTTAGACACAGAAGGAGGGCACTAAAATAATTTTACTTATTTGACCCTGAGGCAAGTGCACCCTCAGGCAGAGAGACTCCAGCCCCTCTCCAGCAGGAAGAGCTGGCCTGGGGGCGCTCCCAAGCCACAGCACACTTCGTTTTGTCTCCTTCCCACTTGTCTTTCTGCCCCTGAAAGGTGTCCATCCTTACTTGAGGGCAGCTGGCCTGACACCCTGGGGGGACTGGAGTGGCTCTCCAGGGGCCACACATGGAATGGAACCTGGCGTGGGGCTTCCTCCTGCAGCTGGGGCCATGCGCGCGGACCCCTGCCCGGCCTCCCCGTCCCAGCGGCGTCAACAGCTGTGTGTGTTTCCCTCTTCTTTCTTTCCTCTCTAATACCTTTTACAAACCTTTTCCCCGCTAAGAATAACTTGTAGTTAAAAAGAAGACAAGACTCCACTGGAGCAGAAAACTCCCCTTTCATGCCTGCCAAAAGGCCGGGGTCACTTGGACTTAAGTGTCACTCGCAGCTCCTAGATCCTCCCCAACCCTTGCGGGTGAGTGCATGTCTCAAGCGCTGGCCAGGCAGGGGGGCTGTGCTCGCTGAATCTGCACACCCCATGGAGACAGGTCTAGACCTGAGCCTGGATGCTGTCTTGTGGGCGTCAGTGCCCAGTGCAGCACACGTCCTGGAGGAAAGAGCAGCTGTGCTGCAGGGGAGAAAAGGTCACCTGGGAGAAGCGAAGGTGGTCCTGTGGGCTCATTCTTCTGATGGTACAACTTGAAGGTGCCTCTTGCCTAGCACTCCAGGCTGTCATAGCAGCCACCTGAGGGGCCGAGGGGCCGCTGGGTCTGGGAAAAGTAAATGCTTCGTAGATGCTCACCTCTAGGTGAGTGCCAGCCAGGCAAAGCTGCTAAAATCACCCTGAGTTTCCCACACCTGAAGTCTTTTGGGGTTTGTTTGCTCAGTGGTTTGAAGTTACAGCGGTTAAGTTTGAGAAATGCAGCTGAGGGGGGAACATCTGTTGGTTTATCTTGTTGAAGTAGCCCCAGAGCACGAGCACTGTGACAGTGTGTCCTCTAAAGGCTACCTAGGGCCGTCCCCTCATAGCACTGCAGAGCATTGTAAGCCAAGATTTGGATGCTTGTTGGGGCTGTTAGACATCGGGAAAGATCTGCACAGAGACACGCAGGACTTTGTGGATCTCCGTGGGTTCCAGGACATGTATTTTTATGTCTTTGTGCAGAGGGCATGGTGGTTAAGAAAGCACTGAATTTAACGTCATTCAGACCAGGCTTTGATTTACAAAGCAATTCAGCTTCTGGCTTTGCTGCTTGCTTCTGTGGGTCATGTTTCCTAATCGCTGAACCCCAGTGTCCTTGTCTGTTACGTGGAGTAAGTTTCCCAGCTTCTGTTAAAGGAACTGGGGAATGCCAAGTGCTTAGCAAGGTCTGCAATCGGTAAATGCTAGCTGCTGTCCATCATCTCTTTGCCTTTTCTTTTCTAAATACAGGCAGACCTCCCCCTTGTTTTGACAGTACAACTCCTGCCATCGACAGTTCACAGTCTGCTCTGATGGATAACCACTTTCTTTGTACAACAGGTTTTTAGTCATTTTTGCCTAAGATCCACCCTGCTCGCCAAAATTTAACATTTGTCTCTTGGTGGAGATTTGAGAGTTGTGAATCTCAAAGTAGCACTTTTACAAACCGTCGTTGTGGCTGATGCCGAATCCATCCATGTGGACTCAAAAGTATATATTCCACTGAAGAGTGATATTTTATGTCCCCAGATTCTGTGCGTGCCCCATACGTGGATCCTAAAGCATGTGATGTCCCTGGGTGTATCACAGTAGGGGACTTAAGTGATGTGTGTGCCCCAGGGCCTGTAGTTAAGATACTTTAGTTGGCCACAGGATATGCCTGACAGTTTCATTAGCAGCCTGATGTTTGGGTTGAGAGAGTCAGAGTTGGGAACCCTGCTGATTTATAAGTCTTATAATTATTATAGCTAAATTTTATTGAGTGCTTTCTATATGGTTCAGGTACTTGGCAAGGGCCTTGCCATATCTTATGCTGTTAGATCCTCAAAGTAATCTAATGAGGTGGATACCAATTTTATAGATGAGAAAACTGAAGGTAGAGGGAGACTGGGTTGCTTGTCTGTAGTTACTTACAAGCAGCTGTGCAGAAATTCAAGGTAGGTTTGTCTGACACTGAAGGCCATGATAAGCTGCGTCGCTGCTTTGAGTGATTCTAGAATGTTGACTCCAGTTAAATAATTCATCCAAGATCACATTGCTGGTAAGTGGCAGAGCCAGGATTCAGGCAAGCCTGCTCTCAGCCACTCTGCCGCTGTTCCTCTGTCGTAAGCAAAGCCTCAGGGCATGTGATGCACTGAGATTAGTGTCCGAGCCCTGGGTGCCTGGGTAAGAAATGGCTGCAGTGATTGGCTGCTTCTTGGTCTGGAGAAAGGAGACTCATTTTCCCCTCTGGATAATTTGTTTAGATCACTAATTAAATTATAACCATACTAAGGGAGGTGGTTAACAAAAGAAAAATCGTCATCAATCTTACTTTAAGCTTTCATTTATCTGTGTTCTTTCTTTCTGTCTTTCTCTTTCTCTTCTCTTTCTTTTTTTTTTTTTTTTTTTTTTGAGATGGAATCTTGCTCTGTCCCCCAGGCTGGAGTGCAGTGGCACTATCTCGGCTCACTGCAAGCTCCACCTCCTGGGTTCAAGTGACTCTCCTGCCTCATCCTCCCGAGTAGCTGGGATTGTGTGTGCCTGGCTAATTTTTGTATTTTTACTACAGACGGGGTTTCACCGTGTTGGCCAGGCTGGTCTCGAACTCCTGAGCTCAAGTGATCTGCTGGCCTTGGTCTCCCGAAGCGCTGGGATTACAGGCGTGAGCCACTGTGCCCGGCCTCATTTGTCTGTGTTCTTTCTCAGTTCTAAACTCTGCCACATAATTGCCCTGCTTTTTAACTTGCCGTTATGCCATGACTCATTTATAGCTGCATACTATTCCATGAAACTGATATGATTTACTTGACCCATAACACATCTTTCTGCATATAGCCTTTTTACTTTTGGATTACTTCTATTAAAGCAAATTAATTAATTATTAATTGTTAATTGAGGGATTTATATATTTTCCTTATCACATAACTTTTCAAGAGTCCCATTATAGGCTGGGCGCAGTAGCTCACGCCTGTAATCCCAGCACTTTGGGAGGCGGAGGCGTGTGGGTCACGAGGTCAGGAGATTGAGACCATCCTGGCTAACACAGTGAAACCCCGTCTCTACTAAAAATACAAAAACAAAATTAGCCGGGCGTGGTGGCAGGTGCCTGTAGTCCCAGCTACTTGGGAGGCTGAGGTGGGAGAATGGTGTGAACCCAGGAGGCGGAGCTTGCAGTGAGCCAAGATCTGGCCACTGCACTCCAGCCTGGGCGACAGAGCAAGACTCCGTCTCAAAAAGAAAAAAAAAGAAAGAGTCCCATTATTTATGCAGTCAATGGTATCTTATTCTATTGCTTAGCCTCACTAACATGAAATGTTTTATCTTAAAAAATTCTGGCCGGGCACGGTGGCATACGCCTACAATCCCAACACTTGGGGAGCCCGAGGCAGGAGGATCATCTGAGGTCAGCAGTTCGAGAACAGCCTGACCAACATGGTAAAACCCTGTCTCTACTAAAAATACAAAATTAGCCGGGTATGGTGGCCAGCGCCTATAATCCCAGCTACTTGGGAGGCTGAGGCAGGAGAATTGCTTGAACCCAGGAGGTGGAGGTAGCAGTGAGCCGAGATGGCGCCACTGCACTCCAGCCTGGGCAATAGAGTGAGACTCCATTTCAAAAAAAAAAAAAAAAAATGTTGCTATTTTAATAAGTAGCAAAATGGAACCAGCCAAGTTTTAAATTTATATTCTCAATACTATAGAGAGGCTGTTTTTTATGTTTGTTTACTAATTTGTACAGTATAGAAATAAACCTATGTCATATCAAATGGTATATATTTTTGCCAGTCTGTAATTTTTCTCTTTTAGTTATGGTGTTTGTTTGTTTGTTTGTTTGTTTATTGAGACAGAGTCTCGCTCTGCCGCCCAGGCTGGAGTGCAGTGGCACAATCTTGGCTCACCACAGGCTCTGCCTGCAGGGTTCACGCCATTCTCCTGCCTTAGCCTCCCGAGTAGCTGGGACTACAGGCGCCCGCCACCACACCCGGCTAATTTTTTCTATTTTTAGTAGAGATGGGGTTTCACTGTGTTAGCCAGGATGGTCTCGATCTCCTGACCTCGTGACCTGCCTGCCTTGGCCTCCCAAAGTGCTGGGATTACAGGCATGAGCCACTGCGCCCGGCCTATTTATTTATTTATTTATTTTGAGACGGAGTCTTGCTGTGTCGCCCAGGCTGGAGTGCAATGGCGCGATCTTGGCTCACTGCAACCTCTGCCTCCCAGGTTCAAGCGATTCTCCTGCCTCAGCCTCCTGAATAGCTGGGATTACAGACGTGCACCACCATGCCTGGCTAATTTTTTGTATTTTTAGTAGAGATGGGATTTTACCATGTTGGCTCAGCTGGTCTCGAACTCCTGACCTTGTGATCCACCCACCTCAGCCTCCCAAAGTGCTGGGATTACAGGCATGAGCCACAGTGCCCGGCCGATGTTTATTTTTTAATAGCTTTATTTCAGAGCATTTCAAACATATATAAGTAGACAGGGCCGGGCACAGTGGCTCATGCCTATAATCCCAGCAGTTTGGGAGGCCGAGGTGGGTGGATCACTTGAGCCCAGGAGTTTGAGACGAGCGGGCAAATATGGTGAAACCCCATCTCTACTAAAAATACAAAAATTAGCCAGGCGTGATGGCAAATGCCTGTAATCCCAGCTCCTCAGGAGGCTGAGGCAGGAGAATTGCGTGAACCTGGGAGGTGGAGGTTGCAGTGAGCCGAGATCGTGCCACTGCACTTTAGCCTGGGAGACAGAAAGACTGTCTCAAAAACAAACAAACAAACAAACAAACAAAAACTAGACAGAGAGTCTGATGAATTCCTATCTACCTGTCACTTAGTTCCAGTGAATATCAGCTCATGCCTGATCATGTCTCATCCACACCCGTGTGCTCATACCCCCTCCTTTATTATTTTGAAGCAGTCCCCAGATATAAGATGTCAAATCCATGGTTATTTCAGTACCTCTAAAACGACTTCTAAAAAATCATAACTGGCCGGGTGCAGTGGCTCACGCCTGTAATTCCAGCACTTTGGGGGGCCGAGGTGGGTGGATCACCTGAGGTCACGAGTTCGAGACCAGCCTGGCCAACATGATGAAACCCGATCTCTACTAAATATAGAAAAAAATTAGTTGGGTGTGGTGGCGGGCCCCTGTAATACCAGCTACTTGGGAGGCCTGAGGCAGGAGAATCACTTGAACCCAGGAGGCGGAGGTTGCAGTGAGCTGAGATTGCGCCACTGCACTCCAGCCTGGGCAACGAGTGAATCTCCCGTCTCAAAAAAAAAAAAAAATCATAACCGCATTGCTGTTTGTTTTTTTTTTTTTCATTTTTCAATCTAGTCAAAACTGTTGAATTTGTCCTTTTTATTCGTTTTTATTCTGTGCTTTCAAAAGAAGGGTTTTTCTCAAAGGCTAATTCAAGAAGGAGCAGAGAAGCAGAGACTGAGGGATAGTCTCAACATGTTCAGTGTGTGGCGGGCGGGCCTGGCGCAGTTGCCGGCACACAGGGAGAGGCCTCAGCTTCACCTGCCTTTTTCTCTCACAGGTTTATTCAGTCACCATGAAGCTGCTGCTGCTGCACCCGGCCTTCCAGAGCTGCCTCCTGCTGACCCTGCTTGGCTTATGGAGAACCACCCCTGAGGCTCACGCTTCATCCCTGGGTGCACCAGCTATCAGCGCTGCCTCCTTCCTGCAGGATCTAATACATCGGTATGGCGAGGGTGACAGCCTCACTCTGCAGCAGCTGAAGGCCCTACTCAACCACCTGGATGTGGGAGTGGGCCGGGGTAATGTCACCCAGCACGTGCAAGGACACAGGAACCTCTCCACGGTAAGGCTCCCCTGTGAGCCAGCAGCTCTGCTCAGCCCCGTCTCTGGCCTCTCAGGGTTCCCTGTCTAGTTGGGCCCAGGGCAGCCTGGCAGCTTGGCAGAGGTAGGATGAGGCAGACAAGTCTCGATGATAGAGTGGACAGGCTGATTCTTTCTCTCTCATTGTCTGAATCAGCAAATTCTGAGTCTTCTGCAGCACCTTCTGACCCCCTGCATAGGTGTTCTGAAGCCCTTAACAAAAGGCAGCCTGGGGCTGGGCACAGTGGCTCACGCCTGTAATCCCAGCACTTTGGGAGGCCAAGGCGGGTGGATTATCTGAGGTCAGGGGTTCGAGATCAGCCTGGCCAACATGGTGAAACCCCAACTCTACTAGAAATACAAGAATTAGCCAGGCATGGTGGCGGATGCCTGTGATCCCAGCCACTTGGGAGGCTGAGGCAAGAGAATCGCTTGAACCCAGGAGGTGGAGGTTGCAGTGAGCCAAGATCGAGCCATTGCACTCCAGCCTGGGCAACAGAGCGAGAATCTGTCTCAAAACAAAACAAAATAAAAGGCAGCCTGGAAGTGGGGTTCTCAGCCCCCCAGAATCTTCCTCAGCGCCGCACTTGAGTCACTCAGAAATACTGAGAAAACACGGCTCCCAGGACGGTATTTCTCATAGAGTTTACCATTGACAGAGTCCATTACACACTATCCCGGGTGAGCCCACAGTCCCTCAAGGTGCAGGTGAGATTATCTGCATTTTATAGGAGAGGACACCGAGGGTCCCGCAGTGAGTCCCTGCAGAGACCAGGGCTGGAACGCCAGGTCTTTGGATTCTGTGTTCTTTCTTCCATATCATCTCTGCTAATCAGACTCTGGGGCTATTTGTGGCAGCCAAATATAAGTCAGCCAGCAAAATCTTTATATATCGACTTTGTTCCCTGTGCTGGTGTTGTGAGAAATAGAGAAAAATGAGTCATATTTAGGGAGTTGACTGTCACGATGGGGAGTTCAACCAACAGAGGACAAAGTCAGCAGGCACTGAAATGAAGCATTGCATTTTGTGGGTTGGACAGTAATTGTAGGATGCAGAAATGAGAGGGGGAGATGAGTGTGCTGCAGTCATCAGGGAAGGCTCGAGCGTGGGGTGTCCTCCAGCTGCCCCTTGAAAGATGAGTGCAGTGTGGAGATAAAATGGACGGGGGTGCTGGGCACTGTGGCTCACGCCTGTAATCCCAGCACTTTGGGAGGCCTAGGCAGGCAGATCACTTGAGATCAGGAGTTTGAGACTAGCCTGGCCAACACAGTGAAACCCCATCTCTACTAAAAATACAAAAATTAGCTCGGTGTGGTGGTGGGTGCCTCTAATCCCAGCTACTCCGGAGGCTGAGGTGAGAGAATCACTTGAACCCAGGAGGTGGAGGCCTCAAAAGTTGGGGGGGAGGAGCGGGGCCGGGCGCGGTGGCTGACGCCTGTAACCCCAGCACTTTGGGAGGCTGAGGCAGGTGGATCACGAGGTCAGGAGATCGAGACCATCCTGGCTAACACGGTGAAACTCCGTCTCTGCTAAAAATACAAAAATTATCTGGGTATGGCGGGAGATACCTGTAGTCCCAGCTACTTGGGAGGCTGAGGCAGGAGAATTGCTTGAGCCCAGGAGGCAGAGGTCGCAGTGAGCGGAGATTATGCCACTGCATTCCAGCCTGGCGACAGAGCGAGACTCCATCTCAAAAAATAAAAATTAAAAAAAGGGACGGGGGAACCACGTGGCTTGGATGCGAACACCTGAGCACATCAGATGCTGAGCCAGAGACAAGCACGCCCCCGTGCCCCCGCGGGGTAATGCAGCTGCGTGAGCCTCAGGACCCGCCAGGATAGCAGCAGCATCTCGGGGTGGCGGGAGTCCAGCCCCCAGCCTTAGAAGCGCAGGCACTTATTTTGGGAGCACACCAAGAGGGCTGACTCTCAGAGATAAGCCCATGTGAGACCGAACTCAGAAAAGGCCTGGCATGTAGGTGTAGACAGTATAATTAGAAGTGGAGCTGCAGATTTCACAGGAACGGTTCGTGAGAAGCGCTTACCTGCTGCCTCCCAAGGTGACTGTGTGTGGTGGCTGCTGGCCGGCCATGGCCCACTTCCCTGAATCTTCAGGTTTTCCTCCCCTAACCTCTGTGAACACATATGTCTTTCAGGCTGAGGGCAGTCCTATGGTTGAGGATGTGTGGGGCTGATCGGGCAGCACCACAGTTTTGGCAGAGCCCCGCCCTTAGACATTTCAGCTTCAGAGAAGTAGCTGGAACCCGCATTTTAACATAATAGCTCCCTGGGCTATTGTGATGTGCAGCCAGATTTGGTACGAAGCTTGTATCTTCAGGCACACACACAGAATGGTGTTTTCTTTCTCTTTTGTTTTGTGGGGGATGGAGTCTCGTTCTGTTGCCCAGGCTGGAGTGCAGTGGCGCGATCTCGGCTCGCTGCAACCTCCACCTCCTGGGTTCAGGTGATTCTCCTGCCTCAGCCTCCCGAGTAGCTGGGATTACAGGCGTGAGCTACCACGCCCGGCTAATTTTTGTATTTTTAGTAGAGATGGGGCTTCAACATGTTGGCCAGGCTGGTTTTGAACTCCTGACCTCAAGTGATCTGCCCATCTGAGTCTCCCAAAGTGCTGGGATTACAGGCGAGAGCCACCGCACCTGGCCCCAGAATGGTGTTTTCTAGAAACTATACCCTAGTGACAATATTTTGCTTTTTTTTTTTTTTTAAGAGACAGGGTGTTGCTCTGTCACCCAGGCTGGAGTGCAGTGGTGTGATCATAGCTCCTTCACTGTAGCCTCCAACTCCTGGGCTCTAGCAGTCCCCCTGCCTCAGCCTCCTCAGTAGTTGAGAGTACAGGTATGTGCCGCCACACCTCACTAATTTTTCAACTTTTTGTAAAGAAGGGGTCTCATGTTGCCCAGGCTGGTCTCCAATTTCTGTCCTCAAGTGATCCGCCTGCCTTGGCCTTCCAAAGTGCTGGGATTACAGTGTTAGCCACCGTGCCCTGCCACTTTGGTGACAATGATTGGAATCTTGTCATTCCCAAAGTTTCTCAGGCACTCATTTACCGACGGTTGTGCTTATGATGTGTAACTTTCCTGGCTGGCTGAGCCATAAGGATTAGTTACTAGTTTTTTAAGTTTAGGGAATACCTTGCCCTCATCCCTAGACTAGATGAATCTACAAATTCCCTGAAATTTGGACATTTCTGTCTTCTCTTTTTCCTCTGGGAAGGCTGAGTAGGTTGCTGTTTAGCAGGGCAAGGCCTGACCTTTGGGGTCTAAGCGGCTTCCTGCCCTTCCTGTGTTTCAGTGCTTTAGTTCTGGAGACCTCTTCACTGCCCACAATTTCAGCGAGCAGTCGCGGATTGGGAGCAGCGAGCTCCAGGAGTTCTGCCCCACCATCCTCCAGCAGCTGGATTCCCGGGCCTGCACCTCGGAGAACCAGGAAAACGAGGAGAATGAGCAGACGGAGGAGGGGCGGCCAAGCGCTGTTGAAGGTGAGCCAGGCCAGGAAGGCAGGAGCCCATCTCCCATCTCGCCCGCGTCTCACAAGGACCCCTGGGCTGAGCTGCTGCTGCTCCTCACTGAATGCCTCACCAGTGATGACCAGGATGAGGTTGTCGGTGTCAGGAGCGGGAGCGATGATTGGATGGATAATTTTTGTATTTTGCAAGGATGGCCTAGCACATTGTCAGACTCCTGGGCCGTAGCTGGCGAATGTTCAGAGCGTTGGACTTCTTGAGCGGCCTATGGATCCCTTTTTGGTCTGCTTTTTGTTTCATGTTGAACCACGGGGGCCCAACCCTTTGGCTTTTTTAATCTTTTTTTTTTTTTTTTCTGAGATAGGATGTCGCTCTGTCTCCGAGGCTGGAGTCCAGTGGTGCAATCATAGCTCACTGCAGCCTTGACCTTTTGGCCTGAAGTGACCCTCCTGCCTCAGCCTCCTGAGTAGCTGGGACTACAGGCGTGCACCGCCATGCCCAGCTAATTTTTAAATTTTTTGTAGAGACACGGTCTCACTATGTTACCCAGGCTGGTCTCAAACTCCTGGGCTCAAGTGATCCTCCTGCCTCGGCCTCCCAAAGTGCTGGGATCACAGGCATGAGCCACCATACCTGGCCTACTTTGGTTTTATAGTTTTTCCTTTAAGACCTCCCGGAGGCTGCACTTGGCCCCTGAATCCTTCTTCCCCTCCCTATCCCGGTATCCCTGATCCAGCCACAGTGGGCTTGCCACGAGCTGTGAGTGTACACCCTGATAGCCCTAAGCCCCATAGGGCCGGCGTGTGCTGCCTGAGTGTCGGCACCCGGAATATACTGTCTGTGTTACTGCAAGTCCCTGTTTTCTGCTGTCGTTATTTACTTGTATGGCTTTTTTTGTTTTTTTTGTTTGTTTGTTTTGAGACAGACTTTCGCTCTTGTTGCCCAGGCTGAAGTGCGGTGGTGCAATCTCGGCTCACTGCAACCTCCGCCTCCTGGGTTCAAGCGATTCTCCTGCCTCAGCCTCCTGAGTAGCTGGGATTTCAGGCACGCGCCACCACGCCCAGCTAATTTTTTGTATTTAGTAGAGATGGGGTTTCACCATGTTAGTCAGGCCGGTCTCGAACTCCTGACCTCAGGTGATCCACCTTCCTCAGCCTCCCAAAGTGCTGGGATTATAGGCTTGCGCCACCGCACCTGGCCTACTTGTATGGTTTTTAGGCTTCCATTGCTGTTTGCATCCGTCTCTCCATGGAAAAGGTGTTTCTCTTGGATAGCAATTTTGATAGTTTCCCTAGGCTTCTCCGCAGCATCTGGTGAGAGATGGACTCAGCAAATGTTTACTGATGGGTTGGTGGATCTCAGTCTGCCCCATCACACCTGAATTCAGAACAGGGCCGCCCCAGGCAGCAGGAGTGTCCCCACCCTCAGTAATAGAGGCCCTCGTCTGTTCTTGTTCCTCCACAGTGTGGGGCTTTGGTTTTCTCAGTGTCTCACTGATTAACCTGGCCTCTCTCCTGGGAGTCCTCGTCCTGCCCTGCACAGAGAAAGCGTTTTTCAGCCGTGTGCTCACTTACTTCATCGCCCTGTCCATTGGAACGCTGCTGTCTAACGCGCTATTCCAGCTCATCCCAGAGGTGCAGTAGAACAGAAACTTGCGCGTCCTCTTTCCCTGGGGCGGCACAGCTGAGCCAATCCCCTCCTCCCCTACCCTGGGCTCCAAGGCACCCAATGACTGCCACCTGAGAAATGAACCTGTCCCTCGTATCAAAGCCACAAACGACTTCTAACTCTGGATCTCAGGGCCCACCTCTCACTCCTCTGGCCTCTGCAGGTGCTGTCAGATGCAAGGTTCTTCCAATTTCCCTCCTCCTGGGGACTTGACAGTCTCCCCTCCCTTGTTAAGCCCCATACATAAGGCATCAAGGGAAAGCAGCAGCTATCGACTGCCGTCCATGCCTTTGGTGCTAAGTACTTGCTCTATTCTAAGGAGAAATCCTGGCAGTACTCAGGTCTGGGCACCAAGAGCTTATCCATCTGGAATGAGATGGAAGGAAAAGAGGTTACCAAGTGATATGTAGAATTGGCCTAAAAAGCGAGTGTTCTTTAATTTTGAGCAGGCCATCGTTTCTAGCATAGAGAGCCAAACACAGAACAAAGACTAAGACCAAACAAAATTAAAATGACAAGATAAATGGAAGGGGCACTCAGCCCTTTGTACCTTGCATCTTGACTTTTTTCTGATAGGACTGACTTCCTGGTACCTTGACTTGACTGTTTTGAAATGTTAATTTTGTTGTTTAATTGTTATCATAGAGGAGCTATAAAAATAAGGCCCAAGTTGACAGTCTGCCCACTTTTTTAGCTCAAGCAGGGATGCTGCTGTGGAGGGTGAGGATACGCAGACGTGTGGTTGACCCCATTAGGGAGTCATGGATGCTGCCCTTCACAAAGATCCCATGTCAGCTGCTTCTCAGGCTTTCCCAGTCAAAAGACTCACCCAGAAAAGACAGCAGATGGGATGCCATGCCTTGCCTGTTCTTCCTGGTTGAATGTGAACCATCTTGGTGCCATCTCAAAATTCTGCATGGCTCTGACAAACACTTTGCAGGGGAGGCCTCAACTTGGGCTATTTTTTCAGCTCCAGCAATGGAATATATTAATTTTTTAAAGATTTGAAATGAAAGGCCTTGTGACCTCCTGGAATGGAAATACTGTAATTGTGTGTGCTCCACCCCTGTGGCCTGCCAGGGAGTGTCTCATCCTGGTCTGGTTCTGTCTTGCCCTCTTTTGGGCCTGGACAGAGTGTCACAACTGGGAAATGTTCAAGGAAATATTTTTGTGACAGGGTGTTCCTGGAACTCTGTTCTTTGTGCTTGAGCCCCTCTCAGAGCACATGGAAATGAGCAAAGAAGTTGAGAGGTTAAGACACTGAATTTTATGGGCATTGGGCATGAATTAATCGTTCTCCATCCCTTCTGCCCTGCACATCTGGCTTGGTTGTGTCTTGCACAAAGCAAACCAAGTGGTCGTGGTGTCACCCGAGCCTGCGCCGTGTGAATTGGACATGCAAAAGCAAACGCAGCAGCAGAGTGATCAGCCTCTTTCCACCTGCTTGCATGTCCTATAAAGAGAGCCCTCGAGTCCAAAGTCTGTCCTGGACAGCCTCTGTGATAGGTCTGGGCAGACCTTGGGTGTGTGACGAGGCAGCACCCTGCCCTGCCAGTCACACCACTGGCAGGAACGATTTGGGGCCACCAGTGGCCACAGGGGCAGAAGTCACAGGGTTCCAAGGCCACCTTGAATTCCTCTTTCTTCTGAACTGATTGAAGGAAATTTCATCAGATGTGAATCACTAACAAATTTTCTATTTCTCTCTCCCTCCCTACTTGTCTCTCTCTGATTTTTCTTTTTTGTTCCGTTAATATCCACCAAACTTTTCCTTGCGACCTCCCTATCTGCTCCACCTTCCTCCCGCTAAATGGTGGTTGCTGTGCAATGGGGCATGTGCCTTCTCTCCCTGCCCTGGGTGGGGCTGGCCCTCCCTCCGCACGGCAGTGTGGGGATACGGTCTCCTCTGTGTGACCGTCATCTCCCTCTGCTCCCTCCTGGGGGCCAGCGTGGTGCCCTTCATGAAGAAGACCTTTTACAAGAGGCTGCTGCTCTACTTCATAGCTCTGGCGATTGGAACCCTCTACTCCAACGCCCTCTTCCAGCTCATCCCGGAGGTATGGCAAGCCAGGGCCTTCACCCCGGAGCATGCCGGCGGGCACAGTGGGAGGACCTCCGTTTGGATAGAAGGCATAGAGAGGGCACCTGGAGGCCCTTTCCTTTTGGAAAGCGAAGCTAGAACTTAGGCGTGAACTAGGAGAGGCAGCCCAGCATAGGCTGAAGAGCTGGGTTCAAATCTCAGCTCTGCTATCAGTAGGTTCCGTAACCCCAGGCACACCACTGACCTCACACTGCCTCTGTTTCTTCAGATGTGAAATGGGGAGAGCAATAGACCGGCCTCAGGATGATGTTGTGAGGGTGGAACGAGCGAGTCTGCTGCAGCACTGAGTGCCTGGTGCGGAAAGTGCTGTCTGATGTGGGGTGAAAAGATGCAGTGTAGCGAGCTCACTCTGGCTTAGTTGTGGTGCTCAGATTAAGGCTTTGGGTGCAGAGAAGTTTAAAAAACATCATCAGCCGGGTGCAGTGGCTCACACCTATATTCCCAGCACTTTGGGAGGCTGAGGCAGGTGGATCGTTTGAAGTCAGGAGTTCAAGACCAGCCTGGCCAACATGGTGAAACCCCGTCTATACTAAAAACACAAAAATTAGCCAGACGTGGTAGCGCACGCCTGTAATCCCAGCTATTCGGGAGGCACAAGAATCACTTGAACCCAGGAGATGGAGGCTGCAGTGAGCCGAGATTGCACCACTGCACTCCAGCCTGGGTGACGGGAGTGAGACTCCGTCTCAAAACAAACAAACAAACTCCCACATCATCAGAACCCACAGTTCTCAGTAAAAAGATTGTCCATAGGGAGTTTTGGGGCAAAGGCAATGCAAGTCAAACAATGTCTGGTTTTATATACCTTGATGGTACCTTTGCCTAATAAGTTCATGAGAAAACTTGCCACAAAAGAAGGAGCTGATGGTTCATCTAATTTGGTGTAATCCCCTCAGCAGACCCATTAATTACAATAAGCACAGGACGTCTCCCTGTGGGTGGTCTCGCAGGCCTGGACAGAGCCGCAGTTGAAGCAGAGATGACTGCATGCGCCTCTTACAACACTTGGTGTTTTCTGAAATGTCAGTTGGCTCCCTCCTAGTGGATCCTTAGGTTAACTCCATGGCATCGATAGAACAAGTAACGTTTTACCACGTTGGAATCTGACCTGCACAAGAGCGCATATCCCTGAGTCGAGAACCCAGCTTTTGGGATTTCTGAAGCTCAACCCCATGATTCTGTATTCACCATCCTTTGTGGCTTTTTGCAGAGAAGTGTTCGTTGCCTATTTTCACTTCACTTTTCCCCCAAGATGATTCGACTCCCCTGGAAAGTCAACATGAAAGTGTTGTTTCCCTGGAGGGTGGTGATTCAATTTGGCCTGTTTAAAACATAAAGGCAACAAACAGCCCAGAGTTCCTTGAAGTTGGGATCAACTTTTATTTTGGACCAATTCATGAGAGGGCTGAAGTTTATTCAAGGCCCGTTTCCCATCAGAAAATGGAGGAACAACCCGGTAAATATATATACTTCCTATGTACCCACAAAAAAATTTAAGAATAAAATAGGAGCAAGTCGTTAGATACTTTTTTTTGTTTGTTTTTGAGACAGTCTCACTCTGTCACCCAGACTGGAGTGCAGTGGTGCCATCTCGGCTCACTGCAATCTCTGCCTCCTGGGTTCAAGCCATTCTCCTGCCTCACACTCCCGAGTAGCTGGGATTACAGGTGTGCCACCAGGCCCAGCTAATTTTTGTATTTTTTTTTTTAGTAGAGTTGGGGTTTCGCCATGTTGGCCAGGCTGGTCTCAAAACTCCTGGCCTCAAGTGATCCACCCACCTCGGTCCTTTAAAGTGCATGAGCCACCGTGCCCGGCCAGGTCATTAGACACATTCACAAGAACCCACCATAAATCAGGAGCTTACCCTAGGACAGAATTCTCTTGATTTCTACTCCTGTCCTCTTCCCAGTGGATTCTCCCCTCCCTCTTTGATAAGTGACAGTTTCAGAAAGGACTCAAAACAAAACCCAAAAATTGACGCTCGCAATAACACAGTCCACTTTCTTGGTTCTGTGGTCACTGGGAGGTCTGCGGTTAGGAAAACGCTGCAGTTCTTATTACTTAACTGGGAAATGGGTTTCCCGTTTTAGAAAGTATAATTACACCATCTCCCTTTGTGTTTACAGGCAGGTCAGCCAGGAACACTAGATAAGATGAAAATAAATACAAGTGTCTGCTCCTTCAATATGAAATCTATTGGCAGAGAATGCCTTCATAGCAAAGCACCAAGATAAATCAAAAGTGGAAAACCATATCGGAGGTTTTTCTTTCTGGGATTAAAATTCTACAGATGATCAGTCTTTTGCATCAGCAAATAAGCTTGAGAAGAACCTGGCAGGTTTAGTGATGTCACATCAGGGAAACACCAAGGACTAGATTTTTGCTGGAAAGAGGATGGGTAGACGGCAGAGTTACTCCATTATGCCTCTCTCCTTTCCTAGAGTCAAGGAAGTAGTTAAGAGATAAGAGGGGGATCAGTAAAGATGCTTTATTTTCTTTAAAACTCATTTTCTTTTCCTGGGTCCACAGGCATTTGGTTTCAACCCTCTGGAAGATTATTATGTCTCCAAGTCTGCAGTGGTGTTTGGGGGCTTTTATCTTTTCTTTTTCACAGAGAAGATCTTGAAGATTCTTCTTAAGCAGAAAAATGAGGTGAGGCCCAATTGTTGCTGAAGAAAGCTCTTCTAGGGAAAACACCCATCTCAAACAATGTTGATGTATTGTGGTGGTGGTGGTGATGGTCTTAGCCCAATATCACAATTTCCGTGAAACTCTAATTTCTTGAGGAGACAATCCCATTTCACCTCCTGAGGATATTTGGCCAGAAGTGAGGCCAGACCAGAAACTAGATCTGGCCAGGGTGCCTTCTACTAAGCAGTAGTTTATCCCCTTTGTTTTGTTCTAAGATTATTTCCTTAATATATTTGTATCTTTACAGGATGGGGAGAAGAGCTTGATACCATGCATTCATTCTGTATGAAGTATGAGGCTGCAGAGAAACAGGACTATTATAGTACAGTTTCAAAAAGATATCTTTAGTGGCTGGCATGCAGTTATTCCCTAAATAGCTGCTGAATTGAGTGAGATTAGCCATTGCAAAAGAGGAGCTCTAAATATTTGAGCAGTGGCTGCCTTGGTGGAATAAGCATGTACCCCGAGGAGACAGCTTTGATATCTGTCTGACACCAGGTCCTTCGCACTTGGTGCAGATTTATATATATAGATATTAGAAACGGGGTCTCGCTTCGTTGCCCAGGCTGCTCTCAAACTTCTCAGCTCAAGCAGTCCTCCCACCTCGGCCTCCCACAGTGCTGGGATTACAGGTGTGAGCCACCGTGCCCGACCATGGCTTTATATAATAGCTTTTGCTATGTTTCTGGGCACGTGACCTGCTTGTGTCATCTTCGATGGTAAGGCTGAGGTCTTCCAGTGTGTGAAGCACTTCCTTGGAGCAGGTGCTCAATCAGGTTTGTGGTTTTGGTGAATGTCATGCTGATCCCTCCCTGTCACCCTTCCAGCATCATCATGGACACAGCCATTATGCCTCTGAGTCGCTTCCCTCCAAGAAGGACCAGGAGGAGGGGGTGATGGAGAAGCTGCAGAACGGGGACCTGGACCACATGATTCCTCAGCACTGCAGCAGTGAGCTGGACGGCAAGGCGCCCATGGTGGACGAGAAGGTCATTGTGGGCTCGCTCTCTGTGCAGGTCAGTGGGCCACCAGCTGCTTGGTGGAGCCTCTAAGAGGTTGACTCAGGCTTACCTTGAGGGCACATGGTCCAGCCTTTGACGCTGTGGGCCCTGGGGGTGTGCTTTCTCCTAGGACCTGCAGGCTTCCCAGAGTGCTTGCTACTGGCTGAAAGGTGTCCGCTACTCTGATATCGGCACTCTGGCCTGGATGATCACTCTGAGCGACGGCCTCCATAATTTCATCGATGGCCTGGCCATCGGTGCTTCCTTCACTGTGTCAGTTTTCCAAGGCATCAGCACCTCGGTGGCCATCCTCTGTGAGGAGTTCCCACATGAGCTAGGTAAGCGTGCGTCCCCCGTTCCACTGGTGCTCCCTTGGGTGGTGGTGTAGGCCCCCTTCCTGTGGCCGGTTCCTTGCTCCCATCTCCCTGTCTTCACAGTGCTTATTGTAACTGATTTAACACACTCCTAAAGCTTCATGGACCCTAATCACCTTTTTTTTGGAGACGGAGTCTCGCACTGTTGCCCAGGCCGGAGTGCAGTGATGTGATCTCGGCTCACTGCAACCTCCACCTCCTGGGTTCAAGCGATTCTCCTGCCTCAGTCTCCCAAGTAGCTGGGATTACAGACGCCTGCCACCACACTCGGCTAAATTTTTTTTTTTTTTTTGGATTTTTAGTAGAGACAGGGTTTCACTACGTTGGCCAGGCTGGTCTTGAACTCCTTACCTCGTGATCCGCCCGCCTCAGCCTCCCAAAGTGCTGGGATTACAGGCTTGAGCCACCGAACGTGGCCTAACCACCATTTCTTAACGATTAAATAGATAATTTAAAATGATGGGGTTTTTACAGGGGTGTTTGTTTCCTTTTAGCCCCATATGCAGTGGCTCAGTTCTCACCTATACAGTGGGGTTAATAAGAGCACCTCCTTTTAGAATAATAGTGAGGATTAAAGGAAAACAAAGGGTGAGAGGGACTTCCCATGTGCCAGGTGCTATTCTGAGCACTCAGTAAAGGCTCTCTTTTGTAGCCTGTTAATCTTCCAAAGGCTCAGGTGCCTGGCAGGTGCATGGCAGCTGGATGAACCAGGGGGTAGGAGGGACTTAGTTTGATCAGAGGGAGAGTGTAAAAAGCTAGTAATTACTCCAGAGGCTTTAGGGACGACGTAGGGTCAAGTTCTGGCTTTGCCATATATTGACTTGTGACTTCGGGCAAATCACTTCTCACAGTCTCGACACTTAACTTCTCGCAGTTTTGATTTTGTTTCCATGGTAGTTGTGAGGAAGGGGGTTCCTTCTGTTTCACTATGAATCCAGAGAGAAATGAGGAGGCCAGTGCCAGCTGGTCATCTATTTTTAAAATCCTGAGAAAGATTTTCAGCCTTTAGGCTGGGTATACGGCCAGTTTGGCAAATGGAGACGGGTCCTGAACAGGAAGTTCAAGGGCCTGTCTTGTCACTTCTGTCTTGAGTCTAGGGCTGTCTTGATTTTTTTCACCCACACTTTTAGCAGTCTGATGTCATCGGTGCCCTCTGTCTCCCACGACCTTGTATGACTGGCTCTCACTTTGTCGCCAGGCTGGATTCAAACTCCTGAGCTCAAACAGTCCTCCCAGCTGAGCCTCCTGAGTAGCTGGGATGACAGGTGTGCATTCACCATGCCCATCTTACTCTTCCTTCCTCGTCCCTCCCCTTTTCATTCTCGCTGCTGTAGGAGACTTTGTCATCCTGCTCAACGCTGGGATGAGCATCCAACAAGCTCTCTTCTTCAACTTCCTTTCTGCCTGCTGCTGCTACCTGGGTCTGGCCTTTGGCATCCTGGCCGGCAGCCACTTCTCTGCCAACTGGATTTTTGCGCTAGCTGGAGGAATGTTCTTGTATATTTCTCTGGCTGATATGGTAAGTGTTCCACAGTTCACTGGATGAGAGGGCGGCTAAGGGGATGGATGTTAGGTAGGTAGTTTTTTTTTATTTTTATTTTTTTGAGATGGAGTCTCACTCTGTCTCCCAGGCTGGAGTGCAGTGGCATGATCTCAGCTCACTGCAACCTCCGCGTCCCGGGTTCAAGTGATTCGCCTGCCTCAGCCTCCTGAGTAGCTGGGATTACAGACGTGTGCCACCACGCCTGGCTAATTTTTGTATTTTTAGTAGAGATGGGGTTTCCCCATATTGGCCAGGCTAGTCTCGAACTCCCGGCCTCAGGTGATCCACCCGCCTCGGCATCCCAAAGTGCTGAGATTACAGGCATGAACCACCGCACATGGCTGGTAGTTTGTTTTTAATAACATCTTCCTTAGCTTTCTTTCACATACCACAGAGTTCGTCTGTTTAAGGTGTACCTACCATTCAGCGGTTTTTAAGGGGGCATTAGATTTTAAAGGAGGAAAAGTTTATGTTTTTGTTAGCATATGTCATTAAAGAAAATGATTATAATTTATCTATGGTCTTTATTAATTATTATGGAATGGCTGTATATAGATAAGAGACAGAAGAAAGGAAAGAAAATTACGCATAATCATACATCATACTACCCCTAAAACAATAATAGCAATACTTTGGTTTGTTTCTTTTTTTATCTCAATGCATTGGGTGTGTCTTTTTCTTTAATTTTTTTTTTTTAGACAGAACCTCACTCACCTAGCCTGGAGTGCAGTGTGTGATCATAGGTCACTGCAACCTTGAACTCCGGAGCTTAAGTGATCCTCCTCCCTCAGTCTCCCAAGCAGCTAGGACTACAGGCTCCAGCCACCATGCCCAGCTAATTTTTTGAATTTTTATAGAATGGGGTCTCTATGCTGCCTAGGCTGGTCTTGAACTTGTGGCCTCAAGGGATCCTCCCATCTCAGCCTCTCAAAGTGCTGGGATTATAGGTGTGAGCCACTGCATCTAGCTTGTTAATAATATCTTGATAACAAAAAGACCTCTTAAAGTGTTTAAAGTCCATAATAAGGCCAGGCATGGTGGCAGGCACCTGTGGAGCTACTCAGGAGGCTGAAGTGGGACAATTGCTCGAGCCCAGGAGTTTGAGGCTGCAGTGAGCTATGTTCGCACCACTGCACTCGAGCCTGGGCAAGAGCGAGTGGAAAAAAGGAAAAAAAAAAGTCTATAATATAAAGTTTATTTTTTATCAGAGTACATTTATTTTTAGCCAGCCTCTAAACTCATCCAGAGCCACATACACGTTGAGTACTTTGTTTTACCTAGACAGTTGTAAAGACATGGTACCTGCTATTGTTAATTTTCTTTTTTTGTTTTGTTTTGTTTTGGAGATGGAGTCTCGCTCTGTTGCCCAGGCGGGAGTGCAGTGGTGTGATCTCCATTCACTGCAGCCTTGCCTTCCGGGTTCAAGCAATTCTCCTGCCTCAGCCTCCCAAGTAGCTGGGACTACAGGCCTGCGCCACCACGCCCAGCTAATTTTTATGTTTTTAGTAGAGACAGGGTTTCACCATGTTGGTCAGGCTGGTCTCGAACTCCTGACCTCTAGTGAGCCGCTGCACCTGGCCCTGATAATTTTCTTTGTCAACCAACCTGATCTATATCTCCATCACTGAATTGCCCTGGACTTACAAGATGAAGAAGGAATTGCAGCTGTGTTGTTTCTTGCTTCTTTCCCAGTTCCCTGAGATGAATGAGGTCTGTCAAGAGGATGAAAGGAAGGGCAGCATCTTGATTCCATTTATCATCCAGAACCTGGGCCTCCTGACTGGATTCACCATCATGGTGGTCCTCACCATGTATTCAGGACAGATCCAGATTGGGTAGGGCTCTGCCAAGAGCCTGTGGGACTGGAAGTCGGGCCCTGGGCTGCCCGATCGCCAGCCCGAGGACTTACCATCCACAATGCACCACGGAAGAGGCCGTTCTATGAAAAACTGACACAGACTGTATTCCTGCATTCAAATGTCAGCCGTTTGTAAAATGCTGTATCCTAGGAATAAGCTGCCCTGGTAACCAGTCTCTAGCTAGTGCCTCTTGCCCTCTCCTCACCTCCTTTTCTCTCAGTGACTCTGGAACCTGAATGCAGCTTACAAGACAAGCCTGACTTTTTTCTCTGATTACCTTGGCCTCCTCTTGGAACCAGTGCTGAAAGGTTTTGAATCCTTTACCCAACAATGCAAAAATAGAGCCAATGGTTATAACTTGGCTAGAAATATCAAGAGTTGAATCCATAGTGTGGGGCCCATGACTCTAGCTGGGCACCTTGGACCTCCAGCTGGCCAATAGAAGAGACAGGAGACAGGAAGCCTTCCCATTTTTTCAAAGTCTGTTTAATTGCCTATTACTTCTCTCAAAGAGAACCTGAAGTCAGAACACATGAGCAGGGTGAGAGGTGAGGCAAGGTTCATCCTGAATGGGAGAGGAAGTCGAACCACTGCTGTGTGTCTTGTCAGGATGCTCACTTGTTCCTACTGAGATGCTGGATATTGATTTTGTAACAGCACCTGGTGTTTCACGGCTGTCCGAGTGAGCTAACGTGGCGGTGTGGCTGCCTGGACCTCCTCTTTCAGGTTAACGCTGACAGAATGGAGGCTCAGGCTGTCTGCAAGAAAACAGTTGGTTTGGCTGTGATTTTGACCTCCTCTTCCCCACTGCCATCTTCTAAGAGACTTTGTAGCTGCCTCCTAGAAGCACATTCTGAGCACATTTGAGACCTCTGTGTTAGAGGGGAGACTGCACAAACTATCCTCCCCCAGGTTGAGACGTCTGCAGAGTGGCAAGCTGACTTGTAGAAATGGGGTGCCATTTATGCTCTACTTAGACAAGGGTAATCAGAAATGGAATCAGTGCAGGCAAAATTTAGGATTTGCCGCTTCCATAAATCAAAGCATGACTAATAGGGGGTCTCTGAAATGTAAGGGCACAAACTTCACTTAGGGCATCGCAGATGTTTGCAGAATGGTTGGCCTAATGATTATGCTACAGATGGGTTTTAAATGACCCGTCTAGGTTACTGCTTCCTTGCAAAAAAAGTCGAATCCTGCATTGAATTGAATATGAATTTCTCTAACTCTCTCCAGAAAATGGATGGAGATAACTTGTCTTTAAAACTGTAGGCCAGCCTTAGCCACTGTGGAGCCCTTGCCTCCGAGCTCTGGCTTCAAGGGGAGCTCTTCTCCAGGTTCACTAGGTGAATTGATTTATTATTATCATATTGATAATGTGAGATTCTTTAGCCACTTTGGGGAGCCTGTCTCTCCAGAAGCCTTTCTTAGTGGTGCCCACAGTTGGAGCCCAGGGGCCATGTTTGCAAACTGATTCATGTGCATGGCTGACAGGAGTACTGGTTCACTACCAATGCCTGAGCTTTTCTCTTACATAGAAAAACTGTCCGCTCTCAGTAATCACAAGCAGCATCCGTTTTGTTTTCTCTTCTTGGGAGACATCTGTCAAACCAGGAATATTCTTGAAAAGAACGTGAGCAGGAAAAACTGCTGGTGATACTTTTTTTAAGTTTTGTTTTTATCTTGCCTGTTGGCTTCAATACATTTGAGAATACGCTGAAGAGGGAAAATTTCAGTGATGGAGATTCTAGATTAAATATCAGGACTGATTTCCTGGTGGGATTATGGTCCAGTTTTACCAAAGAACCAATTCCTTGAATGTTGGAATCTAACTTTTTATATTGTCATTATTATTGTTGTTTTTAAACGGTTCTTTGTCTTTTCTGTTTTATTTTTCTCAAGCTGCTTTCAGGAGCTAGCAGAAAATAACTCAAAGTTGAAGACTCTGGAAGATTTTGCTTTAACCTAACTCGCATTGATGTATTAAATTTATAATTTTAGCATTCCCAATAGATCCTATCATTCCTTAAACATAATACCCTTTGTCTTGGAGTAGAATACTAAGTTAGAGTTAGTGGATTTCTAGTTTAGGAGAGGAGCTCAAAACTATAATCTTTAACAAATTGAAAAATGAAATAGGGTGTTTTCCCTTTTTGTGCACACCTATATTACCTTAAGAAATTTCCTTCCATAGACAGCTGCCTCAAAGGGAAATCCTCTTTAAACCGTAGTTGGCGCAGAGGTCAGTCCTAGTCGGAGCTTAGGAGGGGCGGAGACGCTCACATCGTCTGACTTGAGTCGCCACTGATTGTGGCAACAGCTTTGCCTCATGAGTCAAAAATTGGCAATTTCTTTTGATTTTTAGTTGTTGAATTTGCTGTTTCAAGCATTTGTACATATTAGAAGTCTAAGGAGTAGCAAGTCAGTGGGAGGACTTTTTCACCCCTGGCATTAGCAGCTTCGACCTCATTTTCCAGATGCACCAGCTCCTATTAATAAGTTAGCAAGGAAAGTGTATGTCACGTGCAGGAACAGTGAGGCAGGGACAGGGGTTCTGCTCCTTCTCACTTCACCACCGGCACACAGCTTGCCCCTGTCTTTGCCCCCAAAGGTATTTTGTGTCTAGTGTCAAATTGGAGCTATTCTTCACTGGTCCTTAACCTTGGGTTTTAAAAAGAAGGCTTCTCTGTTTGGGTAGCGTAAGAGCTGAGTATAGTAAGTCCTCTTCCAAAGAGATGGCAATATGCTGGGCATCTACTTTAAAACAAAGTTGTCTGATTTTTGCAAGAGAGGTTAGGATTTTATTGTTCTTATTTCCCTTTACAGTTCTGCAGTTCCATCACAGTATTTTTTTAAATAACTCAGGTGTATGAGAAGAAATTAGAAAAGAAAATTAACTTATGTGGACTGTAAATGTTTTATTTGTAAGATTCTATAAATAAAGCTATATTCTGTAATTGTTGAGAATCCCACGGGTGATCATTTGCAATAAATGTGGATGTAATGAAGGCTGTTGAACACAAGGTGGCGATGGTGTCTCACTGACGTACAAAGTTTTGTTTTACCAGGTCTGGTTTAACATTTGACTGGGATTTTAGAAGGTTTTTTTTGTTGTTGTTATTGAGACAGAGTTTTGCTCTTGTCGCCCAGGCTGGAGTGCAGTGGTGCGATCTCGGCTCACTGCAACCTCCACCTCCTGGGTTCAAGCGATTCTCCTGCCTCAGCCTCCCGAGTAGCTGGGATTACAGGTGCCCGCCACCACGCCTGGCTAAATTTTGTATTTTTAGTAGAGATGGGGTTTCGCCATGTTGTCCAGGCTGGTCTCGAACTCCTGACCTCAGGTGATCTGCCCGCCTTGGCCTCCCAAAGTCTTGGGATTACAGGCTTGAGTCATTGTGCCAGGCCAAGAAGGAAACTTTTGTACTCTCTTCTCTTTTCTTTCTTTGAGACAGTCTCACTCTGTCACCCAGGCTGGAATGCATTGGCACGATCTCGGTTCACTGCAGCCTCCGCTTCCTGGGTTCAAGCGATTCTCATGCCTCAGCTTCCTAAGTAGCTTGGACTACAGGCATGTAGTACCATGCCCAGCTAATTTTTGAATTTTGTTGTTGTTGTTGTTTTGTTTTTTTTTTTTTGAGACGGAATCTCACTCTATTGCCCAGGCTGGAGTGCAATGGCACGATCTCGGCTCACTGCAAACTCCGCTTCCCGGGTTCACGCCATTCTCCTGCTTCAGCCTCCCGAGTAGCTGGGACTACAGGTGCCCGCCACCACGCCCAGCTAATTTTTTGTATTTTTAGTAGAGACAGGGTTTCACCGTGTTAGCCAGGATGGTCTCGATCTCCTGACCTCGTGATCCCCCTGCCTCGGCCTCCCAAAGTGCTGGGATTACAGGCGTGAGCCACTGGCCATGATTTTTGAATTTTTAATAGAGATGGGGTTGCGCCATGTTGGCCAGGCTGGTCTCAGAACTCCTGACCTCAGGTGATTAGCCTGCCTCGGCCTCCCAAAATGCTGGGATTACAGGCATGAGCCACCGCGCCTGGCCTATACTCACTTTAATTGGTTTCTCTCTCTCTCTCTCTCTCTCTCTCATCTATCTTCCTATGTAGATAGATAACTGTTATCTACAGATAAAGTTTTATATCTATCTAGAGAGAGAGAGTGAGCTTGAACTCCCAGGCTCAAGCAATCTTCCTGCCTTAACCTTTTGAGTAGCTGGGACTAGAGGCGAGCACTACCATGCCTGATTAATTTTTTAATTTTTTTTTTTTTATAGAAACATCTTGCTACGTTGCCCAAGCTAGCCTTGAACTCTTGGCCTCCCAAAGTGCTGGGATTATAGGCGCAGATCACCAAGCCTGGCCAAAATCGATTAGTTTATCTCTTTCGGAGGCTGTGATCTCACTGTGTTGCATGATAGAAGAATTGTGGTGTTTCCAAGAAGACTTTTCTATCACCCTGTTTTCTCTTACATAAACTTGAAACTTGTAACGTTTGCTTAGTTTGTTTAAGCCACATTTCTATATCTTACAGGGAAAAGTCCTCTGTCAATGCGACTTAAAATGCTAAAGCTATTCCCATTCCAATTTAGTTGTAGGGTCAGGGATCTGTTTTTCTTCGACAACAGAAATGACCAGTAAGATAAAAAAAAAGTTGGTTCAATCTTATGACTACCTCCATTAGAGATTTTCAAATGCCTGTTAGTCCTTCCTTTGTTAAAACAAGAATAATATATGAAGTGGCTCGTGTTGGTCGTTTAATTTGCATTACCTCACTACTACGCCATTTGCTATTCAAAATGACATTCACACTGCCCTTCAGCTCCTGACACCTCGACGTCCTTTTCTGCCTACAGTCCCTCCTGCCTTTCCAGGAGTCTGTCTCTGCATACCTCAGTTACAGGACTTGCATTGTAATTGCTGTTCTTTGCATACCAAATTCCTTCTGGGTGGAGGGCGTATCTGGTTTCTTTCTGTGATGTCAGCACTGGCCATATGGAAAGAATGAATGAAAAAACTAAATGAGCCAGGTGCAATGGCTCACGCCTGTAATCCCAGCACTTTAGGAGGCCAAGGCAGGTGGATCACTTGATGTCAGGAGTTTGAGGCCAGCCTGGCCAACATGGTGTGAAACCCTATCTCTACTAAAAATACAAAATTTAGCCGGGCATGGTGGTGTGCCTCTGTAATCCCAGTTACTCAAGAGGCTGACGCAGGAGAATCACTTGAACCCGGGAGGCAGAGGTTGCAGTGAGCCAAGATCGTGCTACTGCACTCCAACCTGGGCAACAGAGTGAGACTCCGTCTCAAAAAAAAAAAAAAAAAAAAAAGACTAAATGAAATGTCTTTTAAGTTCTGTGTTGGTGGAGATGCTCACTTTCCATGGTGAGCAGTTCCTGTTGTGTCTTCCAGTCATCAGTGATGGTTTCGCTTATGCTTTATTACTCGGTCCACCTTAATTTAGAAATGTAAGTTTGAGAGAGGTGTACTTGTGGCCCACGTGGAACAGAGCTAAGCAAAGTAAACAGGCCATTAAGTAGATTAAAACCGTGACCTTAGCCATCTCTTTGTAATACTCTTAATCAGCTAAGCCATCTAGGACATTTTTGGTGGAAGGTGAAATAACTGAAATTCAAAAAATGCTATGAGTGTTCTCTCCTACTTTCTTCCTTCTGTGCACTTTACCATTCAGTGATGCTTGGATTGGATTTGGGCAAAACCCACTTCAAGAAATAGCAAACACACTAAATGTGGACGTAGTGTTTTTGATGCGTGGGAAAACATTGCATTCGTGATTGGTGGCTTTCGGCTGACTTTTTTTTTTTTTTAATAGTGGAAAAAAAATCAGTGGTTGGGAGCGATCCACAGGTCCTTTATCAGCCTTCAGCTAAGTATGCTTAGAACTGCCAGCCAAAAAACAGTTGTATTTCTTTTCAGCAGATGTCTATTCTTGCCAGATGTCTTTTCAGGAGTTTTTTGTTTTTGTTTTTGTTTTTTAATGAAGGAAGGGAGTTAATGGAGTATCCTTTGTAACAGCAATCCTTGATCCAGCAGTGGGTCAGATTCCAAGATGGTAGCATCAATTATGGTTAAGGAATAATCCCAAAGTGTTCTGACCCTGGCAATCATAAGCCAAGAAGTTCTTCTACTAGGCTCTAGATGGTTTTTGTTTTTTTTTTGTTTTTTTTTGAGCAGAGTTTTGCTCTTGTTGCCCAGCCTGGAGCACAATGGTGCGATCTCGGCTCACCGCAACCTCCACCTCCCAGATTCAAGCGATTCTCCTGTCTCAGCCTTACCAAGTAGCTGGGATTATAGGCATGAGCCACCAAGCCTGGCCAATTTTGTATTTTTAGTAGAGATGAGGTTTCTCCATATGGGTCAGGTTGGTCTCGAACTCCCGACCTCAGGTGATCCGCCCACCCTGGCCTCCCAAAGTGCTGGGATTACAGGCGTGAGCCACCGCGCCCGGCTTGTTTTTATTTTATTTTATTTTGAGACAGGGTCTTGCTCTGTCACTCAGGCTAGAGTGCAGTTTCTCGATCATGGCTCGCTGCAGCCTCAATCTCCTGGGCTCAAGTGATTCTCCCACCTCAGCTCCCAATTAGCTGGGGGTACAGGCATGCGCCACCACACCTGGCTAATTTTGATTTTTAGTGGAAAGGAGGTCTCGTTAAGTTGCCCGGGCTGGTCTCGAACTCCAGGGCTCAAGCAATCCTCCTGACTAGGCCTCCGAAAGTGCTGGGATGACAGGCATGAGCCATTGCACCCAGACTCTCTAGATGTTTTTCTACAACCGGTTTACTTATAGATTTGTGGAACACTGAGGTTCCCTAAGAATAAACTCAGGCAATAATCCACACAGGTTTTCACAAATCCATTCGTGTGACACAAAGCCATCAGGAATCTCCCAGAGGAGGCTCCTGAACAAGGAGTTTTTTTGATGAAGTAATTCTAAATGATATGCTCTCTCTCTTTTTTTTTGAGATGGAGTCTCACTCTGTTGCCCAGGCTGGAGTGCAGTGGTGTGATCTCAGCTCACTGCAACCTCCGCCTCCCAGGTTCAAGCAATTCTCTTGCCTCAGCCTCCGAAGTAGCTGGGATTTCAGGCATGTGCCGCCATGCACAGCTAATTTTTGTGTTTTTAGTAGAGATGGGGTTTTCGCCATATTGGCCAGGCTGGTCTTGAATTCCTGACCTCAGGTGATCCACCCACTATGGCCTCCCAAAGTGCTAGGATTACAAGCATGAGCCACCACGATCAATGTGCTCTCTTAAAATATGGTTTGTTGGGGCCGGGTGCAGTGGCTCATGCCTGTAATCCCAGCACTTTGGGAGGCCAAGACAGGCGGATCACCTGAGGTCGGGAGTTTGAGACCAGCCTGGCCAACATGGAGAAACCCTGTCTCTACCAAAAATACAAAATTAGCCGGGTGTGGTGGCACACCCTGTAATCCCAGCTACTCGGGAGGCTGAGGCAGGAGAATCGTTTGAACCCAGGAGGCGGAGGTTGCGGTGAGCTGAGGTCACGCCATTGCACTCCAGCCTGGGCAACAAGAGAACAAGAGTGAAACTCCATCTCGAAAAGAAAAAATAGGGTTTGTCTTCCTGCGTTTGGCTAACATTTTAAATGCATCAAAATCAAAGAATGACCCAAGCTAATTAATAGGACATTCACCCCAAAATTTGATGTCAACCTTTGGGTTTTAAGAAGGAAAACAACTAATTCAATAAAGGGAATCATTTTCTTGCTTAAAATAAAGGATTAGGTCTTTAATTATAAATGCTAGTAAGGAAAAAAAAAAAACCTCTTTGATCTTGAGTATCCTCCCAGAATAGGCGATTCTTTCAAGTGGCATCTTCTCTATAACTTCTTGAAGTTTATAAAAACAAGCTCTTTTGAAGCCATTGTCTGGTTGTATTCTATAGATGTGGCCCTTGAAGTGAAATATCTTACGCTGCCAAATTCACACAATTTAAGCATTTAGTGATTCTGCAAATATTGTAGGATTCTTTCCCCCTCTTGAAAATCAAGAGAACAGGAGAGAGAGATGGAATTTACATTTTTCTTTTCTGGGAAAGCTGATTTAAACAAAGGGATCATACTGATTTTTCAGTATACATGATTCAGTGAACTAGTCTAACTAAAAGGGTGGTAAAATCTAAACAGACTGGGTGTGGTGGCTCACACCTGCAATCCCAGTGCATTGGGAGATTGAGACAGGAGGATTGCTTGAGGCCAGTATTTGAGACCAGCCCAGGCAACAGTGAGACCTGTCTCTATAAAAAATAAAAATCTGGCCTGGTGCGGTAGCTCACGCCTATAATCCTAACGCTCTGGGAGGCTGAGGCGGGTGGATCACCTGAGGTCAGGAGTTCAAGACCAGCCTGACCAACATGGGGAAACCCCTGTCTACGAAAAATACAAAATTAGCTGGGTGTGGTGGCGCATGCCTGTAATCCCAGTTACTTGAGAGGCTGAGGCAGGAGAATCACTTGAACCCAGGAGGTGAAGGTTGCAGTGAGCTGAAATTGCGCCATTGCACTCCAGCCTGGGCAACAAGAGCGAAACTCTGTCTCAAAAATAAAATAAAATAAAAATCTAAACAGAGATCTCAATATCATCTTTATCTGGCTTTAAGGTATATTCCCACAAATCTGTTTTTCTAATAATGCTCAACTTAGCTTAGTAGAAAAATTTTGTGTTCCTCGGTTCATATGTTCTTTTTTTTTTTTTTTTTTTGAGACTGAGTCTCACTCCATTGCCCAGGCTGTAGTGCCGTGGTACGATCTCAGCTCACTGCAACCTCTGCCTCCCGGGTTCAAGCGATTCTCCTGCCTCACCCTCCTGAGTAGCTGGGATTACAGGCGCATGCCACCACACCCACCTAATTTTTGTATTTTTGGTAGAGACAGGGTTTCACCATGTTGGCCAGGCTGGTCTCGATCTCTTGACCTTGTGATCCGCCCAGCCTGGCCTCCCAAAGTGCTGGGATTACAGGCATGAGCCACTGCGCCAGGCCAGTTCATGTGTTCTTTTAACATTTTGTTTGAAATGGAGGCTGACTGCATGGAAGACTGCCTTGATCTAACTGATGATTTTGTTTTTTCACTGAAAAACTTAAAGCAGCCTTGTAAACTAGTTTAAATGGGAGAATCCTTGGAAAAGTGTTGATGTTTGGTAATTTTTGAGCAAACGAAGGTAAGAACCAATGCAAACTTACTTCCCCAGAGTTCTG
Source organism: Homo sapiens (assembly GCF_000001405.40). Taxonomy (NCBI): domain Eukaryota; kingdom Metazoa; phylum Chordata; class Mammalia; order Primates; family Hominidae; genus Homo; species Homo sapiens. The sequence continues at coordinate 22,428,957 of NC_000008.11, forward strand.
CATTGTGTCTTTGTCTTGAAAAAGAACACAGAATGGCCAGGCGTGGTGGCTCACGCCTGTAATCCTAGCACTTTGGGAGGCCGAGGCGGGTGGATCGCAAGGTCAGGAGATCGAGACCATCCTGGCTAACACGGTGAAACCCCGTCTCTACTAAAAATACAAAAAATTGGCTGGGCGTGGTGGCGGGCACCTGTGGTCCCAGCTACTCGGGAGGCTGAGGCAGGAGAATGGCATGAACCCGGGAGGCAGAGCTTGCAGTGAGCCAAGATCTCACCACTGCACTCCAGCCTGGGCGACAGAGCCAGACTCCGTCTCAAAAACAAACAAACAAAAAAAGAACACAGGATTTTGCATCCATAGGAATGGATTCATGTCAATTCCATCATTGACTATCTGTGTGATCTCTAACATGTTTAACCTCTCTGCACCTCAATATTTTTATGAAGTAGAAATTATAATTTTATACTGCCTACCTTATAAGGTAGGTATAAGTATAATGAGAAGTAAATATGCAAAATGTTTTAGAAATTAAAGCTCTGTACTAGTAGTAATTAACATTTTGTTCTTTGGATTCCTTTGAGAATCTGAAAAATACATGATTGCTCATACACACTCATAGCATGTGTAAATATACTCCAACCTTTAATTTCATTTATAATTGGGAGCAGCATGGGGATGGGAGGTAGACGAGAAGGGAATGATCTCCTGAAGCCCCTGTGCCCCAGGTGAAAAACTTCTGCTGCAGACAAGAGTAAGATGAAATCCATTCATTCAACAAATTGTTGAGCTCCAACTCTGCCAAGCTTGGCATGACATAGCAGTGAAAGATCCTTCCCTTAAGGAGTGAGGGGAAATAAACAAAAACCAAGTGCTACAGATAAATTAACACGGGGGAGTGAGGTAGGGAATGGGCAGACAGGGATAGAGGTGATCAGGAAAGGGCTCTAACCAGATGACATCTGAGTTGAGCTTTGTGACTGTAGAAGAATGTTCTAAGCCAAAGGGCCGGCCAACGCAAGAATGCTGAGACAGAAATAAGCTTCATCTATTTGAGGCCAGTATGTGTAAACAGCAGAAACAAGGCCAGTCTGTCTGGACTGCAGCAGACATGAGGGAAGAAGGTTGGTGGGAGCTCAAAGTTGACAGGAGTCAGACCACTTCGGGAAAGGAGAAGACATTTGTTTTTGTTTGTTTGTTTTAGAGATGGGGTCAGAGGTCACTGCAGCTTCAAACTCCTGGACTCAAGAGATCCTCCCACCTACCTCAACCAGCCTGGCTAATTTAATTTTTTTTTAGAGACGGGGTCTCACTAAGTTGCCCAGTCTGGTCTCCAAGTCCTGGGCTCAAGTAATCCTGCTGCCTCAGCCTCCCAGAGTGCTGGGATTACAGGCGTGGGCCATCGCCCTTAGACCACAAGAGAGTTTTAACCAGAGGAATGACAAATCAGTTTTATGCTTTAAGTTTAGAAAGATCTGCTGTATAGGAAAATAGACGGTAGGGGGAGGAAGTTGACAGGATACAGTGTGTGGAAAGGCGTCCCTGATTCTAAATTTTTGGTCCAAGCAACTTGAATGCCAGTGCTGTTTACCTTGGTATCTTACCTGTGGAACCACCAAATGTGTTATGTACTGGTTGCCACCATTTTCTCCTGTTCTGCAATGATGCAAACAACAACAGTCACAAGCAGGAAGTGACGGCAGCTTTGGGGCTCCCAATTCTTTTTTTTTCGTTTTGGAGACAGGGTCTTGCTCTGTCGTCCAGGCTGGAGTGCAGTGGTGTGATCTCGGCTCGCTGCAAACTCCACCTCCTGGGTTCAAGCCATTCTCTTGTTTCAGCCTCCTGTGTAGTTGGGATTACAAGCCTGTGCCATCATGCCCAGCTAATCGTTGTGTTTTTAGTAGAAACAAGGTTTTACCATGTTGGCCAGGCTGGTCTTTAACTCCTGGCCTCAAGTAATCCGCCCATCTCGGCCTCCCAAAGTGCTGGGATTATAGGGGCGAGCTGCCGCAGCCGGTCTGGGACTCCCAATTCCCTCTTTTTTTTTTTTTTTTGATGGAGTCTCCCTCTGTTGCCCAGGCTGGAGTGCAGTGGCGTGATCTCAGCTCATTGCAACCTCTGCCTCCTGGGTTCAAACAATTCTCCTGCCTCAGCCTCCTGAGTAGCTGGGACTACAGGCACGTGCCACCACACCTGGCTAATTTTTTGTATTTTTAGTAGAGACAGGGTTTCACTGTGTTAGCCAGGATAGTCTCGATCGCCTGACCTCATGATCCACCTGCCTCAGCCTCCCAAAGTGCTGGGATTACAGACGTGAGCCACCGTGCCTGGCCTATATAGTGCTTTTCATATAAAATTGCAGATTATACATTATAATATACCTTTTGTTTTGTGTAGCTATTTTAGAAATGCTCATTTTACTATGGTTTTTAAAATATTCTACAGTTCTCTTACCTGCATTTAACACAGAAGTTGAACATTTAATGGCTTCATATAAATAGAAACTGACGCCAGGTTACTTTCACACAACAGTGGAAACAAGGGTTCCCTGTGCTTTTGTTAAATTAAAAGTGTTCATAATTATGTCTCAGAGGAGCTGGTCATTAATCAAGGTTTAGGAAGCGCTTAGGGAGTTTCATGAGGAAATACACCAAAGCTCACAAGCCCTGTAAGAAGGAAACCCAGATTTGAAGAAATGTGTAGAAATGATAGTTAAACATGAATCTTGGTTATTTCAAATATTTATGTCTTCTGACTGACCAATGCAGAAAATAAAAAAAAGTGGGGGGATACAAAATTCACCAAGTGGACATCTGGCCAGGTGGAGAGATCCACCAGCTGAATGAAATTGGGCTCTCCAATGATTCTTGAGAATTGTTAATGTCTAAAAACACCACCACACAAGCAATGAACTTAAACCTAATTTGTTATGGAAAACAATTGTTTGGGAAGGGAGCTCAATTAGAGCTTTCTTCTTTTTAAATTTTCATGGAGTGGCTCTAGATGTTTTGTTTGTTTTTGTTTTAATCAGAAAAGACATTGAGAAAGCAATGAATGTTTAACTCTATTGGAACTAGGCCACTAAAAGAAAAGAGCAGCCGGCACGGTGCCTCATGCCTCTAATCCCAACACTTTGTGAGGCCAAGGTGGGAGGATCGCTTTAGTCCAGGAGTTCCAGACCAGAGTGGGCAACATAGGAAGACCCCCCATCTCTAAAAAAAGAAAAAAATAGCTGGACATGGCAGTGGCATGCCTGTGGTCCCAGCTACTTGGGAGGCTGAGGTTAGAGGATCACTTGAGCCCAGGGAGATAGAGGCTGCAGTGAGCTATGATCATGCCACTGCACTCCAGCTTGGGCGACAGAGCAAGACCCTGTCTCAATAAATAAACATATAAATAAATAGGTGAAGATAAAGAAAAGTGCTTCCTTCTTTTTCTTTCACTCTGTCTCTCTTTCTCTCTGCTCCTTCCCTCCCTTCTCTCTCTCTTCTCCCTCCTTCCTTTTTCTCTCTCTCTCTCTCTTTTTCTCTCTTTCTTTCTTTTAGAACAGGGTCTTGCTCTGCCACCCAGGCTGTAGTGTGGTGGTGTGATCATGGTTCACTTCAGCCTCAACTCCCTGGGTCCAAGTGATCCTCCTACCTCGGCCTCCCGAGTAGCTGGGACCACAGGTGTTCACCACCGTGCCCGGCTAATTTTTTTTTTTTTTTTTTTGAGATGGAGTCCCGCTCTTGTTGCCCACGCTGGAGTGCAATGGCATGATCTCAGCTCACTGCAACCTCCGGCTCCCAGGTTCAAGCGATTCTCCTGTCTCAGCCTCCCAAGTAGCTGGGATTACAGGCACCCGCCACAACACCCGGCTATTTTGTTTTTTTTTTTTTTTTGTAGAGATGGGTTTTACCATGTTGGACAGGTTGGTCTCGAACTCCTGACCTCAGGTGATCCACCCACCTCAGCCTCCCAAAGTGCTGGGATTATAGGCATTAACCATCGTGCTCGGCCACCTGGCTAATTTTTAAAAAAAATTTTTGGTAAAGATGGGGTCTCCCTATGTCATTGCCCAGGCCGGTCTGGAACTCCTGGGCTCAAGCGATCCTTGTGCCTCAGCCTCCCAAAGTGCTGGGATTACAGTCATGAGCCTCTGCACCTGGCCTTATTTTCACCTATTTATAAAGCAATACTTTCTCACCACAGAAAATTGGAAAGATAAAGAAATTTTTTTTATTACACCACCAAGTGATGGCTACTGTTCACATTTTTTTCCTTGATAGATTATGCTCAGTGAGGGTATGAATTATGTCAGTTTTGGTTCGTTTCCATATCCTTAACACAGTGCCTGGCACACAGTCCACACCTAATTCATACTTGTTGAATGAGTATATTAATATTTTCTTGAGGTCTTTTATTTTTAAAGAAATGGAGTCTTGCTATGTTGTCCAGGATGGAGTGCAGTGGCTATTCACAGGCAAGAAAATAGTGTAATATGACCTCAAACTCCTGGGCTCAATAGATCCTCCTGCCTCAGCCTCCCAAGCAGCTGGGACTACAGGTGAATACCACTATGCCTGGCTTAAGACTTTTATTTTATGCTTTTTTTTTTTTTTTTTTTTTGAGACAGGGTCTCACTCTGTCACCAAGGCTGGAATGCAGTGATGCGATCTTGGCTCACTGCAGCCTTAACCTCAGAGACCGCCCACCTCAGCCTCCCAAGCAATCCTCCCATCTCAGCCTCCCAAGTAGCTGGGACCACAGGCGCATGCCACCACACCTAGCTAATTTTTCTGTATTTTTTATAGAGACGCGGTTTCACCATATTGCCCAAGCTGGTCTCAACCTCCTGAGCTCAAGTGATCTTCCCGCCTTGGCCTCCAAAGTGCTGAGATTACAGGCGTGAGCCACTGCACTCGGCCATGTTTATGTTTTTGTTTTTGTTTTTTTAGATGGAGTTTTGCTCTGTTGCCCAGGCTGGAGTGCAATGGTGCCATCTCAGCTCACTGCAACCTCTGCCGCTTGGGTTGAAGCGATTATCCTGTCTAAGCCTCCCGAGTAACTGAGCCAGCCATGTTTGTTAATAAAAATGGGGACAATACTGTATATATATGGTTATATTTTAGCTTTTTCACTTTTCAGTATCTCCTGAGGCTTTTCTCATGTCATTAAATATTTTTCTAATTTAAAATATGGTATTTCCTAACTGCATGATGTTCCATTCAATCATATTTCATGTAACCATTTTTCCTATATGGATGAAATCATATAGTAGATATCATTTTGTGGCTTGCTTCTTTTGCTCAGCGTAATGTATTTTAGAGGTTCATTCATGTTGTTGCCTGTAGCAGTAATTATTTCTCTTTTATTAGCTGAATAGTATTCCATTCTATGGAATTTTACAATTAACATCTAAAAAAAAATAATGAACTGCTTATAGGAGGGAAGCTGGGTGCTCTTTTCCACAGCACACATACTAAAATAGGAATGATACAGAGAAGATTACCATGGCTCCTGTGCAAGGATGACACACACATTTGTGAAGCATTAAAAGAAAAAAAAAGAAGGAAACTGAGGGCAGGGAAATAAGTGAGAATTTACTTTTCTTCTACATACTTTTGCAGTATTTAATTTTTTTCTTTTCTTTTTTTTTCTTTTTTTTTTTTTGATACTGAGTCTTACTCGCCCAGGGTGGAGTGCAGTGGTGCAATCTCGGCTCACCGCAACCTCCGCCTCCTGGGTTCAAGCAATTCTCCTGCCCCAGCCTCCTGAGTAGCTGGGACTACAGGCGTGCGCCACCACGCCTGGCTAATTTTTTGTATTTTTAGCAGAGATGGGGGTCTCACCATGTTGGCCAGGCTGGCCTCGAACTCCTGACCTCAGGTGATCCACCCACCTCGGCTTCCCAAAGTGCTGGGATTACAGGCATGAGCACCATGCCCAGCCTTTAATTTTGTTAAACCATGGGCATGTGTTACTTTTAAAAATATATATTTAAAGCATTTAAAAAATTCTGAGAGCAGAGTTGGGTTCAAGTTGTACTTTGAACTACCTGTGTGACAGTGGGTAAGTGGCTTGATGTCTCTGGACTCATTTCCCTCACCTGTAATATAATAATGTTGGTCCATATGAATCCTTGGTCTTTGGCCTCTTAGATACTCCAATTGGCCAGTTATCTTTTGAATCAAACTTTATCTACTGAGGCATACTAAATTATTACATATAAGGAATGGAGGTGATTAGTGATTCATTATATCCACAAACACCTACTGAGCAACCACAATATAAATGGGCCATGCTAGAAACTGGAAATATAGGCTGGGTGCAGTGGCTCATGCCTGTAAATCCCAGCACTTTAGGAGGCAGGCCGATGTGGAAGGACCACTTGAGGCCAGGAGTTCCAGACAGACTGGGCAACATAGCAAGGCCCCATCTCTGCAAAAAAGAAATTAAAAAAAGCTGGGCCTAGTGGTGTGTGTCTGTAGTCCCAGCTACTCAGGAGGCTGAAGTGGGAGGATTGCTAGAGGCTAGGAGTTGGAGGCTGCAGTGAGCTATGACGGTGCCACTGCACTCTAGCCTGGGCAACAGAGAAGATCCTGTCTCAAAATACATAAATAAATGACAATTTTTAAAAAAGAAGAAACTGGATATAGTCTCTGCCTTAATAGTCTAGGTGGGGAAAACAGCCACATGTGAATAAATAATATCCTCCATGCATTAGGTGGTTGATCTGTTTACAAAACGCTCTTGGTCCACAGAGGAAGGCTTTACCTCTACCTGGATGGATTAAGAAAGGCTTCAGAGAGGTGAGTATAACAGGGCTGGATCTTAAGGGCATGGCTGAACTTGTGAGTCGAAGTAGAGAAGGAAGGGTGTTTCCAGGATATAAGGATCAAATATCCAAAGGAGTGGAGCCCTGAACATATCCACTATATTCCAACCCCATGCCTCTGTACAGCTTTGCCCAACCTAGGACACCTCCCTTCCTCCTTGCTGTTCACATCCCATCCTTCCTTAGAGGGCTGCAGCCCTGAAAAAACATAGCAAATGGTTTCAAGTGGCCGGCCTGAAAGATCTCATGGGGCTACGGACAGAGAGAAGCTGTAGAGGTGAGTCAGGGTCAGGCTGGGAAGGAACTGTTGGGCCAGGTTAAAGGGTTCAAACTCGATCCCAAGGGCGCCAGGGAGCCACTGAAGGGAGATGAGGAGCAGAGTCAATAGTCAGATTTTCTGTACAAAGTTGACTCTGGGCCAGGTATGGTGGCTCACACCTGTAGTCCCAGTACTTTGGGGGGCTGAGGCAGGAGCATTGCTTGAGGCCAGGAGTTGGAGCCCAGCCTGGGCAACATTGCAAGACCGAGTCTCTACAAAAAATTTAAAAAATTAGCTGAGTGTGGTGGTGTACACCTGCAGTCTCAGCTACTCAGGAGGCTAAGGTGGAAGGATTGCTTGAGCCTGGGAGGTTGAGGCTGCAGTGAGCTGTAATCATGCCACTCCAGCCTGGGGGACACTCCAGCCTGGGGGACAGAGTGAGACCTTATCTCAAAAAAAAAAAAAGTTGATTCTGGGGTCAATGTGGACAATGGATGAAGATAAGAGGTCAAGACCAAAGACTCAGGGACCAGTTAAGAAGCTGATGCAGCGGAGGGTTAGCCCCTATTCACTCCCAGCCTTTATGCCCTGAGAATAGCTGATTCTATTACAGAATCAGTTGAGATGGATTCCCGCAGAGAGCAAGACACGTTCCCTGTGTCTGCCCCAAACAACCCAAAGTCTTTTGAAACCTCTACTAGGATGGGAAAGCACCAATGCGATGGGTGAAGGTTTCTGGTGGTCTCAGCTTATACAGATCAAAGCCTTTCCAACCTGGTTTCCTCCCGGAGAAATCCATGGATCTAACGCCCTCTTCCAAACACAGAGATAGAAAGTGAGGAGAACTATTAGGAGCAGGGCTGCAATCCCAGCTATCGGGAGGCTGAGGCAGGGAGAATTGCTTGAACCGGGGAGGCGGAGGTTGCAGTGAACCTAGATTGTGCCACTGCACTCCAGCCTGGGCAGCCTGGGCGACAGAGTGAGACTCTGTCTCAATTAAAAGAAAAAAAAAAAAGAAAAGAAAAGAAAAAGAAAAGAAAACATTGCAAACCAATGGGAAGGGATGTATTATTCAATAATAGTAATGGAAAAATTAACCGACTACTGTATTTAGATCTCAAGTTGGGGCCATCTCATAACATCCAAATAAAATGAACCTCATTTAATGTGTTCCTATAGTTCAGTCTGTTCTCACAGCAAGCTCTGGAGCCTGAGTTGTACCACAAAGATATTCTTACCTTGAGGCAAACTTAGTCTGACCTGGAGGCCCTGATAGCCATTGCCCCTAGGACTGGGGGAGGGATGGTCATAACTCCTTAGGGGAAGGGGCGCCCATTCAACCTAAGGCAATTCTCTGGAGAAGGGGCAGCAATGAACTGTCAGCCACCAGCCCTCAAGAAACAGGCAGAGTACGGTAGCTCATGCCTATAATCCCAGTACTTTGAGAGGCCGATGCAGGAGGATCACTTGAGCCCAGCAGTTCAAGGCTTCAGTGAGCTATGATGGCACCACTTCACTCCAGCCTGGGCAACAGAGCAAGACCTCATCTCTCTCTTAGAACAAAAACAAAAACAAAAACAAAAACAGCAGCAACCAGAAGATGGTTATCCCTCATGGTGAAGGGGATCTGGGCAGGGCATCCCCGCCTCTGCTACAGGGAGGGCCTATTAATATTATCATCCCCATATTACAAAAGAGGAAAGCAAGGCCTGAGAAGTGAAGGAACTTACCCATGCCCACAGCTGGAAGTGATGGTATCAAGGTCTGTTGGGTGTCACTGGCTGTTGCTGGAAGACTAAGCAGCTATTGAAACAGAGGACCAGCAAGGAACTTGGAGAAAGGCAGAGCTACTGAGTGAATCTCCTTAGAAAGGGGTGGGGAAGGCCGAGGCGGGCAGATCACGAGGTCAGGAAATCGAGACCACCCTGGCCAACATGGTGAAACCCCATCTCTACTAAAAATACTAAAAATACAAAAAAATTAGCTGGGTGTGGTGGCATGCGACTGTAGTCCCAGCTACTTGGGAGGCTGAGGAAGGAGAATCACTTGAACCCAGGAGGTGGAGTTTGCAGTGAGCTGAGATCACGCCACTGCTCTCCAGCCTGGTGACAGAGCGAGACTCCGTCTCAAAAAAAAAAAAAAAAAAAAGTGGGGGTGGGGACACGAAGGGACAGGGCTGCAAGTTGCTCACAATTACTTTGCTAAAGCCAAGCTACAGAATGACATCTGGATTCTGTAAATTCATGTATACCATGCTTGAGGACTCATGCCGCATATTCCACGTGGTGCTATAGAAAAAGTTCGTGGTGCTATAGAAAAAGTTCAGGTACTGCACGTCTCTTGACGATGATGGTGTTCACTAAGCCTCCTACCAGCTCTGTGACTTTGGGCAAGTTTCTTCACATCTCTGTGCCTCAGTTTCCTTATCTGTAAAATGGGGATAATCATATAAATGGGGTTGGTGTGAGGATTGAACGAGTTAGTATTTGTGGGGTTTTTTGGTTTTGTGTTTGAGATAGATGGAGTCTGTCTCTGTGCCCAGGCTGGAATGCGGTGGCACCATCTTGGCTCTCTGCAACCTCCGCCTCCCGGGTTCGAGCGATTCTCCTGCCTCAGCGTCCCGAGTAGCTGGGACTACAGGCGTCCACCACCACGCCCAGCTAATTTTTGTATTTTTAGCAGAGATGAGTTTTTGCCACGTTGGCCAGGCTGGTCTCAAACTCGTGACCTCAGGTGATTCGCCCACCTCAGCCTTCCAAAGTGCTGGGATTACAGGCATTAGCCACTGTGCCCGGCCTGCAACGTTTTCTTTTTCTTTTTTTCTTTTTGGAGACAGTCTCGCTCTGTCACCCAGGCTGGAGTGCCGGGGCGTAATCTTGGCTCACTGGAACCTCCGCCTCCCGGATTCAAGCGATTCTCCTCCCTCAGCCTCTCGAGTAGCTGGGATTACAGGCATGTGCCACCACGCTAGGCTAATTTTTGTATTTTTAGTAGAGACGGGGTTTCACCACGTTGGCCAGGCTGTTTTCAAACCCCTGACTTCAGGTGATCCGCCTGCCTTGGCCTCCCAAAGTGCTGGGATTACAGGCGTGAGCCACCTTGCCCGGCCCGCAATGTTTTTTCTTTCTTTCCTTCTTTCTTTCTTTATTTTATTTTTTTTTTGAGACGGAGTCTCGCTCTATTGCCCAGGCTGGAGTGGTGCAGTGGCGCGATCTCGGCTCACTGCAAGCTCCGCCTCCCGGGTTCACGCCATTCTCCTGCCTTAGTCTTCCAAGTAGCTAGGACTACAGGCGCCTGCCACCACGCCCGGCTAATTTTTTGTATTTTTAGTAGAGACGGGGTTGCACCGTGTTAGCCAGGATGGCCTCGATCTCCTGACCTCGTGATCCACCCACCTCGGCCTCCCAAAGTGCTGGGATTACAGGCGTGAGCCACCCCACCCGGTCTTTTTTTTTTTCTTTTTTGCCGGCCCGCAATGTTTTCTTAAACTTTTTATTTTTAGCTATCCTGTTGAGGTTCTTCCAGATGAATTTTAGCCTCTGACCCAGGGGTATGATTTGATAGGCGTGGAGTTCTGGTTACTTCTTAAATGAAGAGTTTCCCCAGGATATCTGAACAATTCTCTTGGGTGGAAGACTCAAGGATCATGAAAACGAAAACCAAATTCTAGTCGGCTCCTAAAGTCCTTTTGCCTCCTGCGGTTACCATCAAAGAGCTATGGTCAAAATTCCAAGGGATAATTCAGGGTCTGATTCCACTATATATCCCCAGACCGCCTATACATAAATCCATATTATTGGAGATTTACGCTTAATCCTATAATCTTTTACCTAACAGCTGTCCAGTAGAATTTTCTGGATGTCCAATAAGGTAGCCGCGTGTAGCTCTTGAACACTTGAAATGTGGCTAGTCCCCTAGAGGAACGGGATTAATTTAAATTTACATAGCTACAACTACTTATCGGTCACTGCGGTAATTGTTAAGACTGGTTTTGCCTGTAACTTGCATATGTTTTATTGGACATCAGTTTCAATATTTCATTTGCATTGCTAAAAGTCAAAATCCTTTTGACTTTGCCAGTTACTCAGTGAGAGGACAGTTGGAGCCAGTTTCTGTTCTAGGCTTACAGTTTTAAGGACAGATAAAGGTTAGTTTTTAACCTCGAGATGAACAGACTGTTAAGTTTCTACGGACTTGCCCATGGGGTTCCACAGTGAGCCTGGGCCGGGGAGGCAGGTACTGTGTCAGGGGGAAGAAAAAAGGGGCTTCTAGCTGGGCAGGTGACACACAGGGCATAGGAAGAGGTCAGTTCTTGTGGCCGAGGAGGTCCGGCCCGGGGGTCCCAGGAGCAGAGATCTCCCTTCTCTTCGATGTGGAAAGTGAGGAGGGAGCAGAGCCTTGCTCAGAAACGGAGCTCCCCCAATCCCCCACCGCCCTAGCTACTGGACTGGAACTAGGATGGACACGAATGTCCTTCTCATTGTACTAACTGCACTCAACAAGCGGGAAAGATGAAGCGAGGGGGTTTAAATGTGTGCGTTTGTTGAATGACCCACAAAAACTGAAGGAGCGCGGCCGGACTGATCACACTCCTTGAGACAAAGCGGGTGGGAGACCCAGAGGTGAGGAGGGTGGTCGCCTGTGGGCGAGGACTGGGAGGCCAGGGGTTCTCGGCGAGGCGGTCCCAGGAGGCGGCGCGGAGCCGCTGCGAGGCCGCAGGGCCGGGTCGCAAGATGGCCGGGCCGGCCTCCCGCGCGGGTCGCGCGGGCCACGCGGGCGGGTTTCAGATGTTCCGGGCCCGGGTAGGGGCTGGCAGGAGAGAAGGGGCCGGCTGCGGGGAGGGCTGGCTGAGAAGAAGCGAAAATGGGCGGTTAGCAGCAGGGACCCGGAGCCGGAGGAGCCGAGAGCAGCGCGTGCGCCGAGCTCTACTGCCTCGCGGGAAGGCGGAAGGGTGGGGAGGGCGGCGCTCGGGGCGGGAGGCCCGGCCGGGTCCGCTAGGACAGCGGGGCCGCTGGGAAGTTGTGAGAGCGGCGCTCGGGGGCGCGCTTGCGTGCACGAGGGCCCGGGCCGCGAGCAGCCGCGGCCGTCCCGGTCGCCACCCTTAGCAGCGGTCGCGGTCGGTGCCGAAGCGGTGTTCCCCGCCTTAGCCGCTGGCGCCTCCCAAGAGAGCGGCCGGTGGGCCCTCGTCCTGTCAGTGGCGTCGGAGGCCGGCGCTGCGGTGGCCGCGCCCTTCTGGTGCTCGGACACCGCTGAGGAGCCGGGGCCGGGCACGGCTGGCTGACGGCTCCGGGCAGCTAAGGCTGCCCGAGGAGAAGGCGGCGGCCGCGGCGTAGGCGCACGTCCGGCGGGCTCCTGGAGCCTGGAGGAGGCCGAGGGGACCATGTCCGGGAGGCGCTTCCACCTCTCCACCACCGACCGCGTCATCAAAGGTGCCTGGCGGGCCGGGCCTTCCTCTGGGACCCGCGGGAAACGGCCTTCGGCTGGGCGGCGGCTCGGGGCGGAGGGAGGCTGGGGCCGGGCTGCGCCCACCCTAGGAGGGCTCGGAGGGGTGTAGACAGAGCCGGGCGGCAGCCTCCGAGAGCAGCCACCCGGACCCGGCGTTTTCTGCTGCACCTGGTCAGGTGCCTGGCCGTCAGTGCCAAGTTCCCTCCCGAAGGGTTCAGGGTGCAGTGGGGACTTCTTCTCCCACCGCCCCGAAGGGCCCGGATCCCTGTCTTTTTTTCTCTTTAAGAAACGACTCGGGGGAAGCCATCGGGGGTGGTGTGAGCAGGGAGTCGACTCTTCCAAGTAAGATATTTAAGATTAGATCTTTCTTGACGTCCGCCCCCCACCCTTTTTTAGGACGTATACCATGTGCCTTTTGACCCGCTTTCTCTAGATCATTGCAAGTCACTGCTATTACTGGAATAAACTTAGTATGAACAAGTCAGATAAATCCATTATATGATGTTTAAAATAAGTTTACGGAGCTCTTGACAGGGTAATGGTATTTTATTTTCCCTTTGGTTATAAAGACTTGGAGAATGACGTTTTCTGATTCATATGTGTACCTGCGTTAGATTTCTGTTGTTGTTATAAGAACAAAATGTAAAGGGCTCTTTGCTCTCTAAATCTTGTAGAGTTTTAGGTTATAGTTGTTTCTCCCTTTAAACTAAGAAGATGGATTACACATAACCACTAATTTATGTGCTGCTTTTATTCAGCCGTAAGTCTTAGGCACAACCCTTCTCTCTGAGATTAACAATCGGTTTGAAAGCGCTATTTTGTAAGAAGGGAATAGACTTAGACCAGCTGTGTTAGTGGCCTCTGGATGCAGGGGTTAGCGTGACAGTGGGGAAAATTATTAAGATACTTTTCTTCTTTTTCATTTTGGTATTAGAAGGAGAAAGGCAACTAATACTAGTGACGGGAATACATTTTTAAAAGGTGAAACGCCTTATTGCATGTTCAGGGAGGGGGAAGAATTTTAGTGTATAACTTAGGTTTCCCCCCTCTCTCCCCAAATCAGCCTCATAAATGTTAATTATCTGTACTACATAATTATAATGGGATTTTTGAGATTTATCTGCTTAGCATTTGTATGCTATCGTTAGAGGTTTAACTGAATTGTTCATCTAACTGACATTATCCCCTGAACAGCTAAATTATTGTGACCATTTAAATGTGTCTTCATATTATTAGTGTATAGCCTATAAGAAGTATATAGCCCTCTCTTAAGATTCAGAGTGTACTTAACATAACCTTTTTTGAGGAATCAAGGTCATTATGTACATTAATTTCTGTACTGTGCTGTTAATATGGCCGGTGCGTTCTGCTGTATAAAGTTGTTAGCAGTTTCGTCCTGTACTAAAATGACTTCGCAATGCTATACCAGTTCAGTGTTTTGTTTGCTTTTAGTTTCTCTCTCCAGTACTGTTTTCTGTCAAAATATGCCCTTAACTGCTTTCTAATCTGCTACGTCTTAGCTGAAGTAGGCAGGGAAACCAGATAAGCCAGAACTGTGGGTCAAGTCAGAATAAATAGGATCTTAGTGAAGCTTAGTGCAGCCCTCAGGAATCTCACAATCAAATCACCATTGTGCCATGTAATTTCCACCATAACATGCCATAAGATCAAAAGAAGATTAAAAATCTTAAATGACCCTTAAATATAGTAATAAATATTGTAAAATAAAATGTAATAAAATAAAAAAGTTAAAATGCAGGGGCTAGGGGCAGGCATGGTGGCTCACGCCTGTAACCCCAGCACTTTGGAAGGCCCATATAGGCAGATCACTGAGGTCAGGAGTTCGAAACCAGCCTGGCCAACATGGCGAAACTCCATCTCTACTAAACATACAAAAATTAGCTGGGCATGGTGGCGGGCACTGTAATCCCAGCTACTTGGGAGTCTGAGGCACGAGAATTGCTTGAACCCGGGAGGCGGAGGTTGCAGTGAGCCAAAATGGTGCCACTGCATTCCAGTCTGGGCAACAGAGTGAAACTCTCTCTAAAAAAAAAAAAAAAAAAAAAGCAGGGGCTGGTTTATTGCTACGCATGCTTATTATTAAATAAACACTGTCATCATATCCTGCAGGATGCAAATTTGTTCTTTACCAAAATTAATTACCGAATATTGTGTACTTTTAAGACTGCTCTTAAATAAATGAAATAGAAATAATTTCAGGTCCTTAGAATGTATGGATTTCTCTCCTATATAAAAACTTCGGCATAAGAGCTTGACCACAGCATTTGTGGCTTCATGATGACTTATGGTGCTTTTTTCAGGGTTTTCCAGAGTTTGAAATAGTTGAAGAAAATGAGGTGTCACGTGTGCATAGCTAAGGTCCATTGTAACGGGTACTAAACCCTGGTCTGATGCTATCTTGTTTAGTCACAGCTGTCTGCATTTATTCACAGCTTGAAAGCTTTTTCAGAGGTGATACCACACCCCAGCTATTTTTGTTTCTGTCATTTCCTGTTAACTTTAAAGTGTACCTAATTGTTCTATTTGAGCAAATTTTGGAGAAGAGTGGGTATGTGGGAGAGGTTTGTATTTTAGGTGTCCTTTAAATAGCAGCTTTCTTAAATTGAAGGATGTGGCTGGGCGTGGTGGCTCACACCTGTAATGCCAGCTACTTGGGAGGCTGAGGCAGGAGAATCGCTTGAACCCAGGAGGCAGAGGCTATAGTGAGCCAAGATTGTGCCACTGTACTGTAGCCTGGGCGACAAGAGTGAAACTCAGTCTCAAGCCAAAAAAAAAAAAAAAACTCATCTGTAAAATAGGGTTAATAATACCTTCCCTGTCAAGCCTGGGTCATGCAAGTGACATAAAGCATGTGAAAAGGTCAAGTTAAGGTAGTACTTTGAGACATGATAATAGGTTGGTAATAGATCGCTTACTACAGAAGTAGTTAGTAGAGATATCATTAACATTTGAAAATATCAGAAAGTATGTGAAATTATAAGCTACAAAACTGTTCCTAGTCAGGTGAATACCTATTCTACAGCATAATGGATATGTGGGTGAAATCTCGTCGGTAACAATGTGAAGAGATCAGCACAGTTCTGTCTGGTACTCCCTAGGCAGCAGATTTCTTCTCTATCTGTTGAAGGTGTTTATTTTATGTTTAAACCTTCTTATGATTTTACTCATTCATTAAATGTTTATTGAGTGCCATCTGCAATGTACCCTAGTAGGTTGCTCATTCATTTCTTCTTTGCTTTAAAAGTAGCATTTCTGTGAGCCTTTAGAGCAGTTTATATGCACTGGGGCACCATAACTGGTATCTAAGCCAGAGAACTAGGCACCCAAATGATTAAATTGTGATATTCTGTCTGCTTTATTTTTTTTTCTAGTTTCCACGTTCCTTTTCCTGTTTAAGGACATGTTTTTTCTTTGACAGTGATTTTTATAAAAGCAGTTTATTTCCCTGGAATGAATCTTTTCAGAAGCAACAAGGAAATTTCAGTAGGAATTACATGACAAATATAGAGAATCCATTGTCTTATTTTGTTACTTTATGGCCAGATGGGGTTTAACAGAAAAGTCAGATTTCTTTTTAGTAAGGTGCTGATACATTTCTCCCTTTCTCTTAGAATTCAAATATATTGTGTATTCACAGAGTACTGTACCATTTTTACCACACATGGCAGGCTACTGTTTCTTTAATATCGTGGCACTGGGAATATTGTGCTTATGGCTTTCTTAAAATATTTTAATATTAGTGTGGACAAAAATTGCTATTTCTACAAATATACCCTAAACCCGATTTCAATCTCTGGTACCTATACTTCATTTCTTTCCACAACTCTCCCCCGACTCTCCCTTTTTTATATCCATAATGGATTTACCGAGGGTTTAAAATTTTTTCTCTTAAATATAAGCTTAATCCTGCTACTTATACAATTTGAAAATCAGAAAGGGAAGAAAAGAAAGACTTCATATTCCTTCCCAGCAGAAATAACTGCTTTTAATACCTTTGTGTGTTTCCATCTGCAGGTATATTTTGAATTCAAAGGAAAATGGATCACACATATTAAAGCTTTTGTTATGCAAATATTTCATATTATTTTAACATAAATATTGTAATTTTACCTAAATATTTCCATAATGGTTTCAATCAGCATGGAAATGGTTTTAGAGTGCTTATATTAATATTTTGGTTCTTTATATTTTCAGTGGGGACACATTAGTCACTTGATACAATACCAACCCAGAAGAAACATTTTCAAGTATAAATTTTCAATGTGAATACGTTTTAAAGTTGATATCTCCTGGATTTGTCAACAGTATTTGTTTAATTTATGCTTCATTTACCATTGTGATTAACAAGCTGCCAAACTTTTGAAACATTCAAAATCAGTGCTAATCGAGATTCATACATCTGAGTAGAAATCTGGAACCTCTGAAAGGGCATCTTAATTTAAACACTTAATTTTTTTCTTTTTGAGCAAGGATAAAGTATTCTTTCTTACCTATACGTTATTGGTTGTGATCAAAGCTTTATTTATGGTCTGACATTTGATAATTAAGCTTTCTCTCTTTTATTGCATTTTAAAATAGGATTAAAAATTTTTTTTGCCTTACGTAATTTTTAGTGTACCATAACTTTTACTGGAGTGTATATGGGAAAATGTACAAATTATAAATGTACAGCTTAGTGAGTTTTTACAAATTTAGCACCCACATACCCATGTAACCACTCAACCAAAATAAATAGATTACCAGAATCCCAGAAACAAGCATGAGTTCACGTTCAGTCCACTGGTTTCCATCCCTAAATGGGCAACAGTGGGGAAAATATGACACTTGTAACCATTATTCTGGCGTCTAACGTCATATTTGTAAAGTAACATACTAATCACATCTTACTGTAAAGTGAAAAAAACAAGGGACTCTGAGAGAAAAATGCTAAGGACTCATTACTTAAAGTGAAATAATTAATTAAAGACCTTTTCCTAAGCAGTATTTGATACTAGGAATTGAATGTCTTTCTATTAAGGTAACATTTTTGGAAAAAGCTAATTTTTAGGCCAGGCGTGGTGGCTCACGCCTATAATCCCAGTACTTTGGGAAGCCGAGGTGGGTGGATCACCTGAGGTCCGGCCAACGTGGCGAAACCCAGTCCCTATTAAAAATACAAAAATTAACTAGGCATGGTGGTGCACACCTGTAGTCCCAGCTACTTAGGAGGCTGAGGTAGGAGAATCGTTTGAATCTGGGAGGCAGAAGTTGCAGTGAACTGAGATTGCGCCACTGCACTCTAGTCTGGGTGACAGAGCAAGACTCTGTCTCAAAAAAAAAAAAAAAAAAAAAAAAAAAGCTGATTTTTAGACATGTCTCTATTAGAGACAAAATTATTCATTTAATTCCGGGATTTGTAGTCATTTTGGAACTTTGCTGCTACTTAATTGCTAAATGACTAATGGGAATAAAGGGATGTCTTAGAATCATTACCATCCTTTGGTGCAATCATTACTAGACTATAATGCCCGTTTATAGTTTTTTTTGGTGGGGGACAGGGTCTCGCTCTGTTGCCCAGGCTGGAGTACAGTGGCGCGATCATGGCTCGCTGCAGCTTCAGCTTCCTGGGCTCAGGTGATCCACCTCAGCCTCCCGAGTAGTTGGAACCACAGGCATAGCATACGCCACCGTGTCCAACTAATTTTTTTTTTTTTTTTTTTTTTGTGACAGAGTCTCGCTCTGTCGTCCAGGCTGGAGTGCAGTGGCGCAATCTCGGCTCACTGCAAGCTCTGCCTCCCGGGTTCATGCCATTCTCCTGCCTCAGCCTCCTGAGTAGCTGGGACTACAGGCACCTGCCACCATGCCCGGCTAATTTTTTTTTGTATTTTTAGTAGAGACGGGGTTTCACTGTGTTAGCCAGGATGGTCTCGGTCTCCTGACCTCGTGATCCGCCCGTCTCGGCCTCCCAAAGTGCTGGGATTACAGGCGTGAGCCACCGAGCCTGGCCTAATTTTGGTATTTTTTATAGAGGTGGAGTTTCGCCCTGTTGTTGAGGCTGGTCTTGAACTCCTGGGCTCAAGCGATCCTCTTGCCTTTGTCTCCCAAAGTGCTGGGATTACGGTGTGAGCCACTGCGCCCTGCCTTTTATAGTCTTAATGTTAAAATTTAGCAGCATTTTACATTTCAAAACTGAGGCCTAAAACTTTCAACCTAACCTAAGTGGTATCTTTCTTAGTTACCCTTATATTCTATCTGGTTATCCAGATGAATGTAGAGAGAACTTTTAGTTCCCCATATTCAATTTTGTTTTGTTGGCACTTTAGATTATCCTGAAGTCTTTTAGTTTCTTGAGTCTTCGTTTGTTGTTTGAAGAGGGTTTAACTTGGTAACCAGGATCTTTAAATTGGGCACAGAAAGATATACTGGATGGCTGGACAAGATAATGTATTTCTTTGATGATCATTACTAGATTTACTAATTGCTAACAGTTCATGAAGGTTTTTTTGCAGTGTCTAGACAATGTCAGCCCAAGAGACTGAAATTCTAAATGAACAAACACTGAGAAATATTTGAAGAATTCATTCAGTAATTACCTATGTAACATTCTTGCTAAAGGTGTTTAATTTAAGCTGAGCTTAGTTATAGTAGACAATCAGACAAATCCAGTTTGTGGGACTTTCTACAAGACAGTTGGCCTGAACTCTAAAAATTTCAAAGTGGTGAAAACGAAACGAAACAAAAAGGGCAGGAAGACTGTTCTAGATGAAAGAAGTTGAAAGAGAAATGACAGTCAAGTACAGTGTCAAGCCTGGATTAAGAAAACAAAAAACCATAGAGGACATTTTGGGGATAACTGGGAAAATTTGAATATGGTGTATATATTAGACGGTATTATACCTTTTTTTTGTTTTTTTTTTTTTTTGAGATGGAGTTTCGCTCTTGTTGCCCAGGCTGGAATGCAATAGCGTGATCTCGGCTCACCGCAACCTCTGCCTGCCGGGTTCAAGCGATTCTCCTGCCTCAGCCTCCCGAGTAGCTGGGATTACAGGCATGCACCACCGCACTGGGCTAATTTTATATTTTTAGTAGAGACGAGGTTTCTCCGTATTGGTCAGGCTGGTCTCGAGCTCCCGACCTCAGGTGATCTGCCCACCTCCGCCTCCCAAAGTGCTGGGATTACAGGTGTGAGCCACCGTGCCTGGCCTATATCATTGTTAAATGTCTTGAATGTGACTATATGGTATTATGGTTATATAGGAAAATGATCTTATTTTTAGGCAATACCTGATGAAGTATTAGTATGTTGAAATGTCGTGATTTTTGCAATTTGCTTTTAAATTGTTCAAAAAAAAATCATTTGTAGAGAAAAAAGCGAAAGTGGCAAAACATTTACTATGGTGAATCTAGGTAAGAGCATATGGGTGTTCATTTTATGATTCTTTCACTTTTTAAATAGATTTCAGTTTTTCAAAATGTAAAGTTGGGGACAGCCAGGCATGGTGGCTCTCGCCTATAGTCCCAGCTGCTTGGGAGGCTGAAGCGGGAGGATTGCTTGAGGCCAGGAGTTCCAAGGCTTCAGTGAACTATGATTGCACTACTGTGTTCCAGCTTGGGTGACACAGTGAGCACCCATCTCTATTTAAAAAAGAAAAAAAAGTTAGGGAGAAAAAAAGTACAATGAAGAAATGGCTTGGCTGGGCGCAGTGGCTCATGCCTGTAATCCCAGTACTTTGGGAGGCCAAGGCGGCTGGATCACTTGAGCTCAGGAATTCGAGACTAGCCTGGCAACATGGTGAAACCCCGTGTCTACAAAAAATATAAAAAATTAGCCAGGTGTGGTGGCCTGCACCTGTGGACCCAGCTACTTGGGAGGCTGAGGTGGGAGGATCACCTGAGCCAGGAGGTGGAGGTTGCAGGTTGCAGTGGGCCAAGATAGCGCCACACTCCAGCCTGGGTGACTGAGACCCCATCTCAAAAAAAAAAAAAAAAAAAAAAAAAGGAAATGCCTCAAAACAGCTACAGCTAGGTTTAGGAAAGGCTGTCATCATATTTGAGGATTCCATAGTGTCTTAATGGGGGAAAGCTGAAAAGAAGAAAATGAGCCTTAAAGAATATTATAGCTGATGTGAAGTGGAGGCAGCTTGTTTAGCAGAAAAAGTAGTGGTTTCAGCTGCATGATGGGGGTTAGAAAAACATACAGAAGTCAGTATGGAGAAAGAAAAGGTACTTAACTAAGAAGTAGAGAGAAGATGGGCAAACTAGAAGGGCCAGAGAACTGAAATACATAAAATGAAGAAAAAGAAGAGGGATAGTTGAAAACTGGTGGAGCAGTTGACATCAATTTCATTAATGGGACAGCAAGACTATTTTGATGACTGTTATTTTTTTCTTTTCTTTTTTTTTTTTTTTTCTGAGACAGAGTCTCGCTGTCGCCCGGGCTGGAATGCAGTGGCGCAATCTCGGCTCACTGCAACCTCTGTCTCCCGGGTTCAAGTGATTATCCTGCCTCAGCCTCCTGAGTGGCTGGGATTACAGGTGTGCGCCACCACACCCAGCTAATTTTTTTTTGTATTTTTAGTAGAGAAGGGGTTTCACCATGTTGGTCAGGCTGGTCTTGAACTCCTGACCTTGTGATCTGCCCACCTTGGTCTCCCAAAGTGCTGGGATTACAGGCGTGAGCCACCGCGCCCGGCTGTGATGACCATGTTTTAAAAACCCAAAACAAATAGACTTATAAACCTATTCTGAAATCATAGAAAATCCAAATATTACCCAGACAGTTGATGTGGAAAGTGGAATAGCTATGTTTTTAATTTTATTGAAGAGATTGAAGTGAAAAAAGGGGTGGTAGTGGGATAAAGTAAATATTAACACTAATGAGTAGAGGAGAAAAAAAGGATTTTCTAAGTGTATTTTTCATCCCTGTTAATTGCACCACTCACCCATTTAGTCACTGATTCAGATGACCAGCCTGGGAATCAGGCCAGACTCTTTCTTCTCCATTTTACTGCATGTCCAGTCCCACCAGACTAAATGCTGTGAACCTTTGGTTTGTACATATCCTCTACTTCATCCTATTCTCACACCTTTTGCTTGTGCCATTGCAGGAGCCTCTTGCTGAGACTATGTAGTCTGTCCACGCTGTCATCGTGATCTGTGAACAATATCAAGGGTCATTCTTGTGCTCAAAATCCTTCATGAGCACTTCCTGCCTGTGGGATAAACTCTTTGTTGATGGGCAGTACCCTGCATGCTAAACCTCTCTAGGCTTGTGTTCCATTTCTTCCTCCTCATTTCACAACCCTCATCCCCAACCTACTTTATTTTTATTTATTTATTTATTTATTTATTTATTTATTTATTTATTTATTTATTTATTGAGACGGAGTCTCGCTCTGTCACCCAGGCTAGAGTGCAGTGGCGCCACCACGGCTCACTGAAAGCTCCGCCTCCGGATTCACGCCATTCTCCTGCCTCAGCCTCCTGAGTAGCTGGGACTACAGCCACGCGCCACCACGCCCGGCTAATTTTTCTTTTTTTTTTTTTAATAGAGATGGGGTTTCACCGTGTTAGCCAAGATAGTCTTGATTTCCTGAGCTCATGATCTGCCCACCACGGCCTCCCAAAGTGCTGGGATTACAGGCGTGAGCCACCGCACCCGGCCCATTTATTTATTTTTGAGACAGAGTCTCACTCTGTCTCCCAGGCTGGAGTGCAGTGGCGCCATCTTGGCTCACTGCAACCTCCGCCTCCCAGGTTCAAGTGATTCTCCTGCCCCAGCCTCCCGAGTAGCTGGGATTACAGGTGCATGCCACCACGCCCAGCTAGTTTTTGTATTTTTAGTAGTGATGGGGTTTCACCATGTTGGCCAGGCTGGTCTCAAACTTCTGACCTCAGGTGATCTGCCCTCCTCGGCCTCCCAAAGTGCTGGGATTACAGGCGTGAGCCACTGTGTCCGGCCCCCAGCCTCCTTTAATACTACAGGTTGAGTGTTCCTAATCCAAAATCTGACATTCTCCAAAATCTGAAGCTTTTTGAGTGCCAGATGACACCACAAGTGGACACTTTCTTTCCTGACCTCATGTGATGGGTTGTAATCAAAACCTGGGGACATAACCCAAAGTTTTTTCAGTGTCCCCAAGGGAAAAAGACCCTCCCAGCCCCCTTCGGTTGTGATATATCTTTTCCATGCACAGCATGATGGTGATGTCCAGGCAACCACAGATTGACCACGTAGGTGGCTAAGGGTAGTGACACATTTGCTTTCTAATTCAGTGTACGCAAATTTATTTTGTGCACAAAATTATTAAAAATATTTATAAAATTATCTTCACATTCTGTGTATATGAAACATAAATGAATTTTGTGTTTGGACTTGGGTTCCATTCCCAACACATCTCATTATGTATATGCAAATATTCCCAAATCTGAAACAATCTGAAATTGAAATGCTTCTGGTCCTAAGCACTTTGAATAAGAAGTCATACTTGTCGTCCTAGAATGTTTTATATCTGTGAATGGGCTCTTTGCTTCTGTGCATAATGGTTTTTTTTTTTTTTAACAGTTTTAGAGATAAGGCCTCACTCTGTTGTCTAGGCTGGAGTGCAGTAATGCGATCAATGCTCACTGTGGCCTCAAACAAACTCCTGGCCTCAATTGATCGTCCTGCCTCATCCCTCTGAGTAGCTGGGACTACAGGCGTGTGCTGCCATGTCTGGCTAAATGTTTTATTTTTATTACTTTTTTGTAGTGACAGGGTCTTGCTATGTTGCCCAGCCTGGTCTCAAACTCCTGGCCTCAAGTGTTCCTCCCACCTCCCAGAGAGCTGGGATTACAGGCATGAGCCACTGTGCCTGGCCCTGCGTAGAATCTTGTCCCTCAGCTTGACCAGCTCCTGTTTGTTTTTCAAGATTTAGCCAAGGGGACTTCTGAGAAGCTTTTTCTTCTCTGCTAAGAAGCTGTGGAGAGTAATGGTTTGAGAACATGGGCTTCAGTCAGACATACCTGGATTCAAATTTCTGTTTGTTTTTTTTTTCAAGGAGATGGAGTCTTGCTCTGTTAGCCGGCTGAAGAAGTGCAGTGGCACCATCATAGCTCACTGCAGCCTCAAACTCCTGGGCTCAAGTGATTCTCTTGCCTCATTCTCATGCCTGGCACTACAAGCATGTGCTACTATGCCCAGCTCAAATTCTTTTAGTGATGCATGACCTTAGATAAATCACTTACACTTGTTTTACCTGCATTTCTTTATGTGTAGAAGAGGGATAATGAAACTTGCAGTGGCAAGCACATAGTGAGTACTCCATATATGTTATGGTAGGTGCTGCTGCCGCCATCGCTATCATCATCATCATCATAAGAATTACTGTCTCCTATGAGCTCCCATAAACAATCTCATTGCTTTGCAAATCGCTTTAAATATTTTCTTGTCCTTTCTTCACAATAAACTCCTCTCTTTAAGGGCAACCACTGTATCCTTAATGCTGAATGCAGTGCTTAACACACGCTTAGGTGCTTAGTAAATATTTAAGTATGTGCAAGCATAAGAAGCTTATTTTATGGATGACAGTGTAAGAAAGAGTACAGACTCTGCTGATTACCAGCCGTGTGGCCTTTGAGCTTTGTTATTTATTTTCCTTGCCACAGGTGTAAAATGGGAGATAGTGCCTACCTCAGAATTTAAAGATTACATCTCATATTGTATGTAAAGTGCTTAGCATAATGCCCATAGTGGGTGGTTAATAAATGTTAGCTATTATTTAAAAAATAAATCAATCTTGGATCTTGGCGAGATTTGACAGTAGATCTATTTTACTTTAAGTGACATGTGAAATGAAGATTTAAGAGTACTGTATTTTATATAGTCACGCTTACATAGTTGCTTAATAATTCGGAGTTCTGACAAATGCATCCTTAGGCGATTTCATCATTATGCAAACATTGTATAGTGTACAGTTATCCCTTGGTATATGTGAGAGCTTAGTTCCAGGACCCCCACATATACCAAAATCCCTGAATATTCAAGTCCAGAAGTTGGCCCTGTGGAACCTGAGAATTCAAAAAGTTGGCCCTCTGTATTTGCAGGATGGGGTTTTGCAGCCTGTGTTTGGTTGAAAACATTTGCATATAAGTGAACCAGTGCAGTTCAAACCCATGTTGTTTGAGTTAACCATACTTATACAAACCTAGATGTTATATATATCTACAAACGTAGATGTTACACACCTAGGCTGTATGGTATATAGCCTATTGCTCCTAATCTACAAACCTGTGCAGCATGTTACTCTATTTAATACTGTAGGCAACTGTAACACAACAGTAAGTCTTTGGGTATCTAAACATATCTAAACCTAGAAAAGGTACAGTAAAAGTACAGTATTAAAGATAAAAAATGGTCCACCTGTGGAGGGCACTTAACATGAATAGGGCTTGCAGGACTGGAAATTGCTCTGGGTGAGTCAGGGAGTATGTGGTGAGTGAATGTGAAGGCCTAGGGCATTACTGTAGAACACCGCAGGCTTTACAAACACTGCACACTTAGGCTATGCTAAATTTATAAAATATTTTTCTTCAATAGTAAATTAGCCTTAGCTTACTGTAACTTTTACTTTATAAACTTAAAAATTTTTAAACTTTTTAACTCTTGTACTCATACTTAGCTTAAAACACAAACACATATAGCTGTACATATTTTCTTTCATATCCTTATTCTTATAAGCTTTTACGATTTCAAACATTTCTTATTTTTAAAACTTTTTTGTTAAAAATGAACACACACCACATACATTAGCTGAGGCCTCCAGAGAGTCAGGATGATCAATGTCACTGTCTTCTACCTCCACCTCCTGTCCCACTGGAAGGTCTTCAGGGGAATTAACAGGCATGGAGCAGTCACCTCCTATGACAACAATGCCTTCTCATGGAATACTTCCTGAAGGACCTGTCTGGGGCTGTTTTACAGTTACCTTTTTTTTGTTGTTTTTGTTTTTTGAATAAGTAGAAGGAGTATACTCTAAAGTAATGATTAAAAGGGTGGTATAGTGAATGTATAAGCCAGTAACATATTTGTTATCGTTATATGACTGGCAGTGCAGTAGGTTTGTTTACACCGGCAGTACCACAAATGTGAGTAGTAGTGCCTTATGCCGTGATGTTAAGACAGGTGAAAACATCACTAGGTGATAGAAACTTTTCAGCTCCATTATAATCTTACAGGATCTCTGTCATATATATATAGTCTTGTAGACTGAAATATTGCTATGTGGCACATGACTGTTTTCTAACTTTAGTCTTAGATATTGAAAGGATTTAAGGCTGGGCGCGGTGGCTCACGCCTGTAATCCCAGCACTTTGGGAGGCCGAGGCGGGTGGATCATGAGTTCAGGAGATCGAGACCACGGTGAAACCCCATCTCTACTAAAAATACAAAAAATTAGCCGGGCGCGGTGGTGGACACCTGTAGTCCCAGCTACTCGGGAGGCTAAGGCAGGAGAATGGCATGAACCCGGGAGGCAGAGCTTGCAGTGAGCCGAGATTGCGCCACTGCACTCCAGCCTGGGCGACAGAGTGAGACTCCATCTCAAAAAAAAAAAAAAAAAAAGAAAGAAAGGACTTAAACCTAAAATGCTTAAGAAGAAAAATGATGAAATTTTCCTTTTCTATAGTATAGATAGAATTTTGGAAGTGATGTATTCATAAATATTTGATGAGTTCCTATTACATGGAGCACATTTCTGGTTATGCTTAGAAGGGTTAAATACTACTTGAAAAGTACTCATGCGGTGTAGCATATAATAGCCTCTCAAAAATGTCACAGAAATTTAGAACTATATAGTGACCTATGACTAATCCCACTGCAAAAGGAGCAGGTGACTAAATTGTAGACAATACCTGGTGTGAAATGTTTGTTCCCTTGATCTATAAATTGATAATCCTTTAATGTTTAATCTGACTGTGACTAGTGGCCTGAAGAGGTAAGACTTTTGTGTTTTTTTATGTGTGTGCCTACGTATGTTTTTTTCTTGTGACCTAAGGCTTTGTGGAAGTTTAAAATAGAGTGATTTTAATGAATGGCTGGAGTAATAAAGATAGTTGGTGGGCTTCTCCATGGAAGCAAGTTGGTTATTTTTAACTACTTTGCACTGCTTTATGGAAAACATATGCCACTATAGAAGTTATTGTTTCTGTTGACTGTGACTGGTGGTGGTTATTACTTAGTTGGTTCTAGGAGGGCCAGTTTTTAGCTAATACTTTGAAAGTGAGTTCTGTGACTATTATTACTTAGTTGGTTCTAGGAGGGCCAGTTTTTAGCTAATACTTTGAAAGTGAGTTCTGTGACTATTATTACTTAGTTGGTTCTAGGAGGGCCAGTTTTTAGCTAATACTTTGAAAGTGAGTTCTGTGACTATCAAAGACCAGAGGAATAATCTCAAAGAAGCTGATCAGATCATGGAACTAAAGTCACTTGTTCTGGTGAGGAACAGTTGAAAGGGCACATAATACTTTTGGTAATAATATTTAATGTAACTTATTTAGCAGTGCGTGTTCATGATTGGCAAGGCAGGTGAGTAGATTAGGAAATGAGTCTGAAAAAGTAGGGCAGGACTGCTGGCTTAAAATAGGAGTGAAAGCAGTGAACAGACATAGCTATTTAGGCAAATCCTAGTGTCCCATGAGGATAAGACTACCACAATAATCTAAAAATAATAGCTTATAGGCCAATAACCTTTAAGGTTTATGTTTCATACTCACCGCAGGTCAACCCATGTGGCTGTTTCTCATTTATGCAGATCTACATCAGATTTTACTTGTGTTTACCTGAAAATACATATTGTTTATGTAGTCAATGTATATTGTAGTAGCATACAGAATCTGATCTTGAAAAGGTTGCAGAATTTCTTGAGTGTACTTTAGGAACTTAGTTTTTCAAAATTTATTTAATTTTTATTTTGATAATTATAGATTCACAGGAGGTTGTAAATAAAGAAATGTAAAGGGAGGTCCCAAACACCTCTCCCCTAACTCCCTTCCCTCTCTTTGCCCGTGTCAGTATCCCACACCACCACACACAGTAGTATACCAAAACCAGGAAATTGACATTGGTACAGTCCATAGAGCTTGTTCAGATTTCACCAGTTATACATGCATTCCTGTCTGTGTATGTGTGTTTAGCTTTACACAATTTCACATATAGGTAGCATAACTACCAGCACAATAAGGGTACTCAACAGTACCGTAACCACAAGATTTAGTTACTTCCCCTGTATAGCTACACCAGTCCCCCTTCTCCACGGGAAACTCAGTTTTATAGTTTGGCTATTGTTTTTAATCATGTGCAAACCTGGTTTGATTAAGGTTTTTGCTTCTGATTTGGAAGCATTGTTAAATAATTTTTAATGAAATACAGGTAATCTGAAAGCAGCTGACACATGGTAAAAAGCTAGATTTGGGAACACTGAAAGACTTCTTGGATGCATAGGCTTAGAATGATTCTCAGCTGTGATTTATTTCCTCCCTCCCTCCCTCCCTCCCTCCCTCCCTCCCTTCCTCCCTTCCTCCCTTCCTCCCTCCCTTCCTTCCCCTCCCTCCCTCCCTCCCTCCTTCCCTCCCTCCTTCCTTCCCTCCTTCCCCCTCCATCCCTTCCCCTCTCTCAATATTCTGTAATATTGAAATATTTCGTTAAAAATATACAGCATATTACATATATATCTGAAATTTTCTCCTTTCTTCCTTTTAGTATACCTTCTATTTATTTTGGTACCAAGAATAGAGTGCTGCTGTAACAAACACCTAAAAGTGTGGAAGTGGCTTTGGAACTTCTGAAAGACCCAGCCCAAGTCCCATCTTCATTTATTTATTTATTTATTTTTAAGAATTTTTTTTCCAAGGCTGGATCTCGGCTCACTGCAACCTCCGCCTCCTAGGTTCAAGTGATTCTCCTGCCTCAGCCTCTGGAGTAGCTGGGACTACAGGTGCACACCACCATGCCCGACTAATTTTTGTGGTTTTTAGTAGAGATAGGGAGGGTTTCACGATGTTGGCCAGGCTGCTCTTGAACTCCAGGCCTCAAGCGATCCATCTGCTTCATCCTCCCAAAGTTCTGGAATTACAGGCATGAGCCACTGCACCCAGCCCAAGTCTCAACTTTCTCATACACTTAATTGATTTCTGTAGCTATCGTTGATTTCCCCCTTTATAATCTTCCGTACTTACAGTCTGAACCATACAATGTACTGCTTAACTATTCTGTGTTTATATCTTGTTTTATGCGAATTCTACTCAACTAGAGCATATGATTCTTCAAGGTAGAATAAATGTGTTAAACTTGTATATTTCGGCCGGGCGCAGTGGCTTACGCCTGTAATCCCAGCACTTTGGGAGGCCAAGGCGGGCGGATCACCTGAGGTCAGGAGTTCGAGATCAGCCTGGGCAACACGGTGAAACCCCGTCTCTACTAAAAATACAAAATTAGCCAGGCGTGGTGGCACATGCCTGTAATCCCAGCTACTCAGGAGGCTGAGGCAGGAGAACCGCTTGAACCTGGGAGGCAGAGGATGCAGTGAGCCGAGATCGTGCCATTGCACTCCAGCCTGGGCAACAAGAGTAAATCTCCGTCGCACCAAAAAACAAAAAAAACAAAAAAAACACACAAAAACAACTTGTATATTTCACACATTACCCATACAATGTGAGCATGTAGTAGGTACCAGATAAACATTTAGTTATTTAACTAGAATATAATTACTGCTCTAGTATTTTTTCCCTAGCACTTTCAAACGTTACTCAAAGAATCCTTCTAGCTCTTTGATACAAATTTTAGAACTTCACTATTAACAAATATCAGCTGGGCTCGGTGGCTCACGCCTGTAATCCTAGCACTTTGGGAGGCCGAGGCAGGCGGATTGCTTGAGGTCAGGAATTTGAGATCAGCCTGACCAACATGGTGAAACCTTGTCTCTACTAAGAATACAAAAATTAGCTGGCCGTGGTGGTTCTCAACTGTAATCCTAGCTACTTGGGAGGCTGAGACAGGAGAATTGCTTGAACCTGAGAGGCAGAGGTTGCAGTGAGCTGAGATCATGCCACTGCATTCCAGCCTGGGCAACAGAGCGAGACACCGTCTCAAAAAAAATAAAAATAAAAATAAAAATAAATAAATAAAATAAAGTAAAATAAAAATATATATATATCACTACTAGCTAGGATTTTAGGAAGGCTACCTATAGAAACTTAGATATATTTAGTTATGGAATGTTTTGTTTTTCAGTTGGTAATGTACACTCTTTCAGTGTTTCAAAGGAGGATACTGGATAATTCGATTTGAATTGTAAATCTCCCCAACTGGTGTTGGAGAAACCAGAGGAGTTGATGATTTTATACACAGTCTTTCCTACCTCTTATTATTGAGAAAAGAGTGTTAATTGTGGTCAATGAATTTCTTCAAAGTTTGCTGCTTTTAAATCAAATTAAGGAAGTCAGCAACTATAAGTAGAATGATATGAATAAAATGTTTCATTGTTATGAAGAAGTGTTAGTAGCACGTGGCATTATGTGTTTCACATATTGAAGTTGACACCAGAAATATACATTTGTAATTTTTTTTTTTTTTCTGAGACAGAGTCTAGCACTGCTGCCCAGGCTGGAGTATAGTGGTGCAGTCATAGCTCACTGCAGCCTGGAACTCCTGGGCCCAAGTGATCGTTCCGCCTCCACCTACACCTCCCAAGTAGCTGGAATTACAGGCACATGCCACTGTGCCCAGACCATTTTAGTGATTTGTTATTTTTTAAATCTCTATTCTCTTTTTAATACAGAGCTGCAAATTTCTTACTTTTCTTTAGTGCAATCCATGTGTGAAATATGTGTTATAATTTGTAACTAACAATATTTGAAGTCCTGAAGTTTTTGAATGATCTTGTATGTAAGATTAGAGTAGATTCATGGTTCCCACTAATAACCACTTCATTATTATCACTTTGTTATGTGTGTGTGTGTGTGTGTGTTTAAAGAGATAAACTTATAGGTGGTTTATCTAGAATTGTGTAAAATACTTTCATTTTCATGAGAGAGTATCTTGCATGTGAGTATTATTTGTCACATGTTATGCCTACATTGTTGGTTGGACTTAAACTTTAGTGACCTCTCAGAGATTATTTTCATTCTAGTTCATGTCATATTACTTTGATATATGTATTAAGAAGAAGTACAAGAGATTATTTAATGCTATTGTCTGAATGTTTGTGACCCCCCAGAATTTGTATGTTGAAATCCTAATCCCCAATGTAATGGTATTAGGAGGTATGGTCTTGGGGAGGTGAAGTTTTTATAAATTTCTAAAAGAAAGTATAGGAAAAATCTTTGTGACTTTGGGGTAGACTATTTTCTTAGATAGGTCATAGAAGGCATGAACCATAAACGCTGACAATTGGACTTTTGAAAAATTGTTCTTCTAAAGATGTTTAAGAAAATGAAGAGGCAAGCCACAGAATGGGAGAAAATATCTATACTGCATTAGTGGAGTTTACTACTAAATTAAGAAAACATTAGAAGATTGTCTATATAGTATAACTGATTATAAAATAATGTATTTACATATTTAAAATATTAAGATATATACTGACATCTTAACAGTAGTTGTCTTTGGCTGGTGAGATTCTAAGAGTTTTGTTTTTGTGGTGGTTATTGTTTTTTGTTTTGTGCTCTTTTAAAAAATTGTTTTGCCTCAAGTGTATAGTATCTTTGATTTATAAAAATCTTTAAATAAAGATAGGATAGTTTGAAAGATTAGCAGAATGTTTACAATCAATACTTGATACTACATGGATAATACTTTCCTATTCTATTTTTGTAAATTCTGTGCTTGAAAATTTCAAAGAATTTTTTGTGTGTGAGTGTGTGTTTTGAGGTGGAGTCTCGCTATGTTGCCCAGGCTGGTCTCAAACTCCTGTCCTCAAGTGATTTTCCCATCTTGGCCCCCTGTAGCATTGAGATTACAAGCATGAGCCACCATTCCCAGGCCAAAACTTTCGAAACTTTAAAAAATAGCATGAAAACCTTTATTTTAGTCCAGGTGCAATGGCTCACATCTGTAAACCTGGCACTTTGGGAGGCTGAGGTGGGAGAACTGCTTGAAGCCAGGAGTTTGAGACCAGCCTGGGCAACATGATGACACCTGTCTCTACAGAAAATTTAAAAATTAGTCAGGTGTCATGGTGCATATCTGAAGTCCCAGCTACTCTGGAAGCTGAGGTGAGAGGATTGCTTGAGGAGTTCGAGGCTACCGTGAGGCATGATCAAGCAGCTGCACACCATCCAGCCTGAGTGACAGAGTGAGAGACCCTGTGTCTAAAAATGAAAAAAGAAAATCTTTACTTTATTTATTTATTTTTTGAGATAGAGTCTTGCTCAGTTGCCCAGGCTGGAGTGCAGTGGTGTGATCTCGGCTCACTGCAACCTCCACCTCCCAGGTTCAAGTGATTCTCCTGCCTTAGCCTCCCGAGTAGCTGGAACTACAGGTGTCTACCACCATGCCCGGCTAATTTTTGTGTTTTTAATAGAAACAGGATTTCACCATATTGGCCAGGCTGGTCACGAACTCCTGACCTTGTTATCCGCCCACCTTGGCCTCCCAAAGTGCTAGGATTACAGGCGTGAGCCACCGCACCCAGCTGAAAATCTTTACTTTATTTACAGCACTTTGTGAGCCATATTTAGCAAACATAGTTCCACATATGAAGTTTGTTTTTAATGATAAGGGGTTTTTAAACTTGATTTTTAGTATAAATACACAGTATAATAAAAGTTTGTTTACATTAGATATGAAGCTAATTACCACCCCTAACTGCTGGCTGGTTTTCTAGAATTGTAGAAGCAGGTGGTGAATTTTCCTGTCTGCTGATATCCAAAACACTCTGATTCCTGGGTAAGTTCCAGCAGTATTGGATGTTGGTAATATTACTGTTGGTCGATTAATTTATGATAGTATTATATACATCTCTAAAGTCTAATTCTATGTATTTTTTAAGTAAATAGTAGAATAACATGGCATAACATTTTAAAAGGTATGTGGTAAAAAGTCTTCCTATTCCTAACTGTCAGCCACCAGTTTCCTGCCATGGGACTGTTAAATCTCACCACCAAAGACCACCAAGAAAACATCTGTAGTCAAAAATAAGTTACACTGATTTAGCTTGCTGCAGGAAGGAATAACATACATCAGAAGAGCTGTGGGACCTCTCAAAAGGATAGAGTTAGGAAAGAGGACATACAGGATTTTAGGAGCTGTTAGTCACAGAGTAATGTTAGGATAAAGGTAGTAGTCTGGGCAGGGATTGGCTAGAATATGTAATTTGAGTGAGTTGCTGGAACAGCCAGTAGTTTTGCCTCTAGGACACATAAGTCCCTGAGGATTTACTGTTAGATCAGTTTGTGGTACTAGAACATACGGGTATGAGTGAGCTGATATTAATAAAGGTTTGAGGCTGGGCACAGTGGCTCACACCTTTAATCCCAGTGCATTGGGAGTCTAGGATGGGAGGATCGCATGAGGCCAGGAGTTTGAGACTAGCCTGTTTAACTTAGTGAGACCTCAGTCTTTAAAAAAATTTTTTTAAAATTAAAATTAACTGAGTGTGGTGGCACACACCTGTAGTCTTAGGTACTTGGGAGGCTGAGGGGGAGGATCACTTGAACTCAAGAGTTGGAGACTGCAGTGAGCTATGATCATGCCACTGCACCCCAGCCTGGGTGACAGAGGGAGACCCTCTCTCTTAAAAAGAAAAAAAATAAGGTTTGAGCTTAGATGGCCTGTGATGCACAGTACATTGCGGTTTGGTTTGGTTCAGTTTATCTGTTTTGCAAGTACTAAGTGCTTTTCTGTGCATCTGCAAGCAATTTGTAGTGTAATTTCAGTTTTGTTTCACTTTTTAATCTCTGTTTCTGATCATTCGTCCGCTAAACTGGAACATTTACCATTTAGGGGAGGTGATCAATCAAGATTTCAAACTGTCGTTTGATGGGTTGTGAATGTTTATAAAGCTTTGATGGTAGACATTTTGGCCTCTACAGGCACCAGGCCATTTTGTTCTTTTTTTTCTTTTTTCTTTTTTTTTTTTTGAGACGGAGTCTTGCTCTGTTGCCCAGGCTGGAGTGCGGTGGCACGATCTCGGCTCACTGCAAGCTCCGCCTCCTGAGTTCACACCATTCTCCTGCCTCAGCCTCCTGAGTAGCTGGGACTACAGGCACCCGCCACCATGCCAGGCTAATTTTTGTATTTTTAGTAGGGACGGGGTTTCACCATGTTAGCCAGGATGGCCTCGATGTTCTTTTTCTTAGATGATAATTTGTTGAATCAGCTGGTGTGACAGTGGCTGCACAGCAGCATTTAAGACTCTAAAGATCACACACTTGGCATCTGCAACACACTGAAACTCAGACAGTTATTATTAAAGTTTAAAATAATGTCCCATATATCCCATAATCTATTTGGATTTTCCTTTGGGCAACCAAATATATTTTTTTTCCTTTAATTTGGATATGGGTCATTCACCTTTGCAACTGTCCCATATTTGGTTTATATTTTGCCAAGGATAAGCATCTTGATAGTGCTAACAGTAAGGAAAAGTTATCTGTTAGCAGCCTAAAATCTTACAACAGTGGAGAGAGAAGAAAATGCCAAGAGAATAAAGGACAAAATCATGCAAGTCTGTAGTCATCAGTGGCTTCTGGCATCTGGGAGGTTGTGTTCTGATTATCTTGGACATAAATAGTCTATTCATTTTATCTTCTGCTTCTGGACCATAACAGTTCTGGAAATCTTGGCTCACCCACTGTTTGTCCATGGCAATGATGTCGGCAGTATGCATCATTAATTTATTCTCTGTAGTGTCAGTAATGGGTGCATGATACAAACATTTACAAAAGTTCTTTTGATAAGTCTTCCACAAGGCTCAATTCCTATCTTTAGCTTATAGCCAGGAACTTTAGATGAATGTAAGGAAGAAGCGGAAACCACCTGTGGATCATGGGACTATAGGCTTTAGTTGATTTATTATATTAACCAGCATTATCAGAATGGAAGGGAGTGGAATCTTCTATTGCAGAAAGTACATAATGAATTTTATGAGTAGTCACTGATTATCCTAGAAGTAAGAATATCTCACAAACAGGGAGGACATTGACAGTCTCTAGGACTTTCTTTCATTTATCCTATAAAGTGTATTATGAGTTTCACCATTCCAAGTTTACTGAAACCTAGAAATAAAATCCTTTTTTAGATAGCTATTGTGGCAGTCTTTGTACTCGAATGTATGTTTTCTTTTTTTTTTTTTTGAGACGAAGTTTCTCTCTTGTTTCCCAGGCTGGAGTGCAATGGCATGATCTCGGCTCACTGCAACCTCCGCCTCCTGGATTCAAGCAATTCTCCTGCCTCAGCCTTCCAAGTAGCTGGGATTACAGGTGTCCACCACCAAACCCCGCTAATTTTTTGTATTTTTAAGAGAGATGGGGTTTCACCATGTTGGTCAGGCTGGTCTCGAACTCCTGACCTCAGGTGATCTGCCTACCTCGGCCTCCTAATATTTTCTTTAAGCCGAAAGATACTTAAATGTTGAAGTATATTTATTTTAACCACATTTTATTATACATGATTAAATTGGGAAGGCTTAACTTTCCTTATGATTTGTGAGGTTTTTTTTTCCCTTTAACCCAAATTTAATAAAGCAAAGAGTTCTCACAAAAGTTTTAAGTTAATTAAAATTCAGAGTATGCCAAACAAAGCTAATAATTTTTATAATCCTTTAAAAAATTTTTAATAAAGTAAAGGACTAAAGCTTTGTTTTACCTAGTGGCCATTTATTATAAACCCAAAGATGTAGTAGGTGTAAAAGACATCTTAACAATTTCTTATTATTTACTTATTTTTTAGAGACAGGGTCTCGCTCAGCTGTCTAGGCTGGAGTGCAGTGGCTGGATCATAGCTCACTGCAGCCTCAATCTCCTGGGCTCAAGTGATTTTCCTGCCTCAGCCTCCTGAGCAGCTGGGACTATAGGTGTGCACCACCACACTCAACTAATTTTTGTGTTTTTTTGGTAGAGACAGAGTTTCGCCATGTTGCGCAGGCTGGTCTCGAACTCCTGAGCTCAAGCAATCCACCCACCTCAGCCTCCCAGAGTGATGAGATTCTTTTTATAGGTGTGAGTCATCATACCTGGACTACTTTTTGCTTTTTGACTGATGATTCCAAGAGCCTTTTCAGTGTTTAGCACATAGACGTAGATAGTTGTAGTCTTTAC
Organism: Homo sapiens; assembly: GCF_000001405.40. Classification (NCBI taxonomy): domain Eukaryota; kingdom Metazoa; phylum Chordata; class Mammalia; order Primates; family Hominidae; genus Homo; species Homo sapiens. Next base: position 22,464,767 of record NC_000008.11, read on the forward strand.
TTAAGTTTGAATGAAGTGAGTTATGCGTGGGCTGAGTTCACTCAAAGCTTGCCTCAGCTGGGATTATTGACCATATACCCACTTTACTGGAGAATGAGTATGCCAAGAGACCGAGGCAGAATCTGCAAAATCACTTCTGCTGCAATGTATTTGTTAAAGCAGGTCACTAAGGCCAGTTCAGATTCTACGGGAGAGACATTAGACTCTCCCTTTTTTTTTTTTTTTTTGTCACCTAGGCTGGAATGCAGTGGTGCTATCTTGGCTCACTGCAGCCTCGACTTCCTGGGCTCAAGTGATCCTCCCACCTCAGCCGCCCAAGTAGCTGGGACTCCAGGCTTGTGACACCACATTCGGCTAATTTTTGTTGTGTTTTTAGTAGAGACGGGGTTTCACCATGTTGCCCAGGCTGGACTCAAACTCCTGAGCTCAAGCATTCTGCCTGGCTCAGCCTGCCAAAGTGCTAGGATTACAGGCATGAGCCACTGGGCCTGGCCTTAGACTCTACTTCTTGATAGGATAGGGTCAGGTCACTGCTATGCTTTAAATATGATCCCCAGAAAGCATATGTTGGCTGCCTGGGTGATGGGTATACTAGAAGCCCAAACTTTACCATTATGCAGTATATCCATGTAAAAAAGGTACACATATACCCCTTGAATCTGAAATTTAAAAATAAAATAAGTATGTATTAGAAAATTTATCCCAAATGCAGTAGTGTCGGGAGGTGGGGCCTAATGAGAGGTGTTTAGGTCATGAAGCCACCTCTAATGAATGCATTAATGTTGATTATAAAAGGGCTTAAGGCTGCAAGTTCTATCTCTTGCTCTCTCTTATCCCTCTTTGCCCTTCCACTATGGGATGATGCAGCAAGAAGACCCATGCCAGATGCCTGGCCCCTCAATCTTGAACTTCTTAGCCTCCAGAACTATGAATGAGTAAATTTCTATTCATTATAAATTATCCAGTCTATAATATTTTGTCATAGCAACACAAAACAGACCAAGACAGTGAGATTACAGAAGAGTATGTAGAGTGAGAAATATTATTGTAGCCATTTTTTTTTAGTTTTTGCTTTTTTTAAAAAATTATTCTTTAAGTTCTAGGGTACATGTGCTCAACATGCAGGTTTGCTACATAGGTATACATGTGCCATGTTGGTTTGCTGCACCCACCAACTCATCATTTACATTAGGTATTTCTCCTAATGCTCTCCCTCCCCCAGCCCCCCATCCTCCGACCAGCCCCAGTGTGTGATGTTCCCCACCCTGTGTCCATGTGATCTCATTGTTCAATTCCCACCCAAGAGTGAGAACATGTGGTGTTTGGTTTTCTGTCCTTGTGATAGTTTGCTGAGAATGATGGTTTCCAGCTTCATCCATGTCCCTGCAAAGGACATGAACTCATCCTTTTTATGGCTGCATAGTATTCCATGGTCTATATGTGCCACGTTTTCTTTATCCAGTCTATCATTGATGGACATTTGGGTTGGTTCCAAGTCTTTGCTATTGTGAGCAGTGCTGCAATAAACATACGTGCACATGTGTCTTTATAGTAGAATGATTTATAATCCTTTGAGTATATGCCTAGTAATGGGATTGCTGGGTCAAATGGTATTTCTAGTTCTAGATCCTTGAGGAATCACCACACTGTCTTCCACAGTGGTTGAACTGATTTACACACCCACCAACGGTGTATTTCTCCACATCCTCTCCAGCATCTGTTGTTTCCTGACTTTTTAATGATCACCATTCTAACTGGTGTGAGATGGTATCTTATTGTGGTTTTGATTTGCATTTCTCTGATGACCAGTGATGATGAGCATTTTTGCATATGTCTGTTGGCTGCATAAATGTCTTCTTTTGAGAAGTGTCTGTTCATATCCTTTGCCCACTTTCTGATGGGGTTGTTTTTTTCTTGTAAATTTGTTTAAGTTCTTTGTAGATTCTGGATATTAGCCCTTTGTCAGATGGGTAGATTGCAAAAATTTTTTCTGTTTTTGCTTTTTGAGATGGAGTCTCACTCTGTTGTCCAGGCTGACGACTGTAGCTGACTGCAGCCTCAACCTATTGGGTTCCAGAGATCCTTCTGTGTCAGCCTCCTGAGTAGCTGGGAGTACAGGCAGATGCCACCACACCTGGATAATTTAAAAAAAAAATTTTGTAGAGATGGGGGTCTCACCATGCTGCCCAGGCTGGTTTCGAACTCTTGGCTTCAAGCAGTCTCCCCAACTTGGATTCCCAAAGTGCTGGGATTACAGGAGTGAGTCACCATGCCTGGCTGGTTGCAGCCAGTTTTGGAAAATAAAATGTGCTACAGACATTGTAAGGGCAAAATATTTAACAATAACTGAGATTTCTAAAAATTGCAGATTGGCTAAATGTTAATAAATTATGATCTAAGTAAATTATATCTACCTAGGAGAAAATAAAAAAAAATTTATGGTATTTTAAGGTATTTATTTATGTACTTATGCATTGAGATATTTGCCATCAAAATTTTTACTAGTGCGTATAAGTACCTAACACATAGTAGCAATTCAATAAAATTATTTGAATGAATTAATTGAGGATACTTTTCGATCATAGTTTTTATGGTGAGAGTTTTCATTTTGTTCTGTCTTATTTTTATGTGTATTTTAGTTAGATGTTCGCTTAGTCTATTCAAGATGTGTTTTTTGTTTGTTTGTTTGTTTTGAGACAGAGCATTGCTCTGTCGCCCAGGTTGGAGTTTCAGTGGTGCGATCTCAGCTCACTGCAACCTCCACTTCCTGGGTTCAAGTGATTCTCCTGCTTCAGCCTCCTGAGGCAAGCACGCGCCACCACACCCGGCTAATTTTTTATTTTTAGTAGAGATAGGGTTTCACCATGTTGGTCAGGCTGGTTTTGAACTCGACCTTATGATCCACCTGCCTCCGCCTCCCAATGTTCTGGGATTACAGGTGTGAGCCACCGCCCCCGGCCTGTTCAAGATGTTATAACAAAATGCCTTAGACTGGGTAATTTGTGAACAACAGAAATTTATTTCTTACAGTCCTAGAGGCTGGGAAGTCCAAGAGTCAGCTTGCCAGCAGATTGTGTGTCTGGTGAGGGCCTCTTCCTTATAAGTGGCACCTTCTATGTGTCCTCACGTGGCAGAAGGGACAAACAAGCTCCTTTGGACCTCTTTTGTAATGGCACAAATGCCATTCATGAGGGCAGAGTCCTTACGACCTAATAATTTCCCAGATATTCCACGTCTTAATACCACCATGTTGGGGATTAGGTTTTACCTATGAATTTTTGGAACATTCAAATCATAGCAGCTGTTAAGAAATGTTGAATCAGAAGTTTCTAGTCATTCTTTTTTTTGTTTTTTTGAGGCAGAGTCTTGCTCTGTCGCCCAGGCTGGAGTGCAGTGGTGCAATCTCGGCTCACTGCAACCTCTGCCTCCCGGGTTCAAGTGACTACCCTGTCTCAGCCTCCCGAGTAGCTGGGATTACAGGCGCCCGCTACCACGCCCAGCTAACTTTTGTATTTTTGGTAGAGGCAAGAGTGTCACCATGTTGGCCAGGCTGATCTCAAACTCCTGACCTCAGGTGATCTGCCTACCTTGGCCTCCCGAAGTGCTGTGATTACAGGCGTGAGCCACTGCACCTGGCCAGAAGTTGCTAGTCATTCTAAACTGGAAGCTTGACATAATATTTTGAATCAAGCATTTTAAAAATGTCTGCTTTTCATAAATAGTTTATTTTTACATATTTATCCCTTTCATTTAGGAAAGAAGATTCATGAGTTTTTTTTTTAATCAGCTGGCAAATTAGAGAAAATATTTATACAGCTTCTAATAGGCATCTCAAATTATTTTGAAACATTGGGAATATATCTTTTGTAATGTTTTGCTTGTAATAATTGAATAGATTTTCTCATTTGGTAATAACTTGGAAAATACAAAGTGGCCCATTTAAAATGGACTCTGATTTAAAGGTACTGTTGGAGGCATTGGTGACGGGCCATTTTTCCTTTTAAATAGAGAAAGTATGACAATCTATTTTCAAGAAACTGCCATAGCAATATTTTTAGTCTCATATGCTCGCACAGAATTTTGTCACTCCCCACCAGTAGGTGGAATCTATTTCCACTCTTCTTGAACCTGGGCAGGCTTGTGACTGTTCAACCAATTGAATATGGTGGAAATAATGTGATGGGATTTCTGAGGCCATGATATAAATAGGATACAACTGATCCAGCAATCGCACTACTGAGTATCTACCCAAAGGAAAATAAATCAACATGTTTATTGCAGTACTATTCACAACAGCAAAGATACAGAATCAGCGTTGAGTATCTATTAGTGGATGAATGGATAAAGAAAATATGGTATATATACACAATGGAATATTGTTCAACCATAAAAAAACAAAACAAAATAATGTCACTTACAGCAACATGGATGGAACTGAAGGTCATTATCTTAAGTTAAATAAGCTAGGCACAAAAAGACAAATATCATATATTCTCACTTATATGTGGGAGCTAAAAATTTGAACACATGGAGGTAGAGAATGGAAAATAGATAAGAGAGACTGGGAAGGGTGAGTGGGGGAAAGGGGAAGGATGAAGAGAAGTGAGTTAAAGGGTACAAACATACATTAAGATAGGAGTAGATTCAATGTTTGATAGCAGAGCAGGATGACTATACCTAACAAAAATGTATTGTACCTGGTGATGAACATCCTGAAGACCCTGGCTTAATACTATGCATAATATACATGTAACATAATTCCTCATGTAATCTGTAAATTTGCACAAATAAAAAGAGGGAAAAAAAAAAGCTACAGCTTCTTCCTGGCTCTCTCTTTGTCTTGGGATGCTTGTTGTTGGAACTAAGTCATACGAAGAGGCCACATGTGGGTATTCTCTTCAAAAACCTGAGCTAAGCTGCAGCCAACAGCCAGTATTAACCACAGTATGAGTGAGAAAGCTTTCAGGTAATTCCAGCCCCAGGTTGTCGAGTATCCTGCTGAGGCCCCAGAAGTTGCGGAGCAGAGACAAGCCAGCCCCACTGTGCCCTGTCTGAATTTATGGTCCACAGAACCTGTGATAGATAATAAGTGATTATTGCCTTAAGCCACTAAGTTTTGGGGTAATTTGTTACATGGCAGTAGATAATTCATATAATTTCTAGAAACTTATAGGGAAATAAAGATTTGCTCAAAGACATATATATATATATATATGTGATATATAAATGATCCATGTATATATATATGATATGGGTGATATATATAAAATAAATATGGGTGATATATATATATACACACACACACACACACACACACACATACATATATATATGTTCTCTGCTGTATCATTTATTTATGTTTTCTTTTTTTTAGAGGCAGAATCTCACTCTGTCACCCAGGCTAGAGTACAGTGGCTCAGTCATAGGTCACTGCAGCCTTGAACTCCTGGGCTCAAGCGTTCCTCCTGCCATAGCCTCCCAAAGCACTGGGATTATAGGTGTGAGCCACGATGCCTGGCCCTGCAGTATAATTTACAATTTTTTGAAATAGTCTAGCTATCCAACAATAAGAAAATGTTTAAATAAATTATCATAAGCACACTATTTTCCTAAGTAAAATTTCTACATTTTCTATATTCAAAAACAAAGTTTAAAGAATTGGTATATAGTCAATTATGTCATAATGATAAACCTAATTGAATTATATATTTACATAAATAAAGATCATTAAGAACAAAAAAGGCTTTACATCTGATAAAGGACATGTACCCAGAACATACAAGAACTTTCGTCAGTCAATAAGAAAAGATACTAAATGTTTTAAATGGACAAAAGAATTGAACAAGCACATCCCCAAAGAAGATATTCAAATGGCCCTTAAGCAAGTAGAAAGGTCCTCAACATCACTACTCATCAGGGAAATGCAAAGTAGAGAACAAAGAGATACCGGTAGACGTTCACTGTACTGGAATAAAATTTAGCAGATGAGCAATATTGAGTGTTGACAAGGATATGAAGTAACTGGAACCCTTACACCTTGATGGTGTGAGGGTAAATGGTATCACTTTGTGAACTGTTGGGTAAAACCAATGTTGACCCCATAAACTTTCAGTCCCATTCTTGGGTATATACCTAAGAGAAAAGAGTGCTTATGTCCACCAAAGCACACATAGAATTATATTCATAGCAACTGTATTCATAATGGCTCAAATTGGAAAGCTGCTCTAGTCATACATTGTCTGCCCTTACCTTTATTAACGCAGTAGTGCTTAGCATGTAGCTACCTGTGTTTAGTTTAATATGTATTATTAATGAAAATTTATTTAGGGGATTTCACCCCCAATTTTTTAACTTTATGGTTTCAAATTTCTTAAAACCTTTCTCTTTACATCAGTTTGGTTTTGGAAGACTAAAAGAAAGAGCTTGTTGCACAGATGGCCCAAAGCACAAATTATTAAAATGCTAACTTTTATCTACATCCAGCTCCAAATATTCCCTTACTCCTTGATCATTCTTTTTTTTTTTTTTTTTTGAGACTGAGTCTGTGTCACCTAGGCTGGAGTGATAGATGTATATATGGTCCCCTATTCTAAGGTAATACAGTCATGCATCCGAGAAATGTGTCATGAGATGACTTTGTCATTGTGAGAACACCATGGAATGTACTTACAGAAACCTGGATGGTGTAACTGCTATACACCTAGATGGTGTAACTACTACTATGCATAGTCTATATGATATAGCCTATTACTTCTAGGCCACAAACCTGTACAGCAGGTTACTGTACTGGATACTGTAGGCAGTTATAACACAGTGCTAAGTATTTGAGTATCTGAACATATCTAAACATAGAGAAGGTACAATAAAAACACAGTATAAAAGGCAAAAACTGGTACACCTGTATAGGGCACTTAACCATGAATGGGGCTTACAGGACTGGAAGTTGCTCTGGGTGAGTCGGAGGTGAATGATGAGTGAATGTGAGGGCCTAGGACATTATTGTACACTACTGGAGACTTTATAAACTTTATAAACACTGAACACTTAGGCTACACTAAATTTAAAACAAATTTTTCTTGGCTGGGCATGGTGGCTCACTCCTGTAATCCCAGCACTTTGGGATGCTGAGGTCGGCAGATCACTTGAGTCCAGGAGTTCAAGACCAGTCTGGGGAGCGTGGCAAAACCCCATCTCTACAAAAAATACAAAAATTAGCCAGGCATGGTGGCGCACACCTGTAGTCCCAGCTGAGGACTGGGAGGCTGAGGTGAGAGGATCATTTGAGCCAGGAGGTTGAAGGTGCAGTGAGCCATGGTAGTGCCATTGCACTCCCATCTGGGCAATAAAGCGAGATCCTATCTCAAAAACAAATTTTTTTTCTTTAATAATATATTAAACTTAGCTTACTGTTAAGTTTTTACTTTATAAATGTTTCAGTTTTTAAAAACTTTTGGACTTTTTTGTAATAACACCTAGCTTAAAAGACAAGTACATTGTATAGCTATAGAAAATAATTTTTCTTTATATCTTTATAGGCTTTTTCTATTTAAAAAGTTTAAATTTTTTTTTAACTTTTAGAATATTTTGGTAAAAATGAACACACACACACACACACACACACACACACACACACACACACACTGAGCCTAGGTCTACACAGGGTCAGGATCATGAATATCCCTGGCTTGCCCCCCTACATCTTTATCCACTGGCACACCTTCAGGAGCAGTAACAGGCATGGAGCTGTTATCTCCTAGGATAACAATACCTTCTTCTGGAAGTCCTCCTGAAGGACCTGCCTGAGGCTCTTGAGGAGATGTCACTCTTTTCAGAAATTTGCCCATGGTGTTTTGCTTGGTTTATTTCTATTTTTCATTGTAGATTTGTTTGTAAGCAGTTAATGCAGCATGAACATTCCTGTGTATTAATGAAAACCTTTCTGTTTTTGGGGGTCCATGTTTTCACACTTCCTAAGGAGTTTGTTGAGGTGTGCAAAAGCTTCTCCCAAACCCTTCACTGTGAGTTTTGTTGGGGGTTCTTTTTCTTTCTCCAGCAAACTTCCTTCTCTCTTGCTGCTTCTTCAGCTTTGCATTCCTATTCCAGTTCCCACTCATTAGTCAATTCCTGCGATGTTATTGTGGCTATAACGTTACTAGATGACAGGAGTTTTTCAGCTCCATTTAACTACAGTCCATTGTTGACCAAAACATCATTTTGTGGCACACAACTGTATTTAGCTATTTTAGTGGTTGGGTAGCTGCTATCGTTTTTTCAGTGAAATTTGAGTAGTTAAAATGAGTCAAGTAGTAGCTGAAAGCATGACGAAACTTATAATAGGACTTTCTTTACTTGTAAATGATACAATATGGTATGGCTAGATTAAGTCTTTTAAAAATACTCATAGATTTCAACTTGGTTCCATAAAGCTGGAAGTGGAAACATTGGACATATATCAGAAATTCAATTGAACGCCTCCTTTTAAATTTATGGTTTACAGACTTGTGGCTCTTAGATCCCAGGGGATCTAAAGTAGACTGTGTTATAAAGTAGGCACATAACAAGACAACAGCCAATTTAAAAATATTAAATGAACTTGCTAATTCTCCATGATATTATATATATAAACTTTGTACCTAATGTAAACTGAAGGTAGTTATTAGCATTTCCAGGTTAGAAAACATAACTGGACTTCCCTTATCCACTTTTTTTTTTTTTGAAACGGAGTCTTGCTCTGTCGCCCAGGCTGAAGTGCAGTGTCACAATCTCGGCTCACTGCAACCTCCATCTCCCAGATTCAAGCAATTCTTCTGCCTCAGCCTCCCAGGTAGCTGGGATTACAGGTGTGTGCCATCACACCCGGCTAATTTTTGTATTTTTAGTAAAGACAGGGTTTCACCATGTTGGCCAGGCTGGTTTTGAACTCCCGACCTCAGGTGATCCACCTACCTTGGCCTCCCAAGGTGCTGGGATTACAAGCGTGAGCCACACCACACCCGGCCCCTTATCCATTCTTTTATGCTCTGTTACTACAGCAAATTATTCTCAGACATAGCTCCATCTTGGTAGTAGTGTTCTTGTTATTATCAGTAACAAAGTACATTAAGCTACTGCCTTTTGTTTTATTCTGTTTTGTTTTGTTTTATTTTGAGACAGTGTCTTGCTCTGTTGCCCAGGCTGGAGTTCAGTGGCGCGATCTCAGCTCACTGCAACCTCTGCCTCCCACGTTCAAGCGATTCTTCTGCCTCAGCTTCCCGAGTAGCTGGGATTATGGGCACTTGTCACTACACCTGGCTAATTTTTGTATTTTTAGTAGAGGTGGAGTTTTGCCATGTTGCCCAGGCTGGTCTTGAACTCCTGACCTCAAGTGATCTGCCTGCCTCAGCCTCCCAAAGTGCTGGGATTACAGGCGTGAGCCATGGTGCCCGGCCGAGACTTCTAAAACATAGGTGTCATTAGGACAGTTCTATAGGAGAAATAAATGCCATTTTAGTATTATGACTACTTTTCTTTCATTTTCTTTAACCATAGTTTCATTTTTAACACCTGTTCTATAGATAGAAAAACAAAGATACTCATGTCATCTAGTGTCTTGTCTCATTTATAACTTGTTCCCTGAATCAGCTTCAAGTCTTTCATGTTTATGTGTAAAACATAGGGCTGGGCGCAGTGGCTCACTCCTGTAATCCCAGCACTTTGGGAGGCCGAGGCAGGTGGATCACCTGAGGTCAGGAGTTCGAGAGCAGGCTGGCCAACATGGTGAAACCCTGTGTCTACTAAAAATGCAAAAATTAGCCAGGTGTGGTGGCATGCTTCTGTAATCCCAGCTACTCAGAAGGCTGAGACAGAAGAATCGCTTGAACTCAGGAGGCGGAGGTTGCAGTGAGCTGAGATCGTGTCACTGCATTCCAGCCTGGGTTGACAGAGCAAGCCTCCATCTCAAAAAAACAAACAACAAAAACCATTATAATTTATGCACACACAAATATTTAAAATGACTGTCACCTTTTTATACTTAGAATTGATCATTTATGATACATAGTATCTTAGAATTTTTTCCCCACGTACTGGTGCTGTGGATGTGAAATCATGGTGATTTATTAGGTTTAATTTGTCATGTAAAAGAATTGTGTTCTGTTTGTTCTCTATACATTTAAATATTTTAAATTATTATTATTATTTTTTTGTAGCTGTCCCCTTTCCTCCAACCCAACGGCTTACTTTCAAGGAAGTATTTGAGAATGGGAAACCTAAAGTTGATGTTTTAAAAAACCATTTGGTAAAGGAAGGACGACTGGAAGAGGAAGTAGCCTTAAAGATAATCAATGATGGGGCTGCCATCCTGAGGCAAGAGAAGACTATGATAGAAGTAGATGCTCCAATCACAGGTATAAAAAGTCTTTGCATGATACTTTTTTACAGTATAGATTTGCATGAGCAGTTTTGAGAAATAATTACAAATAACCAGCTAAAAAGTGGTGTGGTAATTTTTCTAGAAATTATGAGACAGTCAGGATTGGTTAGGATATTTGTTGTTAATTGAAGAAATACAATTTTAAGTGTCTCATATTTCCAGTAGAACTATTTAGTATGAGTAGATTGACTACAGTTTTACAGCAGTCCTGTCAAAAGCTGGAGTGATTTAAGTTAGAAGTTAAACTGTGATCCCTTTTGGTGTAATGCCCTTCGTCTTCTAAGGTATAATTTCTCACATCACTTTATGCTTTTTTTCCTAGTATGTGGTGATATTCATGGACAATTCTTTGACCTAATGAAGTTATTTGAAGTTGGAGGATCACCTAGTAACACACGCTACCTCTTTCTGGGTGACTATGTGGACAGAGGCTATTTCAGTATAGAGGTAAAAATTAAACTGGATATGTTGGGACTATTATATTGTCTTTCAAAAAAGATGATTTCCATTCTTCAGTAGAAGAAATTAAAATGAGAACTCTGGCAGAATTTATAAACTTTGTTACTTTCAAAATTAAAGTAGTAGAAATGTTTTAATTGATAGAACAGTTATTCCTTTTTTAAAACCAGTCGAAAATCTGACAAATAGGCTATATATTAATATTAACCCAATTTTACAAATAGTTAAATGTTCACCAACTTTTCCTCTTGAAGATAGTATACAGGATTGTATAAAAATGACATAAATTGCTGTTCACCCTAAATGGGGTTTAGATTAGCTGACCTTAATTATAAGACCATAAGCTGCTGAGCTACAATTAACACTTAGATTAACTGCCAGTGCTAAATAAACACTAAGCTTTTTGTAGGAATAATGTCTGGTACTGGTACACATAGTAAGCACTTAATAAATGTTCACTGAAGGGGAAAAATGAGTTGTAGTTAATTAAAACTTATACTTTCCTTTTATATATTTTGAAAATGGAAAGATAGGAACATGTTTAGAATTAAATAGAAGCTTTAATGTGTAAAAGATAAAACTACTTTAGAACTTTATGCAAGGACTTGAGTACAGTGGAACCACAGCACATTCCTAGTTAATGTTCATTGATTCAACTCTACATGCTGGCAAATAAAAGAGAAAAAAACTTTTGAAATAGCGTGGGTAATAGGATTTGTAATGTGACCAAGAATAAGCATGAGCTGAGAAATTGAGTCTGCTTTCTGTCTTGCTGTCTATAGTCCTGCCTGCCCTCATTGTGTGAGAATCTCACTGTACTAAGTGTGTTTCTGGTGGTTAAAGGTTTATTGTCTTGCAGCCTCACTCCTAAATGCAAGTCAGCTCTCTCACCTGATGCCCAAGCAAAGGAGCAGCAGTTGCTCTATTGCTGTAGAAAAAATAAGCAAAAAAATGGATTTTTAGTTTTCTGTTAGATAGGCAATCTAAATTCATGAATCAGAAAAGTTCAATGTTGGCCAGGCACGGTGGCTCACGCCTGTAATCCCAGCACTTTGGGAGGCCGAGGCAGGCAGATTACGAAGTCAGGAGATCAAGACCATCCTTGGTAACATGGTGAAACGCCGTCTCTACTAAAAATACAAAAAATTAGCCGGGTGTGTAGGCAGGCACCTGTAGTCCCAGCTACTTGGGAGGCTGAGGCAGGAGAATGGCGTGAACCTGGGAGACGGAGCTTGCAGTGAGCTGAGATCACGCCTCTGCACTCCAGCCTGGGCGACAGAGCGAGACTCTGTCTCAAAAAAAAAAAAAAAAAAGTTCAATGTTAGTTGCCAGTGCACAAAATTCATTTAGTGTCAAATGTGAGGACAAAAGTTAAAGGTATAAACTGACAAAATAGTAAAGCCCATTTTTCCTTCTGCTCCGTAAATGTCCAAGGTCTCTAAATAGGTACTGGGAATAGGTGGAGATTATCCTTGCAGACTGTATCATTGAGGAGCTTCCCTGTTGCCACTCATATCATTCATGTTTCAGTAGACATAAGTCAAATGTATGGATGTGGGGCTGCGCGCAATGGCTCATGCCTGTAATCCCAGCACTTTGGGAGGCCGAGGTGGGTGGATCACCTGAGGTCAGGAGTTCGAGACCAGCCTGGCCAACATGGTGAAACCCCATCTCTACTAAAAATACGAAAGTTTACCAGGCATGGTGGTGGGCGCCTGTAATCCCAGCTACTTGAGAGGCTGAGGCAGGATAATCACTTGAACCTGGGAGGCAGAGGTTGCAGTGGGCTATTGTGCCGCTACACTCCAGCCTGGGTGACAGAGCAAGACTCTGTCTCAAAAAAAAAAAAGAAAGAAAGAAAGAAAGTATGGATGTTAGAAAGACACATTGAGTTCAGTTTATTTCTTTGTGTTTTTGCTAGCATGAGAAGGTTTCAGACGGTAAAGATTAGAAGAATACAAAAATTACTGAATTTCTAATTAGGCATTTTATTTTATTTTATTTTTTTAGAGATGGGGTCCTGCCATGTTGCCTAGGCTGGAGTGCAGTGGCTATACACAGGTGCGATCATTTCGTACCTCAGCCTCCAACTCCTGGATTCAAGCCATCCTCCTGCCTCAGCTTCCTGAGTATATGGAACTATAGATGCACACCACTGTGCCTGGCTAGTCATTGTATTTAATAAAACAACTTTTAAAATATTTATTTATTTATTTATTTATTTATTTTTTGAGACAGAGTTTCGCTTTTGTTGCCCAGGCTAGAGTGCAATGGCACGATCTCGGCCCACCGCAACGTCCGCCTCCCAGGTTCAAATGATTCTTCTGCCTCAGCCTCCCAAGTAGTTGGGATTACAGGCACCTGCCACCACGTCTGGCTAATTTTTTGTATTTTTAGTAGAGACGGGGTTTCACCATCTTGGCCAGGCTGGTCTTGAACTGCTGACCTCGTGGTCCACCCACCTTGGCCTCCCAAAGTGCTAGGATTACAGGTGTGAGCCACTGCGCCTGGCAATAAAACAACTTTTTTTTTTGAGATGGAGTCTTGCTCTGTTGCCCTGGCTGGAGTGCAGTGGCACGATCTTGGCTCAGTGCAACCTATGCCTCCTGGGTTTTAAGCAGTTCTCTGCCTCTGCCTCCTGAGTAGCTGGGATTACAGGTGCTTGCCACCACACCCGGCTAATTTCTGTATTTTTAGTAGAGATGGGGTTTCACCATCTTGGCCAGGCTGGTCTTGGACTCCTGAACTCGTTATCCACCCACCTTGGCCTTCCAAAGTGTTGGGATTACAGGCATGAGCCACCGCGCCCAGCCTAAAACAACTTTTTAGTGATAAATTATTATGCCAAATTATCTTCTGATTAACTCGTATAACTTAAAATAGCTTTAAAATAGTTTTAATTCATTAATACATTCAATAAAGCACATAGAAAATATCAACAATGATTTTGTGCACAGACATCATGTTCAGAATATTTTGTGTTATGCATTTTTTTCCTCACTCATCAATAAAGTTTCTTGAGTGCCAACTTTATGGGCAGGCTGTGAGAATAAAATAAAGAATAAAATTTATGCTCTGTAGGAGCTTCCAGTCTAATAGAAAAGATGCACTTACGAATAGACTTTTGTTATAATATAAAATGTGCTTCTTGAATTAACAGCGTTTTTCATATTAGGACTTAGCACAGTGCCTAACACATAGTAGGCACATAGTTAATATTTGTTGAATGAATGAATGTTAATAAATCATAGTTTGTATTTAGCTTTATTCTGTTAATTAGATGTTTGCTAACTTAAAGGGTTTTTTCTGCAATAACTTCAGAGATAAATGAATCAAAACTTTAAGGTGACAATGACATTTTATACCAGTGTTAAAACCAAAGTATGAGATCTATCGAGTATTCATTGGAAGTCACTTATTTATAAACCACTAAGATTATAAACCTCTATAGGCTATAGCTTACTCTAACATGTTGCAAGTATACACTTGAAAAATAATTTTTTAATAAATATTCTTGATAGCCATGAGTGTGATGTTTTTGTTTAATAGATGAAAATAAGGTCATGGAATTCTTATTAAAATTTTTTGTTATAAATAATTTATTTTTAATAGAAAAGTTGGGAAATGCAGAATCTAGAAAACAAAAACTTTCTACAAATCAGAGATAATCACTGTTAATGTTTTATTATACTTTCTTGCAGCCTTTTTTCTTCTTTTACATTTGTATATATTTTGTTTTCAAGAAAATTGAGAGCATTTTGTACGCTCCTTTTCTGATCTTCTTTTTCCACTCAAGATTGTATGGAAAGCATTTTTCTGTATTGTTTTCTCCAGAAGTGTAGTGTCAAAGTCAAATAAAATAGAGACAAATCTCTGAAATTAAAACATTTTATCTGAGAAGAAAAAAGACCAGCCTGGCGAACATGGTGAAACCTCGTCTGTACTAAAAATACAAAAATTAGCCAGGTGTGGTGGTGGGCGCCTGTAATCTCAGCTACTTGGGAGGCTGAGGCGGGAGAATGGCTTGAGCCTGGGAGGTGGAGGTTGCAGTGAGCCCAGATCGCCCCACTGCACTCCAGCCTGGGTGACTTAGCAAGACTCTGTCTCAAAAAAAAAAAAAAAAAGAAAAGAAAAGAAAAAATGCAATTTGGGGCATACACACAGACTGAGCGGGCTTTGGTATGTCTGAAGAAAAGAGAAGGTTAGGTTTTATGAGAAAGAAAAATGTTATGTATTGCTGTTTGAGAAAGTTCATTGACACTAGTAAGGTTCTGGAGGGCTGACAAGTTTTACTTAATCTCATGTAATCAATTTATATTCTGCTTGATCTCCGTTAATAGTTTCATGAGTCCGTCAGTTTCTTTATTAGAGTTGTGGAAATTTTTATTTAGCCTATTGCACTTAATGTTATCAGCAACCTATATTTAAGAGTACTTGTTGAAGTCTTTTCCATGAATCTGATTGTGCATGTTTTTAGAGACAAAACAGTAACTGTGGATGACAAAAGCTTAGAACAGCCATGGTTAAAAATCTGATGAAAGTTTACGATTGATAAGGAATTTTGTTATTTCTATTATAGATAGCATTTTAGGATACAATAATCAGAATTAAGACTGAGTTATGAGTTATACAATTTTTATGAGTTATACAATTTTTGAAACATTTATGTTAACAACATACCCCTAAATGCAACTAAAATAAGATCTAGTATCACTTACCATTTAACAGTTTCTTATATAATTTACTAAATGAGCCTGATCATTTCATATCTCTGTAAGATGAGAGATATAGATCTTTTGAGGCTTTCCAGGGGCTGAACTGGAAAATCCCAAAGTTAATTTAATTTAATTTTATTTTTTTGAGACGGAGTCTCGCTCTGTCACCCAGGCTGGAGTGCAGTGGTGCAATCTCAGCTCACTGCATCCTCCGCCTCCCAGGTTCAAGTGATTCTCCTGCCTCAGCCTCCCAAGTAGCTGGGATTACAGCCCCCCACCACCATGCTCAGTTAATATTTGTGTTTTTAATAGAGATGGAGTTTCACCATATTGGCCAGGCTGGTCTCCAACTCCTGATCTCAGGTGATCCACCTGCCTCAGCCTCCCAAAGTGCCAGGATTACAGGTGTGAGCCACTGCAGCCAGCCCCAAAGTTAATTTTAGGTCAAAAGTACTTAATTGAGGCTGGTCACAGTGGCTTAAGCCTGTAATCCCACTGCTTTGGGAGGCCTAGATGGGAGGCTAACATGTGTCCAGGAGTTCAAGACCAGCCTGAGCAAGACCTTGTTTCTATAAAAATAAAAAACAAAAAAAGACTTAATTGAGGATTTGATTTTGGGGACGTTTGTCAAAGATGTCAAAAGGCTCAGAACATCTGATCAAAACAGAATCACACAGGTCACTATAAAATAATGGTCATTTGGCTGTGCGCAGTGGCTCATGCCTGTAATCCCACACTTGGGGAGGCCGAGGCAGGTGGATCACCTGAGGTCAGGTGTTTGAGTCCAGCTTGGCCAACATGGTGAAACCCCGTCTGTACTAAAAATACAAAAAGTTAGCCGGGCGTGGTGGTGGGTGCCTGTAATTCCAGCTACTTGGGAGGCTGAGGCAGGAGAATCACTTGAACCTGGGAGGCAGAGGTTGCAGTGAGCCAAGATCGCGCCACTGCACTGCAGCCTGGGCAACAAGAGCGAAACTCTGTCTCAAGAAAAATAAATAATAATAATAATAATAATAATAATAATAATAATGATAATATTCATTCAGCCAGTGATAAAAGATTTCCAAAGTAATACAGAAAGTTACATGGATGTAAAAACGTTAGTTTCCTTAAAGTTTAGTTTTCCTAAGTTATAAGATACCTAATGAGGGCAACACAGAAATTATCTTGATGAAATGTGGAAGTTTTGTGTTCTTTTTTTTTTTTTAATGTTTTAAATTCTGGTATACATGTACAGAACATGCAGGTTTGTTACATAGGTATACATGTGCCATGGTGGTTTGCTGCATCCATCAACCTGTCATCTACATTAGGTACTTCTCCTAATGCTATCCCTCCCCTAGCCCCCCACCTACCAATAGGCCCCAGTGTATGATGTTCCCCTCCCTGTGTTCTCATTGTTCAACTCCCACTTATGAGTGAGAACATGTGGTGTTTGGTTTTCTGTTCCTGTGTTAGTTTGTTGAGAGTGATGGTTTCCAGCTTCATCCATGTCCCTGCAAAGACATGAACTCATCCTTTTTTTTGGCTCCATAGTATTCCATGGTGTATATGTGCCACATTTTCTCTATCCAGTCTATCACTGATGGACATTTGGGTTGGTTCCAAGTCTTTACTATTGTGAATAGTGCTGCAGTAGACATACGTGTGCATGTGTCTTTATAGTAGAATGATTTATAATCCTTTGAGTATATACGCGATAATGGGATTGCTGGGTCAGATGGTATTTCTGGTTCTAATCCTTGAGGAATCACCCCACTGTCTTCCACAGTGGTTGAACTAATTTACACTCCCACCAACAGTGTAAAAGCATTCCTATTTCTCCACATCCTCTCCAGCATCTGTTGTTTCCTGACTTTTTAATGATCGCCATTCTAACTGGCATGAGAGGGTATCTCATTGTGGTTTTGATTTGCATTTCTCTAATGACCAGTGATGATGAGCTTTTTTTCATATATTTGTTGGCCGCATAAATGTCTTCTTTTGAGAAGTGTCTGTTCATATCCTTTGCCCACTTTTTGATGGGGTTGTTTGTTTTTTTCTTGTAAATTTGTTTAAGTTCATTATAGATTCTGGATATTAGCCCTTTGTCAGATGGATAGATTGCAAAAATTTTCTCCCATTCTGTAGGTTACCTGTTCACTCTGATGATAGGTTCTTTTGCAGTGCAGAAGCTCTTTAGCTTAATTAGATTCCATTTGTCAATATTGGCTTTTGTTGCCATTGCTTTTGGTGTTTTAGTCTTGAAGTCTTTGCCCATGCCTATGTCCTGAATGAAGCATATAAAAGTTTTGTTTTTTAAACAGGCTACCAAAAAGGTGAAGAAAAACCTTCTGTAGTATGATTGTTTCTTCTTATGTGATGTTCACTTACATAACCTGGAAATCAAACCGGATGAAAAGAGTACTTGAATTAATCAGACAGAGGAAGAATGTGCCCAAGATTATGAATGTTTCAATTCAGCTACGTCAAGAAAAGCCAAGATACAGTAGAGGAAAACATAGCTTTTTTAGGCTTTTAAGATAAACCTCTTAGTGTCAGATCATAACAGTCGAGTTAGAATAGGAGAAAAAAAGTTATAGGAGCAGATGAAAAAGTTGGAGAGAGTCACCTTCTAGCCAAGCAAAAAGATACGCTTTTTCAAGTGGAGAAAGAACAGAAGGGAATAATATATGACTTGCAATCATGTACAGTGAAGGACAGCAGAATTTGAACTTCTGAGGTATACATTTGAGAAGTTTCAAAAAGAAACAGATTTCAGAATTAAGTATCAAAACCTCTTGCAGTTTTACTAAGAGAATGTCAATACTTTAAGAAAAGCCCTGTTCTACAATAGGAGACCAAATTTTATAGTTTTGTATTAGTGTCTTTTTACTATCAAAGCTCAATCTTTGGGAAGACCACATGTCATTTTATTTTTTTATTTTTCAATTTTTATTTATTTATTTATTTTGACACGGAGTCTCGCTGTGTTGCCCAGGCTGGAGTGCAGTGGCGCAATCTCGACTCACTGCAGGCTCCGCCTCCAGGGTTCACGCCATTCTCCTGCCTCAGCCTCCTGAGTAGCTGGGACTACAGGCATGTGCCGCTACGCCCGGCTAATTTTTTGTATTTTTAGTAGAGACTGTGTTTCACAGTGTTAGCCAGGATGGTCACGATCTCCTGACCTTGTGATCTGCCTGCCTGGGCCTCCCAAAGTGCTGGGATTATAGGTGTGAGCCACTGCGCCCAGTCCCATATGTCATTTTATTTTAATTATAGCCAGCTTGATCACATACAAAATTCCATTTATAAATTCCGTTTTCACAAACCCTATTACAATTTCACTCAGACCATTAATGACATGCTTGGACTTTCTGCTTTGTCCTGTATTTCCTTTCTTAAATAACCATTTTATTTTAGGATGAAAATTTGCCACATAAGATTCTTTGTCATACAAAATTATTCTATTTCTCAATAAAGGACACATTTTAATGCCTATCTTGTAATTAAAAAAAATTTTTTTAAGAGACAGAGTCTTGCTCTGTCACCCAGACTGGAGTGCAGTGGTGCAATCATAGCTCACTATAACCCTGAACTCCTGGGCTCAAGCAGTCCTCCTGCCTCAGCCACCCCAATTAGCTAGGACTACAGGTGTGTGCTACCACACTTGGCTAATTTTTTTTTTTTTAATTTTTTTAGAGTTGGGTCTCACTGTGTTGTTCAGGCTGGCCTTGAACTTCTGGCCTCAGGATACCCTCCAACCTCAGCCTCCCAAAGTGCTAGGATTACAGGCATGTGCTACCACAGCCAGCTTGTATCAACAATTTTAAAAACAATTAATTTATCAAAGATTTACTTAAGTCACAAGAACTGAAAAAACATTTGGGTTAATTACTACATATTTTATATGAGCACTTGTTTACTTAAACTAATCAGAATAAATTTTTTTAGGGATTTCTGGCTGACTATATGAGATTTTATTATGTAGACACAGCATACAACATAGTATATATATATAATATAAGCATATCTACACAGATATACATACTTATAAATAAATTCTTATGGCTTTTGTTTTAGAGTTTTGGTCATGAAATAGTAAAACACTCACCAATTTATAAAAAACAGTAGGATCCAGATTATCTTTCTGACAAAATGGAATAAGGCCAAACTTAATGTTCTTTTTTAAAACAGGCAATATTATAAGGGTTGTGAACTAAATTTTGAGTAAAGTAGTTTGAGTCAGTTACCAATAAACTGGATTCGACACAGAATAGTTAATTGTGGAAATATGACTGAATTATCTTCTAACAAGGTCTGTTCAGTATTTTATTGGTCTCAATTCTTTATCCTTGAAGATAAAAGTGTTGCCATTCCTTTTACTGTGGGCAGGCTATCTTTACATGGGAATTTCATTTTTGCAAAGGAAAGAGCATGAAGGTCAAAATGATTTTCTTTAATATCTGCTGGTTTTAAGTGTTTTACTTAAATGGTCAGTATGCCAGAATAGTTGAAGAGTTTTGAAGAAAGAGTTTAGAAAAAGATAAGAGGAGGCAGAGCGGGAGGGGAAAGCTCTAGAGAGGAAAGTGATTCAGCTAGCTTTGAGGCAGTGTTTTGTAGTGAGTCATTCTTTGAGTCCTGAATCCTTTTTTTTAGCCTCAAAATATCAATGAGATACGCATATCTTATTTGGAGTATATTATTTTCTAACTGTGGTCTTTTAGTTTAAGGAACAACAGACTGTTTGAATGATCCTTACGATGTTTGAACATGTTACCGGCTGGAATCCCAGAAAATATCTTGGCATGCCTTTGAATTTTGAGAGCCCATTTTATTGTGGGTGCTCTGGTTTAATCCCAAATACACAAAAACCAATTAAATATAAGCACTGAATTTGCAAAGGCCAAATAAACGCAAGCACAGATGGGAAAATAAAGTACCCACTTACCAAGAAGGACGATAAGAAGCCTTCTCCAACTGAAAGAAAAAAGAGAGATCCCAAGGCCTCAACCCAAAGGGAAAAATCCCTTCCCTGAGACCCCACAGCCAGGGTCTACAAGGAGGAAAAGAGTCTTCCTTAATAGGAGATCCCTCAGCCAGATCAGACGGGAAGGGGAAAGACACCATCCCATCCAAATCCCAGATAAAACAGAACTCAACCAAAATCGGGAGTTCAGTCCAAGAATGACTCACTAAGGGAAAAAGAGGCAACTTGCAGAAGCCGTTAGAGGAGGGGGTGACTTTCAGAGGTCCCCAGTGTGGCTACCTTGTACTATAGTTCCAATGGCTGCTGATCTTCTCTGAGATGAGTCAGCCTTAGACTCATACTTGACCAAGTATGTCAAAGTCAAATGAAACACAGAGATGAATCTCTGAAATTAAGATGTTTTATTTGTGAAGAAAGAATTGCAATTTAGAGCATGCATGCAGACAGAATGGTATGTCCGAAGAACAAAGAGAAGGTTAGAGGTTTTATGAAAAAGCGAAATGTTATGTGTTGCTCTTTGAGAAAGTTCATTGGCACTAGTAAGGTTCTGGAGAGCTTGCCAGTTTTGATTGGTGAGTGATGGCAGTGGGTAAAATTAGCCTTAGAATTTCAGCAGATCATTTCAGTAGCCATTAGATAAAACTGGTTTCCAGTAATAGCAGGCAGTTTCGGCAGACATGCTTGCAGAGAATTACATTTTTGGGTCAATGTTATATGTCCTGAGTGCTTCCCCCCCGCCCTCTTGACTCTGTTTTAGTTGGGTATGACAGGAATAACCCAGTTCATATGATCAACTTTCACAGTAGTTAATGATATAAATACCTTAATTTATTTCACCATTCCTCTACTGTTGGAAAAATAGGTTTATAGCAGGTCATGCTATTGCATACATTTTCCCTCTGTCTTCCTTACAAACAATATCTCTATTTTATTCAGATAGATGGGATTGGGGTTGCAGGGAGAAGCTTTGATCTCAGGGAAGGAAGGCCCTTATCCCAGCCCCAGGGAATGAATTCTGGGTGGTCTGAACTACTCAAGCCAATCAATTTCCTGTCACTAATGATTGGTCTAGGGGTAAACACTGGATTTTCTTTTAACCAGTAATATATAAAGGGAACTCTGCTGGGTTTTTGTTTGTTTGTTTGCTTTTGGAAACACTCTTTCTTGATGAAAAGACTATTGCAAGGTTGAAGCTTTTGGACCCCCATTCTACCATTTCACTTCATATGTGGATGTGTGTACTGTAGCAGCCATGCTGTGACTATGAGGAGGTGACATGACTAAGGAGGAAAAGCAGACCTGTGAATCGCTGATCACAGAGGTACAGAGGGCTTGGTTTCTTGGTGAAGATGTTGAACTAGTACACCAAACCTGGACATCTCATCTCCAGACTTGATGTGTTTTTTGTTTTGTTTTTTTTTTTTTTTGGGACGGAGTCTCACTCTGTTGCCCAGGCTGGAGTACAGTGGCACCATCTCGGCTCACTGCAGCCTCTGCCTCCCAGGTTTAAGTGATCCTCCTGCCTCACCCTCCCGAGTAGCTGGGATTACAGGCACCCACCACCACGCCTGGCTAATTTTTGTATTTTTAGTAGAGATGGGGTTTCACCATGTTGGCCAGGCTAGTCTCAAACTCCTGACCTCAGGAGATCTGCCTGCCTCAGCCACCCAAAGTGCTGGGATTACAGGCATGAGCCACCGCGCCCAGCCCAGACTTTGTGTTTTATGAGGTATTTAAATATCTTACACAACAGCAAATTGGATTTGATATCACTTGTATTTAAATGGTACAAAGTTGTCTTCCAATTATTTCCACTCTGCACATTGCTAAAGTTAACATCTTTTTGAATATATCTGTGATGGCATTTCAGATACTTAGATCAGATTCTCACACATGAAGTAACTGATCAAAGAGTAGAACATTTTTAAGACTTCTGCCGCTGATAAAACAAAATAGTAAAGTTTTATTTATCTTTGAGACTTTTGGTGTTCCCTCTTCATTTGTACCTATTACAAAATGCTGGCTGGGCGCCCTGGCTCACACCGGTAATCCTAGCACTTTGGGAGGCCAAGGAGGGTGGGTCACCTGAGGTCAGGAGTTCGAGACCAGCCTGGATGACATGGTAAAACCCTGTCTCTACTAAAAATACAACAAATTAACCAGGCGTGGTGGCGTGTGCTTGTAGTCCCAGCCACTCAGGAGGCTGAGGCAGGAGAATTGTGTGAACCCTGGTGGCAGAGGTTGCAGTGAGCCTAGATTATGCCACTGCATTCTGGCCTAGGTGACTGAGTGAGACTCTGTCTAAAGAGAAAAAAAAAATAAAAACAAAGTGCTTCCTCTTCCTCTGTGAGAGAAGAAGCTAAATTTTAGTTTCTTTAATTGATTTTGTGAGAAAAGAAAAGATTAAAGGGAACATTTTCAGCAAAGATATACTGTATTAAAAGCACAGAAGCTGCCAAAGAGAAAAATGTTATCAGATGAGCAGGTGATATAAATGTTATTAGATGACCAATTGATGAACAGGTATTGACACATAGAAATGATTCTGGAGGCAGAGTAAAAATTCTGTTCACACAGAAGTAAAAAGTAATTGAGTGGTTGAACAGATCTCTTGATAATCATGACCTTGTAATTGAATTATACAAGACAATTGTACAG
The DNA here is from genome assembly GCF_000001405.40 of Homo sapiens. NCBI lineage: Eukaryota > Metazoa > Chordata > Mammalia > Primates > Hominidae > Homo > Homo sapiens. The sequence goes on from NC_000008.11 coordinate 22,487,979, forward strand.
TTGCATCCTGATGTATAAAATAAGGAAATAAAACTTGAAATTAGAGGCCAAGAAGCACATCACCAAATGACATTATACTATGGGTGGATTGTGCCTTTATATATCTCGTTACCTCAAAAAGGTGAGTTAGAAGGCACAAATGTATACCCAGATAAATCAAAAGATATATTGTGTTCTTGGTTGGGAAAGGTAGGTATAGAAAAGAGAAGTGCATTCTAAATTTGTATATTGATTTAATATAATTTTTCCTTGGAATATTTTGTGAAAATTGTTATCTTGGTAATGAAATTTAACCCCTCAAAAGAATAAAGCCACACAAGGTTATTTATATGTGTCTACATGTTTAAGCTTTATGATTATTTTGCAATGCCTGTTTCAAAATGTGTATATGCTTTAATGCAACAATTCCATTTTTCAGAACCTATGCTTTAGATGCACTCATAATTACGTACAATGATGTTTGAATTGTTTGTCACAATGATTGAAAGTTTCTTTTGGCATTTGATAAACAGGCTTCAGGGATACAAAATACCCTGCAATGTGTAGGAGACACCTAAACAACAAAGAATGAATGATTCTCAGATTGTCAACAGTGCCTGTGTTAGATTCTGGGGATCTAACAGGGAGATGCACAAGCAAAGTCCTTTACTGTATTTTCTAGTGAGAGGGACAGCATCATGTATTTGTTTACCATCCATGAGAACCAAATCAGAGGAAGGAGCTAAAGCGGGACAGGAGCAGCTAACTTAGATGGAGTGATCAGGGCAGGTTCTTTTGAAGAGGCAATTGTTGAACAGAATGACCTGTGGGAACAAGCTGTGCATAGATCAGGGGAACTACATTCCAGGCAGAGGCACAACCAGTGTAAAAGCTTACAGGCAGAAGCAAGTCTAGGGCAGTCCATGTATAGTAGTGAGGCTATCGAGGCTAGACAGAATAATGAGTAAGGGAGAGATGGAAGAGGTGCAGAGAGTGGGGCAGATAGATGATGTCAGGCCTAGTAAACCATGTCAGTGCATTTGGGTTTTATTCTGAATGTGCTAGGAAGTTATTGGAGGAATTTTTTTTTTTTGAGCAGGGGAGTGACGTATTCACATTTATGTTTTAAAACAATTACTTTGGCTGTTAGAAGGTCAGTTGACTTTTGGAGCCCAAAAGCAGGTGCAGGGAGACCAGTGAGGATTTAATCTAGTAATATAGGTAAGAGATGTCAGTAATTAGATTAGGCATACTGAGAAACATTTGGATTCAGGATTTCAAAGTCTTTCCTTTTTGAGGAGGTGGGAAAGTCTCAGTTGAATTGATCGAGCTCCTCAGGTCATGGCACATTTCTCATCAGTCTTTGCAAAGTCCCTCTTTTTTGTTTTATTCTTTTTGTGCTTATCTGTGATCTCTGAGTTCCTTACTCCCTCTCCCCAGTATACACATGCTTCTACTGTATTTAATATATGATTCAGAATACATCTAATGTATATATGAATGAATGATTCTCAGATTGTCAACAGTGCCTGTGTTAGATTCTAGGGATCTAACATGGAGATGCACAAGCAAAGTCCTTTACTGTATTTTCTAGTGAGAGGTACAGCATATATATATATAACAAATATATATTATATATAATAGTGTATATAATATATAATATATAATAAGTATATATTACATATAATATACAATAAGTATATATTATATATAAGTATATATTATATATAAGTATATATTATATATTATATATAAGTATATATTATATATTATATATATAATAAGTATATATTATATATAAGTATATATTTTATATTATATATATAGTAAGTATATATTATATACATACATAACAAATAAATATATATATATTCACTAATTTGAGATGGAGTCTTGCTCTGTCTCCCAGGCTGGAGTGCAGTGGCACGATCTCAGCTCACTGCAACCTCTGCCTCCCAGGTTCAAGCAATTCTCCTGCCTCAGCCTCTCCAGTAACTGGGATTAGAGGCGCATGCTACCACGCCCAGCAATTTTTTTTTGTATTTTTAGTAGAGACGAGGTTTCACCATGTTAGCCAGGGTGGTCTGGATCTCCTGACCTCGTGATCTACCCACCTTGGCCTCCCAAAGTGCTGGGATTATAGGCGTGAGCTGCCGTGCTGAGCCAATACATCTAATATATTAATTTTTTAATGTATAGAGCTTTTACAGATAAAATATTTTAATTTTACATAAATGATATGGTGCTGTCCAGTGGTCTTGAAATGTTAACATACACCATTATTACCTGGAAAGCTTGTGCAAACAGAGGTTGCAGGACCCTGACCCTGTTTCTGACTCATCAGGCGTGGGGTGGAACCTGGCAATCTGTATTCTGTCGGGTTCCCAGGTGATGCTGTTTACCACACTTTGAGATGAATGTGACCATACTTTGAGAACCACTGTTGTAGTGCTATTTATACTGTTGACTTTTTTCACTTACCACTTTTTTTATATTTATATATATTTTATTATACTTTAAGTTCTAGTGTACATGTGCACAACGTGCAGGTTTGTTACATATGTATACATGTGCCATGTTGGTGTGCTGCACCCATTAACTCGTCATTTACATTAGGTATATCTCCTAATGCTATGCCTCCCCCCTCCCCCCACCCCACAACAGGCCCCAGAGTGTGATGTTCCCCTTCCTGTGTCCAAGTGTTCTCATTGTTCAATTCCCACCTATGAGTGAGAACATGCGGTGGTTGGTTTTTTTGTCCTTGCGATAGTTTGCTGAGAATGATGGTTTCCAGCTTCATCCATGTCCCTACAAAGGACATGAACTCATTATTTTTTATGGCTATGTAGTATTCCATGGTGTATATGTGCCACATTTTCTTAATCCAGTCTATCATTGATGGACATTTGGATTGGTTCCAAGTCTTTGCTATTGCGAATAGTGCCGCAATAAACATATGTGTGCATGTGTCTTTATAGCAGCATGACTTATAATCCTTTGGGTATATATCCAGTAATGGGATAAGATATATCCAGGTTACTACTATACGTGCCTCTAGTTGATTGCTTTCTGCCTGCTGTATAGAATTTCACAGTATTTATGTATGACACTTTAGTTTTCTCTTTTGCTTGGTGGACACCTAGTTTACCTCCAGTTTCTTTCTAACATGAACACTGCTATGATGAACACCCTCATATAAATCTACCATGATTTAATGTCTCTAGGTTTTATGAACAAAATCGGATTGCCAGGAGAAAGGGTGTATGCATTCATACTTGAACTGAGCATTGGTTGCCAGATGGCTCTTCAGAATGGCTGTGCAAGTCTCTATTCCTACCAGCAGCACTGAAGAATTCCTATTTCCTCACATCCCTCCTTCCAGAATATGATTTTATCTCATATTATAATACTTGCCAATATAATGGGTATAAAGTAGTATTCTACTGTTTTAATTAATGTTTCTCTAATTACTGATGAAATTAAGCATCTCATATGCCAGCCATTCAGCTCTTGCACTCACTCTTAGGAGTTTCTTATGTGACCTTTCAGAGATAGGTTAAACATATACAAGCATATTTGCAAATCTAATGAGAAAATAGTGTACTTGTCACTATACATTGCCCTTTAAGTGCTGCTTTATCTGAGTCCCACAGATTTGGACATGTATTGCTTTCATTATCATTCAGTATTTTATATTTTAAGAATTCTCTTTAACCCTAAAATAATGAAGTAGTATGTTTTTTCTTTCCAGTCATATGGGATTTTTTTAGAGCTAGTATTTTGTTACTGATTATTGATTTGATGTAATTTGATTAAAGAAAATGATTGGAATAATACTCATTCTTTGAAATTTATTGAGACTCCTTGTGGTATAGTACAGAGTAGATTTTTGTGATTTTCCCATATATTCTTGGAAAGAACGTATATTCTCTACTTGTTGAGCTATTCTTTATAACTTTGACTATTTTTGTCTGCTTGAACTATCAGTTACTTTCAGCATTGTGTCAAAATTTCCAACTACCATTACAGTGTCATGCATCGTTTAATAAGGAGGGTACGTTCTGAGAAATGGGTGCCGATTTTGCTGTTGTGAAATCATCATAGAGTGTACTTACATAAACCTAGGTGGTATAGCCTGCTACACACCTAGGCTATATGGTATAGCCTGTTGCTCCCAGGCTACAAACCTGTACAGCATGTTATTGTGCTGAATACTGTAGGCAGTTGTAACACAAGGGTAAGTATTGTGTGTCTAAACATATCTAGATGTAGAAAAGATACAGTAAAAAAAAAAAGAGAAAAAATGGAATACCTGTATAAAGTACTTATCATGAATGGATTGTACAGGACTGGAAGTTGCTCTGGGTGAATCAGTGAATGATGAGTGAATGTGAAGGCCTAAGACATTGCTGTATACTACCAGATGCTTTATAAACACTGTACACTTGTGCTATACTAAATTTATTAAAAAGTATTTTTCCTTCTTCAATAATAAATTAGCCTTAGCTTATTGTAACTTTTTACTTTATAAGATTTTTAATTTTGAGCTGCCATCTTGCGTCCCCATGTGTGTGCACCTAATCTCAGCTGGTGGTCCACCCGAGACCCCCAAGCACCAACCCTAGCCCCCCACGTTGGCCCCTTATCTGCTCTGAGAAGATGAAACAAACAGTTATGAGCCAGGAAAGACTTGCCAAACTGCAGGCACAAGTGCGCATTGGTGGGAAAGAAATGGTTCACAGAAAGAAGAAGGCGGTTCATAGAACAGCCACAGCAGATGATAAAAAACTTCAGTTCTCCTTAAAGAAGTTAGAGGTAAACAATGTCTCTGGTATTGAAGAGGTGAATATGTTTACAAACCAAGGAACAGTGATCCACTTTAACAGCAGAGATGCCAGCAAACTCTTTCACCATTACAGGCCATGCTGAGACAAAGCAGCTGATGGAAATGCTACCCAGCATCTTAAACCAGCTTGGTGCACACTGTCTGACTAGTTTAAGGAGACTGGCTGAAGCTCTGCCCAAACAGTCTGTGAATGGAAAAGCACCACTTGCTACTGGAGAGGATGACGATGAAGTTCCAGCTCTTGTGGAGAATTTTGATGAGGCTTCCAAGATGGAGAATTTTGATGAGGCTTCCAAGAATGAGGCAAACTGAATTGAGTCAACTTCTGAAGATAAAACTTGAAGAAGTTATTGGGAGCTGCTATTTTATATTATGACTGCTTTTTAAGAAATTTTTGTTTATGGATCTGATAAAATCTAGATCTCTAATATTTTTAAGCCCAAGCTCCTTGGACACTGCAGCTCTTTTCAGTTTTTGCTTATATACAATTCATTCTTTGCAGCTAATTAAGCTGAAGAATCCTGGGAATCAAGTTTGAAACAAAGGTTAATAAAGTTCTTTGCCTAGTATACCAAAAAAAAAAAAAGATTTTTAATTTTTTTAACTTTTTGACTCTTTTGTAATACCACTTAGCTTACAAGTGGTATTATGAGTGAATGTGAAGGCCTAAGACTTATGCAGCTGTACAAAAATATTTTTTCCTTATATTCTTATTCTATAAGCTTTATTAAAACCTTTTTTTACTTTTAAAATTTTTTGGTAAGAATGAAGACACACACACACACATGCACGTGCGCACGCATCTAGGCCTACAGAGGGTCAGGATCATCAATATCACTGCCTTTCACCTCCACATCTTGTCCCACTGGAAGGCCTTCAGGGGCAGTAACAGTCATGGAGCTGTCATGTCGTATAACAGTGCCTTCTGCTAGAATCCCTCCTGAAGGACCTGCCTGGGGATGTTTTACAATGAGCCTTTTTCTTTTGTAAATAGAAGGAACAAACTTGAAAGTAATTATTAAAAGTATGGTATAGTAAATACATAAACCAGTACCATTTATTATTATCAGGTATTATGTACTGTACATAATTGTATGTGCTATACTTTTATATGACTGGCAGTGCAGTAGGTTTTTTTACATCAGCATCACCACAAACATGTAAGTAATGCCTGCATGTAGACATTATGATGGCTACATCACTAGGGTGTAGGAATTTTTCAGTTCATTTTAATTTTATGGGACCATTGTCCTGTATGTGGTGTGTTGTTGACTATAGCAGCATTATGTGGTGCATGACTATATTGATTTATCTGTTTCTCAACATAGGCCTCTGTATTAGTTCTTTTTCATGCTGCTGATAAAGACATACCCAAAATTGGGAACAAAAAGAGGTTTAATTGGACTTAACAGATCCGCATGGCTGGGGAGGCCTCAGAATCATGGCAGGAGACAAAAGGCAAAAGGTACTTCTTACATGGCGGTGGCAAGAATGAGGAAGAAGCAAAAGTGGAAACCCCTGATAAACCCATCAGATCTCATGAGACTTTTTCACTATTACAAGAATAGCACAGGAAAGACCGGCCCCCATGATTCAGTTACTGTCCCCTGGGTGTGGGAATTCTGGTAGCTACAATTCAAGTTGAGATTTGGCTGGGGACACTGCCAAACCATATCAGCCTCTCAGTTTTTGCTTGTGTTTTGAGGCTGTGAAATATATACAGAATATTTCATAAGTGGTGTATACAATTGATTATCATCATTCATGCGTTCTGTATTTGTGGATATGCCTATGTCTCCTTGCTAAAATTGATTTGTAAACTCAAAATCAATACAGTGCTTTTGTGGTCACTGGTAGACATGTGGAGAGTGATCTACTACTTTGAGTCTCCCAATGCACATGTTGCCACCTCAGACCAAATAAGGCCACACTCTCCCTTCTTGTTTTAGCTCTCATGCTTTAAACAAGTATTCTTTTCATAGTCTATTTAGTGCCTGAATGCCTGCTATAGGTAACCAATCTCTTCAGTTTCTGGTTTATCTTTCCTGCATTTTTTATGTACAAAGTAGATACATACATATGAATTTCATATATCTTCTTTATTATATAGAGGGTGGCATACTACAGCTACTCTTGTACTTTTTATTTTTTTTAAGAGACAAGAGTCTCACTCCGTCACCCAGGTTGGAGTGCAGTGGCACGATCATGATCATAGCTCACTACAGCCTCAAACTCCTCGCCTCAAGGGATCCTCCTGCCTCAGCCTCCTGAATAGCTGGGACTACAGGCACGTGACCACCACATCTGGCTAATTTTTAAATGTTTTGTAGAGATGGGGTCTTGCTGTATTGCCCAGGTTGGTCTTAAACTCCTGGTCTCAAGCGATCCTCCTGCCTTGGCCTCCTAAAGCACTGGGATTGCATTTGTGAGCCATTGTGCCCAGCCATACTTTGCTTTTTTCATCTAAAAATATATCTTGGAAATCACTCTAAATCAGTTTATAGAGATCTTTCTCATCCTTGTGCTTTATTGTGTGAGTGCATCATAGCTTAGCGTCTCTCCTGTGTATGGTCATTTAGGTTGTTCCTAATATTTTACTATTACACACATGCTACAGCCTTGTGCATATTTATTTTCGTATTGTTGGAAGTGTATCTTCAGGGTAGATTCCTAGAAGTGGGTCAAAAGTTAAATGAATGTGTAGTTTTGTCAGTTTGGCCAAATTGTTTTTTTACTATGCAAATTATATTATTATTATTATTATTATTGTTATTATTTTTGGGATGGAGTTTCTCTCCAGGCTGGAGTGCAATGGCGCTATCTCGGCTTACTTCAACCTCTACCTCCCAGGTTCAAGCGATTCTTCTGCCTCAGCCTCCTGAGTAGCTGGGATTACAGGCACCTGCCACCAGGCCTAGCAAATGTTTGTATTTTTAGTAGAGAAGAGGTTTTACCATGTTGGCCAGGCTGGTCTCAAGCTCCTGACTTCAGGTGATCTGCCTGCCTCTGCCTCCCAAAGTGCTGGGATTGCAGGCGTGAGCCACCATGCCTGGCCTATTTTCATTTTTGTGTGGTCAAATTTACCCATCTTTTATTTTATTGCCTCTGGATTTTTAGTCATTAGTTACACAGTTCTTACCTACACCAAATTTTCACCTACACCAGGCTTAAGAAGAACTCACTCATGTTTTCTTCTAGAACTTGTGTGGCTTTTTCTTTTTACATTTAGATTGCTCATCCTTTTGTTGTTTATTGTGCTTTGTGTGAGATGTGGATCTAACTTTATGTTTTTTTTTTAAAATGGCAACCACTTGTCCCAGAGCCATTTATTTAAAAGTTCATCATTATTATTGTGATTTGAGATGCCACCTTTATTATTTACCAAATTTTTGTAGGTACTTTTATACTATATCTGTAGTATAAAATTCCACTGGTATGTTTATCTACATAAGGACCAGTACCACTGTTTTGATTATAGACATTTTATAGTATGTTTTAACATCTGGTAGGGATAGTCTGCCCTCATAGTGTCTCTTTTTAGTGTTTTCCTGGTTATTCTTTCTTGCATGTTCATTTTTCCATGTTAATTTTAGTGTCAACTTGTCTAACTCCATAAAATAGCTTGTTTGTATTTTTCTTGGAATTTCATGACTTATAAGTTAAATTAGGGAGAACTGTAATCTTTTTTTTTTTTTTTTTTTTTTTTTTTTTTGAGACAGAGTCTCGCTCTGTCACCCAGGCTGGAGTGCAGCGGTATGATCTTGGCTCACTGCAACCTCTGCCTCCCAGGTTCCAGTGATTCTTTTGCCTCAGCCTCCCAGGCAGCTGGGATTGCAGGCACTTGCCACTACGCCCAGCTAATTTTTGTATTTTTAGTGAGACGGGGTTTCACCATATTGGCCAGGCTGGTCTCGAACTCCTGACCTTAGGTGATCCACCTGCCTCGGCCTCCCCAAGTGCTAGTATTACAGGTGTAAGCCATTGTGCCCGGCTGAGAACTGTAATCTTTTCATGTTGATTTATTCTATCTAAGAACAAGGGATGTCTTTCCATTATTTCATGTCTACTTTTATGTCTTATAGGGACATTTAAATTTTTTCCTTGTATGGATTTTGCACATTTCTTGTTAAATTTATTCCTGTGTCTTTAGGCCTCTTTGTTGCTGTTACAAATGGGGATTTCTCCACCGTGATGTTCTGTTGATTTTTTCTGTATAAAAGGTCTATTTTTGTTTGTTTGTTTTGAGACAGAGTTTCGCTCTTGTTGCCCAGACTGGAGTGCAGTGGCATGATCTTGGCTTATGGCAACCTCCGCTTCCCGGGTTCAAGCGATTCTCATGCCTCAGCCTCCCGAGTAGCTGGGGTTACAGGCATGTGCCACCACACCCAGCTAATTTTGTATTTTTAGTAGACGCGGGGTTTCTCCATTTTGGTCAGGGTAGTCTCGAACTCCCGACCTCCGGTGATCTGCCCGCCTTGGCCTCCCAAAGTGCTGAGATTACAGGTATGAGCCACTGCACCTGGCCCTATTTTTTTTTTTTTTAAAGATGGAGTCTCCCTATGTTGCCCAGGTTAGCCTTGAACTCCTAGGCTCAAGTGAGCCCCCTGCCTTAGCCTCCTGAGTAGCTGGAACCATATGTGTGCCGCTGTGCCCCAGGGCTATTGATTTTGTATGTTAATTTTATATCCTGCTAGTTTACTGAATTATTTTATTATTTGAGTTAGTTTTATCATTGATTTTGGGGGGTTATATCTGCAAATAGAGATAGTTTTATTTTTTCTTTACCCATTCTTAACCCTCTAATTGAGGTGTAATCCCATTGGCTGATACCCTTACACCAGTTTTGAACAGTAGCAGAGATAGTAAATATTCTTGCCTTGTTCCTGGTCTTAGTGAAAATGCCGTTAGTGTTTTGGAATTAAGTAAAATACAGGTTTTACGACTAATATATATGTGTGAGTGGCTGAGAGAGTTCTAGATATTTAGATAGAACATGGGAACAGAGATTAGAGAGAGATTTCTATGAAGGCTTGTCAAATTCTAGGGCAATAAGTATATCACATTCAAAAGGTTTCATTTTTCAATTTGGGAGTAACAATGAGATATGCCATTACAGCAAGTCATTTGAATTATATAAATTGTGTTTATGCATTATAATGGTCACAAAGAAAATTTTATGCTTGAATTTGTCTTGTAGTGTGTGCTGTATTTATGGAGTTTAAAGATTAATCATCCCAAAACATTGTTTCTGCTTCGGGGAAATCATGAATGCAGGCATCTTACAGACTATTTCACCTTCAAACAGGAATGTAAGTATAATCACTCCTCTAGAACCTTTTTAGTTACCCTTTAACCTGTCCGAAGTAAATCAAACAGAAAGAAAAAAGAAACTAATAGAATTTAAATGCTTCCTGTCCTGTTGTTATTTTTTTCACCTGCAAAGAACTAAGATTCTATCTTCTAAAACATTTATTTTGAAAATAACTTTTGGGTTCCCCCTTGTTTATAAAATAAATAATTCGGGATATTTGGAAAGCACAGAGAAGTCTAAAGAAGATAAAAGTGTCCATAATCAGGTTGCAGTGAGCCAAGATCACGCCACTCTACTCCAGCCTGGGCGACAAAGCAAGATTCCATCTCAAAAAATAAAATAAAATAAAAGTGTCCATAATCATGCCACTTAGAGGTAATCACTGTTATCACACTATTTGAAATATGGTCTTCCATTCTTTTTTATTATTATGAAATAGTTCAGGTATACATATATCTGTATATATTTTACAAATAAAATTGGGCTCATATGTACTGTTTAATACATTTCTGTTTCACCTAATGTAGTAGCATTTTTTCCATATCATTAAGTATTTTTGACAACATGGTTTGTAAGTGTTATTTTAGTTTTTTTAAAGTATTCCATCTTACGAACACACAATCATATATGTAGCCAATTTAGTAACAATCATAGGATATTTAGGTTGTTTCTAACTGTGACTACTGCTGTAATAGTAAAAATAAGTTTAATATAAAAGTAGAATTATTGGCCGGGTGCGGTGGCTCACGCCTGCAATCCCAGCACTTTGGGAGGCCAAGGCAGGTGGAACACAAGGTCAGGAGTTCAAGACCAGCCTGGCCAACATGATGAAACCCCTGTCTCTACTCAAAATACAAAAATTAGCCGGGTGTGGTCGTGCGTGCCTGTAATCCCAGCTACTCAGGACGCTGAGGCAGGAGAATGGCTTGAACCCGGGAGATGGAGGTTGTGGTGAGATCCTGCCACTGTACTCCAGCCTGGGCAACAGAGCGAGACTCCGACTCAAAAAAAAAAGAAATAGAATTATTTTGAAAGTCAAAACAGGCCGGGCGCGGTGGCTCACGCCTGTAATCCCAGCACTTTGGGAGGCCGAGGCGGGTGGATCATGAGGTCAGGAGATCGAGACCATCCTGGCTAACAAGGTGAAACCCCGTCTCTACTAAAAATACAAAAAATTAGCCGGGCGCGGTGGCGGGCGCCTGTAGTCCCAGCTACTCGGGAGGCTGAGGCAGGAGAATGGCGTGAACCCGGGAAGCGGAGCTTGCAGTGAGCCGAGATTGCGCCACTGCAGTCCGCAGTCCGGCCTGGGCAACAGAGCAAGACTCCGTCTCAAAAAAAAAAAGAAAAAAAAAAGAAAGTCAAAACATTACTAGCTGATTTTAAAAAACAGATAACATGGTGGGAGGCTGAGGCTAGACGATCCCTTCAGCCCAGGAGTTCTACACCAGCCTTGGCAATACAGCGAGACTCCATCTCAAAAAAACAAACTCGTAGATTTCCTTGACTAGCATCTAGTACTCATAATTGGCTGCTCACTAACAAACAGTATGATGCTGACTATGTTGGGGATGTTTGGGAGATCCTGCCCCAGGGCATTTGCATTTTTAGTTCTTCTTTTCCCAGATCTCTATCTGCGTATAAGACATACATTCTATTTCATTCATGTCATTTATTCCGAGATTTTCTCCTCTAGTTGCTTTTCTAAATCATAATCTCATCATTTTACCCTCATACCCTGTTTCTTTTCATAGTGTTTATCAACACCTGAGATTTATGTGTATTTATTTGTTGACTGTCTTTCTCTGCCACCAGAATGTAAGCTCCATGCTAGCAGGGGTGTGTTTTGTTCACTGTTGTTTTCCCCAACACCCACAACAGTATTAGTTGCTCATAGAAGTTGCTTAGTAAATATTGGTTGAGTTCATTTGAATGAATGAGCATCTGTGATTTGTATGTTTAGAACACACTCTTGAAAAAGAATTTCTGGGTTAGGGGGCAGGCACATTTTAAAGACTTTTGGCATACTCTAAAGTAGTCTTCCAGAAAATATGTATATTGGGTTATACGCCAAAAAAATTTTTTATTTTTGTGATGAAAGTACTGAAATAAAAGCAAAATTTTACCTGTTTTGACTTCTAAAATTTTAGCATATTCTCTATAAAATAAGGAAGCTAAACTAAATATCTTGGGTCCCATCTGGCTCTAAAATCTACCCCTTTTAACGAATCCTGAATATATAAATATACTTTAGTGTTCATATGGTTGATATTTTGATCATGGATTTCATTTTGTATCCAGATTTTTCTGCAGATTATTATCTTAGAAAAATATATTATAAAATATTTAAACTTTTATTCCAAAAATAATTTTCAAAGTTAAAAAAACTTTTACATTTGTTTTCAGAGACTCAAAGTTTATTAATCTGCCACAGATCCCTTTACTGATAGGTAGATTGCTATTTATAGTGTTTCATATGCTCATATGAATTCTTGCTACCAGTATCTTCTTACATTGGAGATAGTAGTTGTAATGAAAACATCCCTCCTAGTAGAGCCTCAAAGAAAAGGTCTTTGTTATTAAAAGAAATTTTAGAGGATAATCACTTCTTAAAAAGTCCCTCTGTCAAAAGTCAGCTGCAAGAGGGCAAGATACAAATCCTTCCAGCCCTTGGTGACTTACTGGAATAAACACTTTAAATCAGCAGCTAATTACCAGGAAGTTTTAAATCTACTGTTGGTGGATGTTTAAATTGGTGTAAGTTGAGCATGGTGGCTCATGCCTGTAATCCCAGTACTTTTGGAGGCTCAGGTGAGTGGATCACTTGAGCCCAAGAGTTCAAGACCAGCCTGGTCAACATGTTGAAATCCCATCTCTACAAAATAAAACACAAAAAATTAGCTGTGCATAGAGGCACTTACCTATAGTCCCAGCTACTCAGGAGGCTGATTGAGGTGGGAGGATCACCTGAGCTCAGGAGTTTGTGGCTATAGTGAGTTGTGATCACCACTACACTCCAGCCTGGGAGACATAGTGAGACCCTGTCTCAACAACAACAACAACAACAACAAAGATGTGAGGTATTTGAAGAGCAATTTTGTAATATATTTATAAATTTTAAGTGCATGTCCCCTTGATCTAGCAATTTCATTTGTAGGAATTTATTATGCAGATTGTGTTACTTTTTAAATGCTGCATAAAAAATTATCACAAATTTAGTGGCTAAAAAGAACACATTTATTATCTCATAGTTATTGTAGGTCAGAAGTCCAGGCCACAGTGTGGCTAGATTCTCTGTATAGGATCTCACTGAAATCAAGGTGTTGCCAGGGTTTCAGTTCTCATCTGGGGCTTAGGGTCTTTATCCAAGGTCACTTGTTGGCAGTCCTTGTAACTGTAGGATTAAGGTCCCTGTTGTCCTGTTAGTTGTTGACCAGGGATGACTCTTAGCTTCCAGATACTGCTTGCAGTTCGGTAACATGTCGCCACCAGTGGTAGTTCCCAATATGAATGTTTGCTTTTTTCCAGGCCGGCCTGAATGCATCTCTCTGACCTTCTCTTCTGTGATCAGCTAGCTGGAAAAAAACCCTCACTCAGTTTTTAAAAGGCTCACCTTAGGTCAGGCATGGTGGCTCATGCCTGTAATTTCAGCACTTTGGGATGCCAAAGGGGAGAGGATCACTTGAGGCCAGGAGTTCAAGACCAGCCTGGGCAACATAGTGAGACCTCCTCTCTGCCAAAAAGAAAATTAAAAAACTAGAATTCAGTCAGCCTGCATGGTGGTACAAGCCTGTAGTCCCGGCCAGTTAAGAAGCTGAGACTGAAGGATAGATTGAGCCTGGGTGTTTGAGATTACAGTGGGCTATGATTGTGCCACTGCACTCTAGCCTGGGTGACAGAGTGAGACCCTGTCCCTAAAAATAAATAAATAAGTAAATAAATGTTCACCTGATTAGATCAGGCCCTCCCAAGATAATCTTTCTTTTGCCATATAATGGGACAAAATAATGGGAGTCTCATCATACTTACAGTTTTCATCCACTGAAAGAGGAGTGGATTATACATACAAAGATGTAGGTCAATGCAGGTCATTTTAGAATTCGTCTACCACACAGATATACTCACAAAAAGATAGTAAAATATGGATGCTTAAGGATGTTCACTGCAGTGTTAATTGTAACAACAACAACAACAACAAAAAGGTAATCTAAATGTCAACAAGACAGTGATGAAATAAGTGATAATATGCTTTTGAACAATGGAATGCTAGGCAGCTATTGAAAGACCAAGGTGGCCGGGTGCAGTGGCTCATGCTCATAATCCTACACTTTGGGAGGCCGAGATGGGGGCATTGCTTGAGCCCAGGAGTTCGAGACTAACATGGGCAACACAGTAGTAAGACTCTCTCTCTACAAAAAATTTAAAAATTAGCTGAGTGTGGTGGCATGTGCCTATAGTTGCAGCTACTTGGGAGGCTGAGGCAGGAGGATTGCATGAGCCCAGGAATTCAAGGCTGCAGTCAGCTATGATCACCACACTCCAGCCTGGGTGACAGAGCAAGACTCTGTCTCCAAAAACAAAAGACAGGCAGACCAAGGTAGACCCATAATATGTACTGATATGGAGAGATGCTAAGATATTTTATAAGGCATTTGCAGAGCATGTAAATGGTCATCTCCTTTGTAAATTAAAAATATATAATGTACAGAAGAAATCATTAACAGTGGGAGGTTGGGTTAGGAGGACTTAGAGGGTTTTTTTGTTTTGTTTTTGTTTTGTTTTTGTTTTTTTAGATGCAGTGTTGACATGTTGCCCAGGCTAATCTCAAACTCATGCAATCCTCCAGCCTTAGCCTCCTAAATAGCTGGGACTATAAGTGCATGCCATCGCGCATGGCTTACTTTTAATTTTATATCCTCTCTAGTATTGTTTGAATTATTTTTTACCACCACTATGTACTACTTTTATAATTATTATTATTTTTCAAATTGGTAATTTAAAAATTACCCAGTTGGGGCCCAAGCATTTGAAAAGCTTTGTAAGCACCCAAGGTAGTTCAGCTGTGTGCTGCTGGTTAAGAACGACGGCTCTGGAGTCTTTAGGAAGCTTCTACTATCTGTCGTTTGGGAACCACTTCACCAAATACAAAAATGGGAAATATTTTATTTTATATTATTTTTCTAAACCAAATTTTAGGGTATTCCTTAACACCTTCATTTCTTACCTGGGAAAATTAAATAATGTGTATAAGTTAACAAATGCCCTGGAATGTAATACTCGATAAAAGCTAATTTTATGAATTAGGAGTAGATACGTAGTGAAGAAAGCTGCCTATGGCTGCCTTTGTTTTGAATTAAGTTTCAGAGGGTTTTTTAGGTGACATTTTTCTTAATTATTCTTTTGTCTTATCAGATTTTTTTTATTTTTAATTTTTATGGGTATATAGTAGGTGTATCTATTTATGGAATACATGAGATATTTTGATACAGGGATGCAATGTGTAATAATAACATCAGGGATTTTTTTGACAGACTATTTTTAGAAGATGGAACAATAGGTCCTGGAAACATTTTAAGTATCTCCTTTTGCCCAGAATTTCTTACCTTAGGTTTTTATTTGCTTTTCACATGATTTAACTGTAGTTAAACCTGATGGCTTTCTTTTTCTCCTATCTACCAAGATATTCCTTCTTTTTTATTATAATGCTGCATCTGAAATGTAAATAAATCTTGGAACAAGCACACAGATTCAAGTATAAGTTTAAAATTTTATTCTTGTATAAGGAGAGAGCATGTGTGTTGCTCTGCATGGGTGTTTTTACTGATAAGCTGATCTCTCTTCAGTGGCCACTGTGGCTTTTAGAACTAGCATCTTATCATTAATAAGGGAGGCTTAGTTTCAGATTGTGCAGCTGTAATCTTGTTCATGTTTTTAAGAGGGAGGTGGGTGAAGGCTTTTCTTGTATCAATCTTAAATTGCTTTATAATGCAGAGATTTTTTAAAAAATATTCCTTTCTTTATGGAAAAGTAATAATGTTTTTTTTTAAATTGATGTATAATAGTTGTACGTATTTTTGAGGTACATGTGATATTTTTACTATATGTATACAATGTATAATTATTATCAAGTCAGGGTAACTGCAGTATCCATCGCCTCAAACATTTATTTTTTCTTTGTCTAACAGTTAAACAAAATTTATTTTTTTAAGAGACAGGGTCTCATTCTGTTGTCCAGGCTTGAGTACAATTGTGTAATCATAGCTCACTGCAACTTTGAACTCCTGGGCTTAAGTGATTCTCTTGCCTCAGCTTCCCGAGTAGCTGGGACTGTAGGTGTGTGCCACCATGCCTGGCTAATTTTTAAATTTTTTGTAGAGACTGAGTCTCGCCTATGTTGCCAAGGCTGAACTTGAACTCCCCAAAGGATCCTTCCGCCTTAGCCTCCCAGAGTGCTGAGATTACAGATGTGAGCTGCCATGCCTAGCCCCTAACAGTTAATTTTTGACATATCATTTGTTTTTGCAAAAATATTTCTTCATTGTTATGTACTTAGAAAGCAAGAAACATAGTGCCTGCCTCCCTCCCTCCTTCCCTCCCTCCCTCCCTCCCTCCCTTCTTTCCTTCCTTCCGTCTTGCTCTGTTCCCTAGGTTGGAACACACTGGTAAAATCATTGCTTACTACAGCCTCAACCTCCCAGGCTCAAGTGGTCCCTACACCTCAGCCTCCTGAGTAGCTGGGACTACAGGCACGAGCTCTCATGCCCAGCCTATTTTTATGTTTTTATGTATTTATTTATTTATTTTCTTTGAAGGAACCTCGTGTTTATATTATTCCACAAATACTCTGGGTGCAACCTCATAGCTCTGGATCAGAGTTTCTAAAGTAAATGAATTTCTTATTTCCACGAACCTATTTTTTTTTTTTTTTTTTTTGATAGGGAGTCTCGCTTCGTCACCCAGGCTGGAGTGCAGTGGCACAATCTCGGCTCACTGCAACCTCCGCCTCCCAAGTTCAAGTGATTCTCCTGCTTCAGCCTCCTGAGTAGCTGGGATTACAGGCACGCACCACCACGCCTGGCTAATTTTTATATTTTTAGTAGAGACAGGGTTTCACTATGTTGGTCAGGCTGGTCTCAAACTCCTGACCTCGTGATCCACCTGCCTCGGCCTCCCAAAGTGCTGGGATTACAGGCGTGAGCCACCATGCCCGGCCCTTCCATGAACCATTTTTTTAAATGTATAGTTAAATAGCTTACTGACAAGTTCCAGAAACTCCTGTAATTTTACTAATGAAAGCAGTATTGTTATGACAACTGGATTTTTTAAAAAAATAAATACTGTTTGTCATTGCTCATTGCAGCATTTTTTAGAGTAGCAAAAGATTGATCTAATTAGATTGTGGTATATCCATAAAGCGAAATACTAGGTAAATGTTAAAAAAATTACAAAGCTCTCCTGTAGGGGAGGCAAAATTTTACCTTTACTCTCAGGGTTTTTCAGCTGGGCCTGAGAATTAAATTGACATGAGATAAATTAATAGGAGAAGAGCATATAAATTTATTTAATATAAGTTCTACATGACATAGGAGCCGCTATAAGGAAATGAAGATCCAGAGACTCAGAGTTGAACACTTACATGCTGAATCGGACAAAAAGTAGTAAGTTGTGAAAAAGTAACTAAATGATGTGAGGAGGCTAGAAGATAAGAGTTATTTGAATTCAGTCTCAACTATTAATCCTTGGTGATAACAATGTTATTTTCCTTCTAGTACAGGGAGGGCATCTTTTCTTTTTTTTTTTTAACTTTTATTTTAGGTTCAGGGGTACATGTGCAGGTTTGTTATATAGGCAAACTTGTGTCATAGGGGTTTGCTATACAGATTATTTTGTCACCCAGGCACTAAGCCTAGTACCCAGTAGTTATTTTTTCTGATCCTCTCCCTCCTCCTACCCTCCATTTTTAAGTAAGTCTCAGTGTCTGTTGTTCTGGGAGGGCATCTTTCAAATGGGAATTTCATCTCCTGCTTTTAAAAAGCAGCATGAGCCAGGCACTGTGGCACGTGCCTGTAATCACAGCTACTTGGGAGGCTGAAGTGGGAAGATCGCTTGAGCCCAAGAGTTTGAGACCATCCTGGGCATGTAACAAGACCCCATTTCAAAAAAAAAGAAGAAACAGCATGAAGGCCAGAGTGATCTTCTTGTACGTGTGGTTTTTCAAGTGCCTTTAACTCAAAGTTGTCAGTGTGCCAGAGTGGTGTATTTTGGGGTGGCATATTCTTAACTCCACTCTTCATCTGAAGATGTGGCATGATAGCCAAAATACGTTCTTAAGTACGAAAAGCAAGTAAAGAACAGTACATATATGCTATCATTTATGTAAAAACCAAAAGGATGTTTTGGAAAGAGAAGAAACATATATGTCTGCATGTGTATGCATAGAACATCTTTGTAAAGACACCCAGGAAACTGGTAATATTGGTTACCTGCAGAGAGAGGGCAGGAGGCACATTATACCCTTTTGTGGCTTCTAAAATTTGAGCTATGTTGGGGCCAGGCACAGTGGCTCACGCCTGTAATCCCAGCACTTTGGGAGGCCGAGGCGGGCAGATCACAAGGCCAGGAGATTGAGACCATCCTGGCGAACACAGTGAAACCCCGTCTCTACTAAAAATAAAAAAAAATTAGCCGGGTGTGGTGGTGGGTGCCTGTAGTCCCAGCTACTCGGGAGGCTGAGGCTGGAGGATGGTGTGAACCCGGGAGGCGGAGCTTGCAGTGAGCCGAGATTGCGCCACTGCACTCCAGTCTCTCAAATAAATAAATTAATTAATTAATTAATTAAATTAAATAAATAAAAAATAAAAAATTTGAGCTATGTCTCACGCCTGTAATCCCAGCACATTGGGAGGCTGAGGTGGGAGGATCTCTTGAGGCCAGGAGTTCTAGGTTGCAGTAAGCTATGATAATGCCACTGCATTCCAGCCTGGGTGACAGAATGAGACCCTGTCTCAAACAATAATAATAAAAAATAAATAAAGCAAATAAAAATTGAAACAAATATATCATCAGTGACTAGACCAGATTGTGATTTCTTGCAAGTAGTGCTGACTCTCAAAATTGCTTTCAGATAATTTTGTTGAAAATTTTGTTTTGTTAATGTTGTATTATTGATACTAGTTAGAACTTGTATCAGTGTCATCCTGTGGCTGTAATGCATTTTCCCTTCACTATAGAAATAACTGTTTTATGGGATATATCCTAAAATTTGTCTTGAAAATAAAGCAATTGAATCAGCTAATTTAACCTCTGGGAATTATGTATTTGGCTATTTAGATTCTCCTATTCAAAATCTTATTTAAAAATAATGATTAGGAGGAATATTAGAGGGTCATTAAGAGCATGAACAGGTTTAAGTCTCAGTTCTGCCAGTTACTTGCTTGCAGCTTTGGGCAGGTAAGCCTAATTTCCTCAGTTTTTAAATGAAGACAGTAATAATACCTACTTCACAGGGTTTCTGTGAGTATTAAATACTTTCATCAGTTAACACAGTATGTACTAAGTGCCAGCATTATTCTGCATATTTTACATAAATGAATTCATTTAATCCTCACAGCAACCCTGAATCTACTGTTTAGGGTGTTATTATTATTATGACCATAGATAAGGAAACCAAGGCACAGAGAGTTAAAATTTTTATCCAAGGTCCCATAGCTAGTATGTGGAGGGGGCTGCAGTTCTTCAAATCAGGCAACAAGTTCCAGACTCCATTCTCTTCACCACCATGCCATGCCAAATGCTTAACTCACTGACAGACACATCATGAGCCTTCAATACATTTAAATAATAAAGGTAATATAGGCCAGGTACAAGTGCAGTACCTCATGCCTGTAATCCCAGCACTTTGGGAGGCTGGGGCAGGAGGATTGCTTGAGGCCAGGAATTGAAGACCAACCTGGGCAGCATATCGAGACCCTGTCTCTACAAGTAATTTTTAAAAATTAGCTGGGTGTGGTGGTGTGCGCTTGTAGTCCCAGCTACTTAGAAGATTAGACAGGAGGACCACTTGATCCTAGGAGCTTGAGGTTACAGTGAGCTATGATTGCACTACTGCACTCCAGCCTAGGCAACAGTAAGATCCTGTCTCTAAAAAAATTTTTTTAAAAGGTGGTATAATAATAAATGTTATTATATAAAGATTACATATTCATCATAAAAAAGAAAGAACAGCTAAACTAAGAAAAATATAGATACCATTGTCAGTCTAACCCCTCAGAAAATTAAATACTGGTAATTATATATGCAATTCATATACTTTGAAAAAATAAACATGGTGATATTTCATAGCCTATTTTATTCACATATTAATATAACATGAACTTCTTTTTGCTTAATTTTTGACCTCCTGTTTTAATTTACAAAATGACAATACACTTCCTTACTTGTCCAGACTTGGCATTCTTTTTTGGAAGTAGGCTAAGGAATTATTTTGAGTCATTCTTGGGATTGAAAGGCATTTATCAATGTAAGATGTTATGGAGCATAAATTAATAAGTAATTGAAATTCCTACCTCTATTCAAGTGTGGAACTCCCATGGAGGAATTCCTTACTGACACTGGCAACAGAGGGAACTCTGGTTCCTAGGATTTTCAGGAGAAAAAGTCAATCACTGACCACAAATTAAAGAGTTTTCTGTTTGTTTTTTACTTCCAACAGACTTTATGGCCAATGCTGGATCTACTTTGAAATGGGCAAAATTTAAAACAAAGCAGAGTATAAGGATGTAACTGTAAGGAGAGGCAATGATGCATAAGACATGGTTCTTGTGAACTTTGAGCTCCTAATAAAGTTAGCATATGTTGTGGAATAGATTATGCTGACTGCTACAACAGCAATACAAAATGTTCTGAAAACCTCAAAGAAACCCACAGGCTCCCTTAATGAACTCAAACCCTAATCACCCAGTATTGGCGTTAAAGAGAAATCTTCACACTCAGGGATGGAAGGCCTTACAACCTCAAGCGTGGTCTACTGGTTTACACTTTCCTTAGGGATCTCTCTCTTAATCATTCCTGCCACCCATATAGTACTGCAGTCTGGCCCAAATCTGGACCCATCATTCTTCACTTTATTCCCCAAAACCTTGCCAGGACCAGGCTCTGATCCTTAAATATGTCTTTCTAAAGGCTTAGAGATCACAAAAAGGAAATAAACACAGAAATAATTACCAACTAGATAGTCTGACTCACTCGATACAGCTTTGGTCTCTTGGTCCTGTAGGCCACCTCATCTTCCCAGAATCCTGGAAGAGGAGAAGGAGCTCACGGTTCTGCAGGGTTGCCTGACTATATTTCTCGTCTTCTCTACCCACACACATCCCTGAGCACAGCTTGACTTTTTGAAACCAAGGCCAAGGAAGAAGAAAATGTTCCTTTTTCTCTTTAAACACCCATTTTCCAGTTTCCCACCTATTATTTCATGACTTTTCCTTTCCAGAGATTTGTAGAGACTCCTCCTTCCACCCACTGATGTATTTCCTTATTCTGTAGCCCCAAGTTGACAGCCACATCAAAATATAATTTATTAAGCCAAACATTTATTTTTTATTGTTTAGAGACAGAGGCTCACTCTGTTGCTCAGGCTGGAGTGCAGTGACACTATCGTAGTTCACTGCAGCCTCAAACTCCTGGGCTCAATCTATCCTCCCACCTCAGCCTCCCAAGTAGCTTGGACAGCAGGTGTGTGCCACCACAGCCAGCTAATTTTGTTTTTCAATTTTCTGTAAAAACGAGGCCTTGGCCAGGCGCAGTGGCTCACGCCTGTAATCCCAGCACTTTGGGAGGCCAAGGCAGGCGGATTGCGGGGTCAGGAGTTTGAGACCAGCCTGGCCAACATGGTGAAACCCCGTCCCTACTAAAAATACAAAAATTAGCCGGGCGTGGTGGCGTGTGCCTGTAGTCCCAGCTACTTGGGAGGCTGAGGCAGAAGAATTGCAAGAACCCGGAAGGCAGAGCTGCAGTGAGCTAAGATCCCGCTACTGCACTCCAGCCTGGGGGACAGAGCAAGACTCCGTCTCAAAAAAAAAAAAAAAAAAAGAGGCCTCACTGTGTTGCCCAGGCTGGTCTCAAACTCCTGGCCTCAAGCAATCCCCCGACCTCAGCCTTCCAAAACATTGGGATTACAGGCGTGAGCCACCACACCAGTTTAAGCCAAATGTTTTTAGAGAAAATAGAATCAAGACATAATTTGTTTACAGACCTTAAAAATTATGAGCAAAAACATTATTGACATTTTATTGATGTCTCTTAAGACTCCAGTTTCCACTTATATATCTTCAACACCCCTAAGAGATCTTTAAGACCCAATAAAATATTCAGACTCACAAGACTACCATGGACCCTAGTTGTCATCCATATACTTAAAAGGATATAGGTCAGGAAGGGCAGCACTGGGCATTCCTTTTCAGTGGAGTGGTCCTCACAGGAGTGCATACCGCAGTCCAGCAGCTTTCCATCTCTCTTGCCCCCTCCCATCTTCTCACCAGCTCAGGTACAAGGAAATATCCACAGTGGGAAGATTAGGGAGCCATCCTGGTATAGAAGCCTCGTGCATCAAAAATGTCAATGTGTGTTGTAAAACTACCTTCAGAGGAGCCCAAAGCTATAGCTTCCCACCAGGTAACTGGGTAATTTTTACCACAAGCCATGTTGCCTAATAACACAGTGGACAGTCACCTTATCACATTTCCAAGCAACAGAGCTGGAAAGTTAATCCAAGGTCACACTTGTCTTTAAGAGGAGAGAGGTATTGTTAACCTATTATCCACAACTTTTCAAAAGTATCTTTACAAAGATAATTGTGCTTTCAAATCATCTAAAATAAATGGCTCTAAAGTAGCTTCATATTCTCCTGGCCTATATCCTTTTTCAAATGTGATACGTTTTAGTTCTTCCATTGACTGGTTTTCCTTTTTTGTTAGGTCGAATCAAATATTCGGAACAGGTGTATGATGCCTGTATGGAGACATTTGACTGTCTTCCTCTTGCTGCCCTCTTAAACCAGCAGTTTCTCTGTGTACATGGAGGAATGTCACCTGAAATTACTTCTTTAGATGACATTAGGAAAGTAAGTAATCTTTTATTATTCTCACAGGGAATATTTTTAAAATGTGTTGGGTTTTTTTGTTGTTGTTGTTTGCTTTGAGACAGAGTCTCTCTCTTTCACCCGGGCTGAAGTACAGTGGTGCTATCTCAGCTCACTGCAACCTCCGCCTCCCTGGTTCAGCCTCCCGAGTAGCTGGATACAGGTGCACACCACCACACCTGGCTAATTTTTGTATTTTTAGTAGAGACGGGGTTTCACCATGTTGGCCAGGCTGGTCTTGAACTCCTGACCTCAACTGATCTGCCCACTTTGGCCTCCCAAAGTGCTGGGATTACAGGTGTGAGCCACCGCACGCCTGGCCTAAAATTTGTTTCTTATTGCAGTCAACCAATATATCTTTAGCTGAAATCTTTAAAATATAGATAATGAAAAGTAAGAAAATGGAAGTTACCTCTGATTTCATCACTATAACTACTGTTAACATTTTGATATGTACCTACCACAAATTATAATTTTTAATGAGCTCTATGTTTTTACCAACTAGAAAGCTAACATTCTTGTAGTATAGTCCTGAAACTTTGAATTATATCGCAGTGCAAAAGGAAGGAAACCAGGGTTCTAATCACAGTCCTGCCATTAACTGTGTAACCTTAACCAAGTTATTGAACCTCTTAGTCACATTTCTTCTCTATGAAATGAGGAAGTTGGAAGGGATGGTCTGAGGACACTGCCAGCTCCGAAATGCATTGGCTTTGACATTTTAGATGATAACGGTTTCATTGTTTTACTTGCCTTCCTTGGTGATTATTATTTCCAAGATTCTGTATCTTCATTATGGAAAAAGATGACCAATTTTTATTGTACATGGTTGTCTTATCTTCTCTACCTTTGAATTCTTCTACCTGTCTCTCTGTCTTTTTTAATCAAAGTGATAGATACTCATCCTCTCTTACAGGTACTGAGACTAAAAATTTTTCTGTTTATAAAACTATTTTCTCTGAAGAAAGTCTCCTCAGGGTAAGAGGGTGTACCTATATGTACTGGCTTTCCTCTTGCCTTACTGTCTTTTAAGTAACCAGCATTTCTCTTTTACATAGTAAAATATGAATTTTATAATTCTGAATCAATTGTATCAATAAAAAGCTCTTTCACGCAGTAGAAATTCTCTTCTTGGCATTCAGCTATTCTATTACTTGTTTTCTCTTGGTTTTTATGCTTTCAACTAAAGCAGCAGTGACTAAAGGCTTAAGTTAATAACTCATATTGAAATACCTCAACTGCATAGACTGGAAAGGATAAATGCCCTTACAAAATTAGCATTCTTTAAAATAAAGAAATCTCCACTGGAATGAGGTTTGCAATGAACAGAACCATTGTAAAACATTTCTGCTGTCATGGTAACATTGGCTCACCTAGACAAATAAAATTAATTTTATATAGTCATAGTCTTTCTAAAATAGTATATCTCTATAGTGGTTGATTTCACATTTGAATTAAATTAGCACTGCTTTACGATTAGGATGTAAGAGGGTCTTTTACTACAGTATGGTTAGATGACAGGGATGTTTATAAAAATTTATTGCAGACCGGGCGCGGTGGTTCACGCCTGTAATCCCAGCACTTTGGGAGGCCGAGGAGGGCGGATCACCTGAGGTCAGGAGTTCGAGACCAGCCTGACCAACATGGAGAAACCCCATCTCTACTAAAAATACAAAATTAGCCGGGTGTGGTGGCACATGCCTGTAATCCCAGCTACTAGGGAGGGTGAGGCAGGAGAATCGCTTGAACCTGGGAGGCGGAGTTTGCGGTGAGCCGAGATCGTGCCATTGCACTCCAGCCTGGGCAATAAGAACGAAACTCCGTCTCAAAAAAAAAAAAAATTTATTTCAGAAAAATAATAAAAATTATGTATCTAAAATTGTTAAGTGTTCCTTTTCTTGCAGGAAAGTCCTTTAGGGGCACACTGGCTTCTCTCCTAATACATTCTTGTGGGTGAAAGGGGTTTTTCTTTGACACATACTAGTTTCCAAGAAGCCTTTTGCTCTCCTGATTTTTTTCTTTTGGCTTTTGTGTGTCTTCTAGTTAGACAGGTTTACGGAACCTCCCGCCTTTGGACCTGTGTGTGACCTGCTTTGGTCTGATCCCTCAGAGGATTATGGCAATGAGAAGACCTTGGAGCACTATACCCACAACACTGTCCGAGGGTGCTCT
The DNA here is from genome assembly GCF_000001405.40 of Homo sapiens. Lineage (NCBI taxonomy): Eukaryota > Metazoa > Chordata > Mammalia > Primates > Hominidae > Homo > Homo sapiens. Next base: position 22,513,422 of record NC_000008.11, read on the forward strand.
TATTTCTACAGGTAAGCTAGTCCTTGAGGTCGAAAATTATGAAAGGAAACTGTAATTCATTTTATCAGATGATTTTTCAGCATTTTATATTTCAAATCTATGTAGTATAAGCACTCCTGTTTAATTTTTCGATTAATAGGAGGCAAGAAACTTGTTTGTTTGTTGGCTTTTTATATTTTCTTAGGTATATATCCTAAGAAGTGTAATACACCAAACATGATTGGACATCCTGCAGTGCTCTGATATTTTTGTCTGACTCTAAGTGATCTAGACTATTTGTTCCTAAACATTATCTATACACTTTTTTAAAAAAAATTAAAGCTTTCTTGGCTCTTTCCCCAGAGATTCTAATACACTAGGTCTGAGAGGAATCCTATTGTATTTTCAAAAGCTCTCCAAATTTTGTAACCACTAGTATAGACTAAGATATAAAAAGAACAGGACATTGTGAACTAAGCCCAGTACATTTCCTGGAAGTTGGCTGTTGTTTTAAATTTCACAGGAGCTTTCATTATGATTAGACACTCAAAAATAGGAAGACAGGCAGGGCGTGGTGGCTCACGCCTATAATCCCAGCTCTTTGGGGTGCCTAGGCGGGCGGATCACTTAAGGCCAGGAGTTCGAGACCAGCCTGGCCAACATGGCAAAACCCCATCTCTGCTAAAAATAAAAAAATTAGCCAGATGTGGTGGCAACACGCCTGTAATCCCAGCTAATTGGGAGACTTCAGGCAAGAGAATCACTTGAACCTGGGAGGTGTAGGTTGCAGTGAGCCAAGATTGTGCCACTACACACCAACCTGTGCAACAGAGCAAGACTCTGTCTCCAAAAAAAAAAAAAAAAAAAAAAAGGAAGACATAAGAGAAGTTGGAAATCTAAATTATTTTTAATCCCAGTATTTTATTGTGGCAAATAATACATATGTTTATTTCCCTAAAAATCTCTGTTAATTGGCTAAGATAATGTGTTCATTAGAATACACACATGCACACACACATGAAACTTTGATTTCGCCATTACTTTTAGCATTCTTCTAAACAACCTTTTTTTCTTTAAAAAAATATTTTTTAAAATTTTTGTGGGTACATAGTAGGTATATATATTTATGGGTTATATGAGATATTTTGATATAGTCATACAATGTATAATAATCACATCAAGGTAAATGAGTTATCCATCACCTCAAGCATTTATCCTTTGTGTTACAAACAATCCAATTATTACTCTTTTATTTATTTTATTTTTTGTTGTTTTTTTTTTCACCTTTTTTTTTTTTTTTCCTTTTTTGAGACGGAGTCTTGCTCGGTCACCCAGGCTGGTGTGATCTCAGCTCACCGCATCCTCCACTTCCCAGGTTCAAGCAATTCTCCTGCCTCAGCCTCCTGAGTACTGGGATTACAGGCACCTACCACCATGCCTGGCTAATTTTTGTGTTTTTTAGAGATGGGGTTTCACCATGTTGGCCAGGCTAGTTTGGAACTCCTAACCTCAAGTGATCCACCCACCTCAGCCTCCCAAAGTGCTGGGATTACAGGCATGAGCCACTGTGGCCGGCCTCTTCTAGTTATTTTAAAATTTACAATTAAATTATTATTCACTATAGTCACCCTGTTGTTTAAATCTCACAGTATCAAATACTAGGTCTTATTCATTCTTTCTGACTGTTTTTTTCGACCCATTAACTATCCCATTTCCCCTCTTACTACCCTTCCCAGCCTCTGGTAACCATCATTCTACTCTCATCTCCATGAGTTCAGTTGTTTTAATTTTTAGCTCCTACAAATAAGTGAGAACGTGTGAAGTTTGTCTTCCTGTGCCTGGCTTATTTCAGTTAACATAATGACCTCCAGTTCCATTCATGTTGTTGCAAATGACAGGATCTCATTCTTTTCAATGGCTGAATAATATTCCACTGTGTATATGTACCACATTTTCTTTGTCCTTTCATCTGTTAATAGACACTTAGGTTGCTTCCAAATCTTGGCTATTGTGAACAGTGCTGCAATAAACATGAAAGTGCAGATGTCTCTTCAATATACTGATTTCCTTTCTTTTATATACATACATAGTAGTGAGATTGCTGAATTACATGGTAGTTCTGTTTTTAGTTTTTTTGAGGAACTCCAAACTGTTCTCCATAGTAGTGTACTAAACATTCCCACCAATAGGATATGAGGGTTCCCTTTTCTCGACATCCTCACCAGCATTTGTCATTGCCTGTCTTTTGGATAAAAGTCATTTTAACTGGGTGAGATGATATCTCATTGAAGTTTTGATTTGCATTTCTCTGATGATCGGTGATATTGAATACCTTTTCATATACCTGTTTGCCATTTTATGTCTCCTTTTAAGAAATGTCTATTCAGATATTTTGCTCATTTTTAAATTGGATTATTGGATTTTTCCTATTGAATTGTTTGAGCTCCTTACATATTCTGGTTATTAATCTCTTGTCAGATGGATAGTAAAAAGTCTTTTTTTCTTTCTTCTTCTTTATTTTATTTTATTTTATTTTATTTTATTTTATTTTATTTTGAGACAAGGTCTCTCTTTGTTACCCGGGCTGGAGTGCAGTGGCACCATAACAGCTCACTACAGCCTCAACCTTCTGGACTCAAGCAGTCCTCTTGCCTCAGCCTCCTGAGTAGCTGGAACTATGGGCATGTGCCACCATGCCCAGCTGCTTTTTTTATTTTCTGTAGAAACAAGGTCTTGGCTGTTTTGCCCAGGCTGGTCTTGAAGTCCTAGACTCAAGTGACCCTCCCTACTTGGCCTCCCAAAGTGCTGGGATTACAGGGATGAGCCCCACCCAGCCAACAACCATTTTTCATTCCTCCATGCCAACTTTTCCAGTGACTAATGTGATGAAATCATTTAACTTTTATTTCTTTTTACATTGCTTAAAATAAAGAGCATAATACATATTCATTGTTGTCAGAATAGAAATTGGTACAATTTCTGTGGACATCAACTTGGCAATATCTTTCAAAGGTATTTGTACATGGCCTTTGATCCAGAAATTCTACTTCTAAAACTTAATCCTGTAGATATATAATTGATTCTCATTACTTGTGGATTTCATATTTGTGAATTCCCCCACTTACTAAGATGTATTTGTAACACCCAAATCAGTACTTACAGAGGTTTCATAATCATTCATGGGAATGTAGTGTGCAATGCAACAAAAAATTTGAGTCACCTCACTCACATGTTCCTAGCTGAGGTTGAACAAAATGATGCCCTACCTTCTTTTTGCAGCCCTCATGTTGTAAACAGGCATTCTTTTGAGTTTTATTTAGTGAAAGATGTTTTATGTTTTTGTGCTTTTCATGAGTGATTTCACTGTTTAGAATGGCCACCAAGTGTAGTGCTGAAGTGCTGCTGTCTAGGGTCCCTAAGCACAAAAAGGCTGTGGTATGTCTTACAGAGAAAATATGCGAGTGTTAGATATAAGCTTTGTTTAGGCATGAGTTATGGTGGTTTTGGCCATGAGTTCAATGTTAATGAATCAACAGTGTAAATGACCTAAAGTATTATTACACAGAAACACATCTGAAACAAGGTTATATATTAATTGGTGGGTGAAAATGTTATGACCGGAGCCTCACAGGAACTTCACCCTGTATTTCCCTTAGCAGTAGTGTTTCATTATTTGCTAATTCTGTTTTTGCAGCAACATTATAGAATGTAGCTACTGGGAATAATGAGATAAAAAATTTGACTCACCCAGCACACATGTTCCCAGCTGAGGCTGAACAAAGTGATACTCTGCCTTCTTTTATCCCAGGGATAAATCCCATTTAGCCACAGTATATAATACTTTTAGTATGTTGTTGAGTTTGGCTTTCTAGTGTTTTATGGAGGATTTAAAAATCTATGTTCATCAGAGATACTCACCTGTACTTTTCTTTCTTCTGGTGTCTTTGGCTTTGGTATCAGAGTGATGCTGGCCTCATAATGTGAGTTTGGAAGAATTCTCTCTTCTATTTTTTGGAAGGTTTAAGAAAGATTGGTATTAATTCTTTTTTTTAATGATTAATAGAATTCACCCATGAAACCATCTGGTCCTGTGCTTTTCTTTGTTGAGAGCTGTTTGATTACTGATTCCATCTCCATATTTGCTATTGGTCTGTTTGGGCTTTCTATTTCTTCATGATTCAGTTTTGGCAGGTTGTATATTTCCAGACTCTATCCATTTCTTCTGGGTTTTCCAGTGTTTTGGTGTGTGATTATTCGTAATAGTCCGTTATGATCCCTTTTATTTCTGAGGCATCTATTGTAATGTCTCCTCTTTCATTTTTTGTTTTATTTATTTGAGTATCTCTTTTTTTCTTAGTCTTGCTAAGGGTTTGTCAATTTTGTTTAGTTTTTCAAAAACCAACTCTTAGTTTTGTTGACTTTTTTCTGTTGTTTTTCTATTCTCTATTTGATTCATTTCTGCCCTAAACTTTCCTTTCTTCTGCTTACTTTGGGCTTATTTGATTCTCCTTTTTCTAGTTTCTTGAAGTGTAAAATAAGGTTGTTTAATTCAGATCTTTTTTGTTTTTTAAATCGGCATTTATTACTATAAACTTTCCTGTAGGTACTGCTTTTGCTGCATCCCATACATTTTGATATGTATATTTTTGTTTTCATTTATCTTGAGGTTTTTTTTTTTTTAGATAGGATGTTTTGCTCTGTCACCCAGGCTCAATGCAGTGGCACAATGATACCTCACTGCAACCTTGAACTCCTGGGCTCAAGCAGTCCTCCTGCCTCAGCCTCCTGAGTAGCTGGGACTACAGGATGTACCGCCATGCCCAGCTAATTGTTTTTAAAATTTTTAGAGGAGATGAGGTCTTGCTGTGTTGCTTAGGCTGGTCTCGAACTCCTGACCTATCTAGAGATAATTTTAAAATTCCTTTTTGATTTCCTCTTTGACACAATAGTTGTTCAAAAGTGTGGTGTGTAGTTTCTATGTATTTGTGAATTTTCCTGTTTTCTTAAGTTATTGATTTCTAGTTTCATTCCATTATGGTGGGAAAAGATACTTAGGACGATTTACATCTTCTTAAGTTTGTTGATACTTCTTTGTGATTATATAGCCTAAAGAATATTCTGTGTACACTTGGGAAGAATTCTATTCTTCTGTTATTTGGCAAAAAGTTTTGTATATGCGTATTAGGTCCATTGGGTTCATAGTGTTGTTCAGTTCTGTTGTTTGCTTATTGATTTCTGACTGGATGATTTATCCATTACAGAGAATGATGTATTGAAGTTACTTGCTATTATTATTATTATTTTGAGATGGAGTCTCGCTCTGTCGCCCAGGCTGGAGTATAGTGGCGCGACCTCGGCTCACTGCAACCTCCGCTTCCTGGGTTCAAGCAATTCTCCTGCCTCAGCCTCCCAAGTAGCTGGGATTACAGGCATGCACCATCACGCCCAGCTAATTTTTGTATTTTTAGTAGAGACGGAGTTTCACCATGTTGGCCAGGCTGGTTTCGAACTCCTGACCTCAGGTGATCCACCCACCTCAGCCTCCCAAAGTGCTGGGATTACAGGTGTGAGCCACTGTGCCCGTCCTACTTGCTATTATTTTATTACTGTCAATGTTTGCCTTCAGATCTGTTGTTGCTTTATATATTTAGGTGCTTTGATGTTGGGCACATATATATTTATAATTGTTACATCTTTCTGTTGTATTGACCCTTTTATCATTATATAATGACTTTTGTTCCCTCTTGTGATGATTTCTGACTTAAAGTTTATTTTGTCTGATAAAAGTTTAGCCACTCATGTTCTCTTCCGGTTACTTACTTGCATGGAATACCTTTCTCTACCCTTTTACTTTCAGCTTATGTGTGTCTTTAAATCTAAAGTGAGTCTTTTGTAGACAGCATGTAGTTGGGTCTTGTTTTCATCCATTCACTCATACTATATCTTTTGATTTGAGAGTTAAAGTAATGATTGATAGGTAAGGACTTACTATTACCATTTTGTTGGTTGCTTTCTGTTTTGTGGTTCTACTATTCCTCTCTTTTTCTCTTTGTGATTTGATTTTTATTTTTGTAGTGGGGTATTTTGGTTCTTTTTATCTTTTGTGTATCTACTGTGCTTTTTTGTTCATCGGGTTTGCATCAAACATTTTATAGTTATAGCACTCTGTCTTACGCTGAGAAGAAATTACTTTCAATGACGTATAGAAACTCTACACTTTAGTCCCCATTCACACACCTAATGTAATTAATTTCAGGTTTTACTTTATTTTTGAGACAGGGTCTTGCTCTGTCACCTAGGCTGGAGTGCAGTGGTGCGATCTTGGCTCACTGCAGCCTCTGCCTCCCGGGTTCAAGTGATTCTCCTACCTCAGCCTCCTGAGTAGCTGGGACTACAGGCACACACCACCACACCTGGCTAATTTTTTATATTTTTAGTAGAGATGGGGTTTCACCATGTTGGCCAGGCTGGTCTCTAACTCCTGGCCTCAAGTGATCTGCCTTCCTCAGCTTCCCAGAGTGCTGGGATTACAGGCACGAGCCACTGTGGCCAGCTGCATCTTTTAGTTTCTACTTGAACTTCCTTTAGTTGCTCTCATAAGGCTGGTGTAGTCATGACAAACTCCAGTTTTTGTTTGTCTGGAAAAGTCTTTATCTCTCCTTCATTCTTAAAGGGCAATTTTGATGAGTAAAGTATTCCTGGTTGGCAGGTTTTTTTTTCTTTCTTTTAGTACTTTGAATATATTATCTCCCGCTTTCCTGGCCTGCAAGGTTTCAGCTGAGAAATTCACTGATAGTCTTATAGAAGCTTCCTTGTATATTATATGACAAGTAGGTTTTCTCTTGCTGCTTTCAGATTTTTTCTTTTTGAGTTTTAACAACTTAATTATAATGAGTCTTGGTGTTTAACTTATTTGGAGACCTTTGGGCTTCATGAATTGAAATGTCCCTTTTCCTCCCTAGATTTGTTAAACTGTTAGCCTTTAGTTTTTAAAAATAAGAAGCTTTCTGCCCCTTTTTCTTCTCCTTAACTCCCATATGCCTGTATTATTTTCACTTGATGTTGTCCCATAAGTCCTGTATACTTTCCACATTCTTTTTTATTCTTTTTTCTTTTTGTCCCTCTAATGCTATCATTTCAAATGACCTGTCTTTTAAGTTTCCCAGTTCTTTTCTTCTGCCTGAGTCTGCTGTTGAAGCTGTCTCTTGAGCTTTTCAGTTGAGTCATTGTATTCTTCAGCTCCAGGATTTCTATTTGCTTCTTTTTTATGGTTTCTGTTTCTTTATTAAACATCTCTCTTTATTCATTTATTTGCTTTCCTGATTTTGTTTAGTTGTAGTTCATTGAGCTTCTTTAAGATGATTATTTTGGATTCTTTGTCATGCAATTCATACATCTCTATTTATTTAGGGCCAGTTACTAGAGGTTTATTAGTTTCCTTTGGTGGTGTCATTTTTGCCTGGTTCTTTATAATTCATATAGCCTTGCAATGGAGTCTATGCATTTGAAGGAGCAGGGGCCTTCCAGTTTTTATGGACTCGTTCGCCAAGTAAATACCTTCTCCTATTGAGTCCCTGGGTTGATGGGATTGCCTGTGGTATTGTGATTAAGCAGGGCTGAAGCTAGATTATGGGGCTACATTAGGGTTCACAGTCAGTGGGCGTACCACTAGGGGCATGGACAAGTATGTCCCATGGATGGGGAGAGCTGTCTCTGGAACTCAATAGGGTGGGACCCAAGCTGGGTCCCAGGCTGGTTTGGGTTTATGTTTGGGTCCAATCAGCAGCCCTTTTACCAGAGGAATGGACAGGCATGATTTCCACAAGGCCCCTGTTAAGGCAGGACTTCCTCTTGGCCACAGTAGAGCAGGGCTGGAGCCAGGTCAGAGTGCTGCTTTGAGTCTGCAGTTGGGTCTGGTTGGTGGATCTGTTACTAGGGGCATCAACAGACATGGTTCCTTCCCAGGATGGATGAGGCTGGTGGTAGGACTGCAGACAAGTGGGACTGGAGCCGGGTTTACAAGGGACAGGCTGATTCTGGGTCTGTAGCTGAAAGGTCAGTGGGCCTGCCTTCTCCAAGCAGCCCTTCCTAGTCTTGGGCTCCACCAAGGTTTCATAACCACCTACCTCAATCCTAAGGTTCTTACAATGGCACTTATGGCCATGGATGGCTTCCAAACTATTGTTTCTGTAGGAGGACCAGGGCTGGGGACATTCTCTTTTGCTATCTTGCTTACGTCACCTACAACCTACTTTAAAAGTAAATTTGTTCTAATGAGCATAATGAGAAACAAAGATTTTAAAAATAAACTAAATAATTAATGCCTAAGTAATTCCAGGTTAATTTTGTATACTCCAGTTCTTCCTATCAGGTATTTGTCATTCAGAGAGGTAATAGTATGAAAAGAATATTTTAGGAGTATATGAGAATATTGTATCTTTTTTTAGAATATGGTTGGCTAAAATATTTACATCTGCTCCTAAAATATTCCTGCATAAGCTTGCAGTGAGCCGAGATTGCACCACTGCACTCCAGCCTGGGCGACAGAGCAAGACTCCGTCTCAAAAAAAAAAACAAACCTATATATATACATATATATGTATATATGTATTCCTGCATAATATTATCTTGGTGTTTATATTACCTGTGAAGCTGTAAGTATATTCTTTTATTTCTGTAACAATTTGACAATTGAAGAAAAGTATGTGTTGAATTTTTAGCATCTACTACACACACACGCACACACACACACACACACACACTACTGTTGTACTTTGTAATATCAAGACACTGATAAAAGTTTTGGTGTTGTATTGTTATGGATTAAGACAAAAAAATTAAAAGATGAGATGGAGGAGCTCTTTCTATTGTAGGATTATCTATTGTTTTCATGTTTGATCTGTAGTGAAGTATATTAGTGAAATAGAGAAACAGAATGATGAGTACTAAGCTATTCATAAAATTTCAGTAGTGTGTAATACTTGTAGTTTTGAAACAAAATCAGCTAATATCACCTTGACTTTTCCCCATCTTCCTATTAAAAAAAATTGTTTTAATTCTGGATTTATGTTTTCTAATTTTCTTTTCCAGTTACCCTGCAGTTTGTGAATTTTTGCAGAACAATAATTTACTATCAATTATCAGAGCCCATGAAGCCCAAGATGCTGGGTAAGTTACATTAAAATTGTACCAAATATCGCTGCAGAGTCTTTGCATTTAATATGCAGACAGATGGACTTTCATCTCTTTTTCAGGTATCGAATGTACAGGAAGAGCCAAGCCACAGGCTTTCCATCACTTATTACAATTTTCTCTGCCCCCAATTACCTAGATGTCTATAACAATAAAGGTAAAGGAATCCAGCAATATTTGAGTTTGAATTTATGAGTAAACGTGAGCTCTGGTTTAATTGTATGTACGTATGTGTGTTTGTGTCATTTTAAAACATAAATTTTAAATAAGAAAAAAAGGGGTCTTAGTTGAAACAAAGGCCAAGAAATTTAGAATTTATGCTGCTGCTTGGTCTTTATCTCCTAAGGATTACTGGCTTCTTTGTGAGTATAAATAATGATCATAATAGGTCAGATTGATACTACAGAATCAAAGTATAAGAAGAATAAATTGCTTCAGGCTCATGCCAGAATAGTTAGCATAAATTATTGGTTTTGGTGAATTTAATGTGTTTATAACAGTATCTCAAAGTCACCATTGGTATTTTAATCTTTGTGAATTATTAAACTATTTTTGTTTTTCTTGAGATATGGTCTAGGTAGAGTGACCTAGTGTACAAAGTCAAAAAAAAACCTTCATTTTTAGTTTAAACCCTGCCAGAAACGAATACTGTGACTTTGAGTGAGTCACATTATCTTTCTAATCTTCAGTTTCCCATATGAAAAAAGAAGAATGGATATATACATGCCTTTTGTTCCAGAAATTTTACTTCTAAGACTTTATCCTGTTAAAGTCTTTTTTTTAATTTAAAACTTTTATGATTAATAGTTTATAAGTTTTCTATCGAGGCAGTGGTCCTACTAAAAACTTCATATTTCTGTAACTATTTTGTTGTTTATAAAGTATGACTATAAATTAATAGGACTTTGAAAATAAACATGCCAGAACAAACATATCCAAATGAGTATTGTCCCTTCAAAGTAGTTACCTTGGGAGGCTACACACCTATTCCAACAATGCTGTCCTTGTTCAAAAACATTTTTGGAACTCCTCTTTTGGCATTGCCTTCAGAGTCTGCGACACATTCTTTTGATTATCCTCAATGATGGGAAATCTTCGTCCTTTGAGGGTGGATTTGATTTTTGGACAGCCAAAAGTCATTCGGAGTCAAGACTGATAAATAAGGTGAGTGATCAAGCTAGATGATACCATTTGGGGTCAGAAACAAGGTATGATTATAAGGTAATGAGACTGGTTTTTCTCGTGTTGCTGATACAGTGGCTCTGGAGGCACTTCCAAAAGAGGAGTTCCAAAAACGTTTTGAGTAATGGCAGCATCTCTGGATTAATTATATGGTAAGGCAACAAGTTGTGCTGAAAAGAACACAAAGCAAGGAGTCAGTCTAGTCCTGCTTCACTTTTAAGTGTGTCACATTTAACAAGATACTTCTCTGAGCCTCATCTTTAAAATATCTGTCATATGGGGTTGTTGAAGATAAGTTGGAATAAGGAAAATGGATATTAAAGTGTTGTTCAAAATATAAATTACTATAATAATACAGATTTTACTGTTATTGTACCTGATGTGATAATATCAAAGGACCACACTCATCTGATAAAAAGGTCTGGTGTGTTTGTAGCTGGTGGTTTCTTAAGTCTCATTACTTTATAGTTATACCTTGTATATGCAGTTGGGGAGATAAGTTTCAAAGATGGCCAAAATATAATTAATATTTACTCTATTTAAAAGTAAACCATGGAATGGCACATCTCATTTAAATCCGATTTGGGTCAGTCATTTTAGTGTGTCCTCCAGTGACTTGTCTATTTTAAAAAGCATGTCTTTAACTTAAGTTCTGTCCTAGTCTTATGTTTTCATTTAACTTAGCATTCTTCTCTGAGCCTTATCTGTCCTACAATGCTCTGCTTCTCCCTAAGTTCATTTGTTATTTCCTTTTTCCTGATATTTCCAGTATATTAGCAACTTAGGTTTTATTCTTATTTATTCTCTTATCAATGGTGTGGACTGTTTGTGTTGTTAAACGTCTTCAAGGACTCTTGTGGCCCTAGATCTCCTATTTGTAATGAAGGTGTTTCTTTCTCACTTTCTTTTTTAACTTCATCAAAAAGAGTATCTATTGATTGCTCAATGGATTTATCAGTGTGCCAAGCTGAAACACGCCACCTAAGTCAGCAGGCACTATACAGCTCACTCACTGCTAGCTTGTTTTTTGTCTCAATCTAACCTGGTTTTGTTCTTGATTATTTCTTTAGCAAACTTTTAACATCACAGTCCTGGCCAGGCACAGTGGCTCATGCCTGTAATCTCAGCACTTTGGGAGGCCAAGGGGAGGATCACTTGAGGCCTAGAATTCAAGACCAGCCTGGGCAGCAAAATGTGACCCCATCTTTACAAAGAAAAATTTAAAAGTTAGCCAGGCAAGGTGGAGCATGCCTATAGTCCTAGCTACTCAGGAGGCTGAGGCAGTAGGATCCTTTGAGTCCAGTAGTTCGAGGCTGCAGTGAGCTGTGATCACACCACTGCATTCCAGCCAGGCAATAGAGCAAGACCCTGTCTCTAAAAAATAAAAAAAAAAGTAAAAGCCACAGTTCATTCTACCTGAGTATTCTGTCGGCTTTGACATAATTAGTAACTTTTATCTCAAAACAGTCTTATTTTCATTGGTTGTTTCTTAGGCATTTTAGAAGGAAAAAGGCAGAAAATGTGGCATTTGAAACAGTCCCTGGGGGTACTCAGTTACTCCCCATACAAGTGCCTTCTTTTCTGAAAAAGGGAACTCTATTATTCTTTTTCTTCTTCCTTTTCTTCTACTGTTGCTCTTCTTTCTCTTTCTCTCTTTTCTTTTCTCTCTCTTTCTCTCTCTCTTTCTTTTCTTTCTTTTTCTTTCTGCTTCCTTTTCTTCTTTCTTTCTTTCTTTCTTTCTTTCTTTCTTTCTTTCTTTCTTTCTCTCCCTCTCTCTCTCTCTCTTTCTTTCTCTCTCTCTCTCTTTCTCTCGGTCTCTGTCACTTAGGTTGGAGCACAGTGGCAGGAACTTGATTCACTGCAGCCTCGACTTCCTGGGCTCAAGTGATCCTCCCACCTCAGCCTCCCAACTAGCTGGGACCACAGGTGCATGCCGCTACACCTGGCTAATTTTAAAATATTTTTTATAGAGATAGGGTCTCGTTATGTTGCCCAGACTGGTCTCAAACTCCTGAGCTTAAGCAGTCCTCCTGCCTCGGCCTCCCAAAGTGCTGGTATTACAAGTGTGTGCCACCACACCTGGCCTCTTTCATATTATTTTTTTTTTTTCAGAGACAGAGTCTCACTGTGTTGCCCAGGCTGGAGTGCAGTGGTGCGGTCTTGGCTCACTACAACCTCTGCCTCCCGGGTTCAAGCAATTCTCCCGCCTCAGCCTCCCGAGTAGCTGGGACTACAGGTGCACGTCGCCACGCCTGGCTAATTTTTTTTATTTTAGTAGAGACGGGGTTTTACCATGTTGCCCAGGCTGGTCTCAATCTCCTGAGCTCAGGCAATCTGCCCACCTCGGCCTCCCAAAGTGCTAGGAGTGCTCTTTCATATTCTTTAGACTTCTTGGTATCTACAGGTATTTCCTAGTTCCACTAGTTACACGAAAGACCTTTAATCATGATTTTTAAAGATTCTTATTCTTGTTTTCTTCTGTCCACTGGGAACACACCCAAAAGCAGTTTTATAAGCTCTTGTTTCCAGTCATTCACTGTTGAGACTCACCTCCCACTTCTTTTTCCTGGGTAGAAATTGAGGGAGTTGTTGAATAATGATATATGACATATTTACCTAAACTAAATAAAATACATACACGTGAAAATAATGGAACATGTACATCATAGCCAGTGTTAGGCTTTTTAAGTGCTAGAAACTATATTTTAATTTATTTTCTTAATAATATATGGTGTACATTTTAGACATTCAATAACTTAAATTTTAAGAACACTAGATTATCCTGTAGCAAAGAAACAGGAATGAGGACGTGACCTATATCTGTCATTTCTGGAGAACTGTTACACCCTGTTTTATTTTATGACCACAGAATAATTAAGAGAATAGTGCAAACAACATTGCTGGTGATAAAGGCTAAGGAATTGGATTTTAAGACTTTCAAAATATAAAGAAAATCAGTTTGGCATCAAAGTATGTGTGCGACTATCTGAATGGTTAATATTAAACATAGCATGCTGGCAATACACTGCTGTGTATTGGAGAAATCGGCAATTTTAAAATCCGCTATATTGAATACAGAGATGACTTAATCTAATTTTGAACATTTAATTGTAAATTGCTCCAAGTTTGCCATTTGTATCTTCCAGTATGAGTTGATAACTGCAATATATAAACTCCCAGAGAGTGTATACAATCTTTGACTCTGGCTAATGACTAGCAAAACAGGCTGTGTCCATTTAATGAGTAATTTTTGCCTTCAAAGGAGAGTTGTAATTATAACCATTTGGCCTATAAAAGGAAATTATGGGGAAATTTTCCTCACGTGGATCTTGAGGTTTATATAGATAGTTACTGTGCAGTGACTCCAAAGTTTCAGTTTCTTTTGTACTTTTATTATATGAGCTCTTCAGGTAACTTTGTTCCTTGGAATAATTCTTAAGAGAATGAACTGAATAAAAGGCTTTAAAATTTTCCATCTGCCCTTTACCTAGTCAAGTCCTGACTTTACAAATGGAAAGTTCTCGAATTCTGTGTAGCAGGTACACAGCTGTACAAAGCATACCACTTGCCATGCCATGTTCCTCTGTGCCAGATTTTCTTGCTTTTTTCCTTTTTAGCTGCTGTGTTGAAATATGAAAACAATGTCATGAATATCAGGCAGTTTAACTGTTCTCCACACCCCTACTGGCTTCCAAACTTTATGGATGTTTTCACATGGTCTTTGCCTTTTGTTGGGGAAAAAGGTAAGAGAACTAAAGCACATGTCTCATCAGTTGTTTGGTGACTGAGCATACCTTATATTTGCATGAGCCCCTCCATGATTCAGAAATGTTTTCTAATTTTGTTTGTTCTCTACATAGATTTTTTTTTTTTTTTTCTGAGATGGAGTCTCGCTCTGTCACCCAGGCTGGAGTGCAGTGGCACGATCTCAGCTAACTACAACCTCCGCCTCCCAGGTTCAAGCAATTCTCCTGCCTCAGCCTTCTGAGGAGCTGGGATTATAGGCACGTGCCACTGCACCCGGCTAATTTTTGCATTTTAGTAGAGACAGGGTTTCACCATATTGGCCAGGCTGGTCTCAAACTCCTGACCTTAAGTGATCCGCCCTCCTCAGCCTCCCAAAGTGCTGGGATTACAGGTGTGAGCCACCGTGCCCAGCCTCTACATAGATTTGTAAATGGCATGTAATTGGTTCTTAAATTTTAATATATTATGGTTTTTTTATTGTAAATATCAATTTAAAGTAGCTGACCTACTATGATCAAGATGTTAAAATAACATAGTTACTTGTCATTCCCTCAGATTTCTTCAGTACTGAAGAGATTTAAACAGAATTTATTGTCCTTACAATTTTATTTGTACAGCTACTCAAATTAGCTAAGCCTGTTGGACGTAGGCCTGTTGGCTTAACTTTGTAAAGTGGGAAAAAAATTTTCTCACGTGTGTATCAGTGTGGGAAGAAGCTCTGAACAGCAATCCGGTAAAATCAAGTAATTAGGCAATAGATCTTCAAAGACTCCAGACTTTTACTGGAGCAAGTAATCTACCCAAATTCTTTTTAAACCTGAAAGTTTACATTTATGCTACTTTTTATAGCTATTCTTACTAACATAATGATAAATAATTTTTGCTTATGCTTACTTAACATGTGTGTTTATTTAGATATCCACATTATTTTAGAGAAAGTACCTCATTAATCGCGTAAATTTTGGATTATTTTGTCTTACTTAGTCACAGAGATGCTGGTAAATGTGCTCAACATATGCTCTGATGACGAACTGATTTCTGATGATGAAGCAGAAGGTAAACTTTTCCTCCTTTGAACTAAAACTAGAAAGAGGTTTGGTTTTGGTTTTAGTTGTTTTAGTTTATTTTGAATGATTTTCTTTGTCTTATTAAAAATAAAGTTAGTTCATTGTAGAAAAATAAAATTTGAAAAATACGAGAAACCATAAATAAGGAAAAAAAGTCACCCATAATCCCATCATCTTATAGATATCCACAGTTAACATCTTAATGTATACTGTGTTAATTGTCTTTTATCTTTGCACATAGCTTTCCTCTGTAGTACACTATTTTTGTGGAGTTTCTTTGTAGACTAGTTTCTAATGGATCTGTAGTTGTCCATGTTGATCAGTGTTGTAACTAATCCCGGTGGTGTTGGTTATTGGAGTTTTTCCCAAGTTTTTGCCGACAAAACCCATATAGTTTTGAACATTTGTTTAGATAAAAATGTGCACATTCTCTTAACCAATATTTATTACATGCTTGATATATACCAAGTACTGTATTGTTTAGGTCCTTGCTCTCAATAAGCTTATTTGCTAGTGTAGGGAGGAAAAACAGTAAATAAATATGTCAGATGAAAGGAAGTAAAGCAATATTAGAAAATCAGGAATAACACTTCTTGATTATTTCCATAGGATGAATTTGTAGAAATTGAATATCTGTGTCAATTAGTACTTAAAATTACAATTCTGATACAGATAGAAATTTCTGATACAGCCTCTAGAAAGGCTGTACCACTTTACATTTTGCAGGATGCATAGTCACAGTGCTGTCTCCAATACTGTTTATGATACTTGTTATAGTCTGGTGTTACTAAGTTTTTAATTAAATTTTTAGTTTATATTTTTATGAGACTAATGGACAATTTTTTCTTGTGTTTGTTGGCAATGTTTATCTCTCTTTTGTGACTTGTCAATTCATATCTTCTATCCTTTTTTTGAGACAGAGTGTTGTTCTGTCACCCAGGCTGGAGTGCAGTGGCGCGATCTCTGCTCACTGCAACCTTCACCTCCCGAGTTCAAGCGATTCTCCTGCCTTAGCCTCACGAGTAGCTGGGATTATAGGCGCGTGCCACCATGACCAGCTAATTTTTGTATTTTTAGTATAGATGGGGTTTCGCCATGTTGCCCAGGCTAGTCTGGAACTCCTGAGCTCAAAGTGGTCTGCCTGCCTCGGTCTCCCAAAGAGCTGGGATTAACAAGCATGAGCCACCATGCCCAGCCCCATTTTGATTTTTTTCTTATTGGTGTGTGAGGGATCTTTTTATACAGTAACATTTTATTATATATGTAGCCAAGTACTTTTTTTCCTAGTGTGCTGTGGGAGGTTTGATTATAAAGGTAGGTCCTGACTTGTCTGACAATGCAAGAGATTCTGGAAAAGTGGTGGTCATCCAAGCACAAACCGGCCTCATCCTATCCAGGCTCTGTGCTAAGGTGGTTCCCTTAACTGTGAGGATAAACCATCTCCATCGTGGAGAAAACACAACTCCCTTTGGGAATCTAGAGGAAATTACCATACACTCTCATGCTTCAGGTTCTGCACTCATGCTTCAGGTTCCGCACTGAAGATCAACAGCATATGCAAGATAGCTTGCGAGTGTTTTTATTTATGGTATAGGAGATGACTACAAGGAACCAGTTCTTCTTGAGGAAATAGTGCAGCCAAGTGAAAAACAAAAGAAAAACCGAATATCCCCCTGGGCAACATGGTGAAACCCCATCTCTACTAAAAATGCAGAAATCAACCAGATGTGATGGCGAGTGCTTCTGGTCCCAGCTACTTGGGGGCCTGAGGTGGGAGGATTACTTGAACCTGGGAGGCAGAGGTTGCAATGAGCGGAGATCTTGCCACTACACTCTAGCCTGGCCAACAGAGGGAGACCCTGTCTCAAACAAACAAACAGAAACACATATATTTCCTATTCTTTCCCACCACAAACATAAAAATAAATAAATAAATAAATAAATAAATAAAAAGGAAGAATGGGCCGGGCATAGTGGCTCACGCCTGTAATCTCAGCACTTTGGGAGGCTGAGGCAGGTGGATCATGAGGTCAGGAGATCGACACCATGCTGGCCAACATGGTGAAACCCCATCTCTACTAAAAATACAAAAATTAGCTGGGGTGTGGTGGCACACACCTGTAGTCCCAGCTACTCGGGAGGCTGAGGCAGGAGAATTGCTTGAACCTGAGAGGCGGAGGTTGCAGTGAGCCAAGATCGCACTACTGCACTCCAGCCTGGCGACAGAGCGAGACTCATCTCAAAAAAAAAAAAAAAAAAAAAAAAAAAGGAAGAACAATTATATCCCCTGAAAGAGAAGCTATAGAATCCATTAAACAAAAAAACATACTATTCCTGTGAAGAGATTTGTAAACTGTTCTGTCCTCCGTTTTTGTTCCTTGTTTTTGGCATCATTTATTCTGCAAATAATATCTTTGTTTAATGTTATTTTCATGATCTGTGGGGTTAGAAAATATTGGATGCTCATAGATGTGAATTAATGTAAAACCATAAACTTTTAAGAAATGGAAGAAACTACTGACAAAATAAATTTGCAATTTAATGTTGTATCATGATTCCAAGGATATCTCTTATGAGCTGGTAAAGATAATAGCCTGTTTCTCTCATTGCATTTCACTTTGATTTTTTTTTCTCTTTTCCATGTAAACATAAATTTCTCTTCTCATATTTCTGTCTTCATCTCCTTGTTTCTTGGTGTTTCTTCTCCCTGAAGATCACTACATTCCAAGCTATCAGAAAGGTATCCGACTAAACTGTGCTAAGAGCTTAATGCTTACTCTCTGTCCCACCATAGTCTATTGGTTAGACTTAAAATTGGTAGTTGAATAATTTCAGAAAGGCTCTCCATCCGCCCCTTCAGTTTTAATGTATATGTTTTCTCTGGACCTGTTGCGTGATCTGGCAGGGTGCTGAGGGTTGGATGTGAGGAAGGAGAGGCCATGTTTCTTTTTCTGACTTTTGACTGTAGTCACCTGGTGCATGCTGGACCTTGGCTTCTCATGTGTGGGCTATTTTCAGAATCTTAGATAAGAAAAAGCCATAAAGTCTTAAGTTAACTTTTTCTGTTGTTGCTTTTTAAAATAGTGCACAGTTGTAAGTAGTATCGTGAGGCAATAACTCACTAATATAAGTGAAGCTTATAGAATGAAAGCAGCCCTCACTAAGTTCAGGAGAGCTAGCTGGGTGTTGTGTTTACATACAGAAGACAGCTGCTGGAATGATCACTTGCCATTTGGCAGGCCGAACCCTGCACCCTAAGGTGGCCCACAGCATTATCAAAAGACATCTTTGCTGTAGCAGCTTTCTTTGTGAGGTTTGTTTATGTATGTGTGTGTTTTATTCTTTGCTGTGCTCTACGTTTCACAACCACAAATAAGTTCCTACCTCTCATAGATCCACCCAGTCTGTCTTTTTTGTGGCCTCTCATTTTTTACTTCATCTTTTTATCTTCTGAGTCATTTTTTCTCTTGCTCCTTAGAACTTCCTGAGATTTTTGTTTGTTTAAACAAACTTAAGCCTTCATTTCTGTTTTTTAAAAACAATTGTTTCTTTAACTTAAGACACTTCATCCTGAATTTTTTAAAGGCAGCCTATTAACACATCCCTTTAACTTACTTATTCTTTGTATTCTCTAAGGAAGCACTACAGTTCGTAAGGAGATCATCAGGAATAAGATCAGAGCCATTGGGAAGATGGCACGGGTCTTTTCAATTCTTCGGTAAGGATGTCTGTCATTACAGTGCGGATTAAAGGCATTTTGAGAGTAAATTAGACGTCGAATTCAGAACAGTTTTTTTATAATTGGAATGTAGTATTGAAACTGCAGGTCTTTAGGTTGAGTGCAAATTCAATGAACATGTTTAAGCGACTAAAAATGTTCCAGCAAACATTGATTTGTTAGTAGCTTAGATGTAGTGAATGTAGTGGTTTAGTGTGGACTTTCCAACCCGATTGCCTGTGTTCAAATTCTGGCTCTACCTCTTCTTACCTGTGTGATCTTGGGTTTCATCTCTGTGCCTTAGTTTCCTTGCCTGTAAAGTAATAATAGGCCCTAGCGCACAGGTTGTTAGGTGTATTAAATGGGATACAATATGGGAAATGTTAGAACAGTGCCTGGCTGTTAAACACTTCTAATTGAAAAACAAGAACTGGCTGATTGTTTAAAATGAAAATATTTGTGGAAAACATCCCTTTCTTTGAGTCAGGGAAGGCGTAGGAGGTAGGAGAACCTATCTTCCATCTCTGCTGTCTTTCTTCACTTCCTTCAATATCTTTAAGTTGCTGAATGGAGAGTTCTCGGGCATTAACCCAGGGTTTGGTCTCCCTTTGCAGGCAAGAAAGTGAGAGTGTGCTGACTCTCAAGGGCCTGACTCCCACAGGCACACTCCCTCTGGGCGTCCTCTCAGGAGGCAAGCAGACTATCGAGACAGGTGAGTATGAGAGTGCTCCTCCATGGAAGGTGTGCTCCCGTTACCTAACAGTCAGCACACACTTACAAATGGGGGCTTTCCTCAGAAAATGCCACGAGAGCAGTTGGTTATACCATAAGCGGGGAAATGAATCTTCACCCCTACTTCCCTCCATACAGAAAACCTAAATCAGAATGGCTTATTATAACTTCAGTGTAAAAAGCAAAACAGTAAAACAAGAAGAAAGTATGGAGAGTAGACACTGGGGTAGACAGAGTCCTTAAGTAGGACACAAAAAGTACTAACCTTAAAAAGCCAGTTGAATTTCATTAAAATAAAGAACTTCTCTTCTTAAAAATACATGATTAAGAGAGGAAAAAGGCAAGACACAAAATGGAAGAAAATTTTTTGCAATACACGTCTCACCAAGCCCTTGTATCCAGAATATATAAAGAACTATAAATCAATAGGAAAAAACAAATTTCAAAAATGGTCAAAAGATTTAAACAGGCACTTCACAAATGAGGATATCAAAGTGGCCAATAGGCCTGGCACAGTGGCTCACGCCTGTAATCCCAGCACTTTGGGAGGCCGAGGCGGGCGGATCACCTGAGGTCAGGAGTTCGAGACCAGCCTGGCCAACATGGTGAAACTCCGTCTCTACTAAAAATAGAAAAATTAGCCAGGTGTGGTGGTGGGCACCTGTGATCCCAGCTACTCGGTTGCCTGAGACAGGAGAATTGCTTGAATCCGGGAGGCGGAGGTTGCAGTGAACCGAGATCGCGCCACTGCACTCCAGCCTGGGCGACAGAGTGAGACTCCATCTCAAAAAAAACCAAAGTGACCAATAAACATATGAAAAGATCTTAATATTATTATAGTTTTTCATCTAGGAAATAGATATTAAAACCACACTGAGGGCCGGGAGCGGTGGCTCACGCCTGTAATCCCAGCACTTTGGGAGGCTGAGGCAGGCAGATCTCTTGAGGCCACGAGTTCAAGAACAGCCTGGCCAATACAGCAAAACCCCACCTCTACTAAAAATACAAAAATTAGCTGAGCATGGTGGCATACTCCTGTAATCCTAGCTACTCAGGAGGCTGAAGCACTAGAATCACTGGAACCCGGGAGGTGGAGGTTGCAGCGAGCCAAGATCACACCATTGCACTCCAGCCCGGATCACAGACCAAGACTGTTTCAAAAAAAAAAAAAAAAACAAACACCACAGTGAGGTACCATTACATACCCACTAGAATGGCTAAAAATTAAAAGTTTGGGCCAGGGCATGGTGACTTACACCTGTTATCCCAGCACTTTGGGAGGCTGAGGTGGGAGGATCACTTGAGGCCAGGAGTTTGAGGCTGTAGTAAGTTATGATTGTGCCACTGCACTCCAGTCTGGGCAACAGGGCGAGACCCTGTCTCCAAAAAAAAAAAAAAGAGTCTGACAATACCAAGTATTGGTGTGTTTGTGGAGAACTAGTACTAGGTATGTTGCTAAAGGGCTTGTAAATTGATTCAAGCGCTTTAGAAAACTACTGGGCAGTAAAGCTAAACATATGTCTACCCTGTAACCCAGCAGTTCCACACCTGGTGTATATCCAAGAGAAACTGGATGTGTTCACCAAAGGTTATGCATGGGAATGTTCACTGTAGCTTTATTCATAATAGCTCAAAGCTGGAAACAACCCAGATGTCCATCAGTAGCAGACTACATAAATAAATTGTATTCCGAAATATAAATAAATAAACTGTATTCTATTTATACAATGGAATAATACTCAGCAATAAAAAATAACACATTATGGACACATGCTACAACATGGTTGAATCTCATAGACATTACAGAAAACTGCAAAAGCCAGACATAAAAGAGCACAGACTGTCTGATTTATATAATATTTAAGAACCATTGGACTAATCAGTGATAATAAAGTCAGAATGTCACTTCCTCTGGTGGGAGAATATTGTCCCAGAAGGGCACAGGGAACATCTAGAGTGTTAGGAATGTTCTGTATCATTATCATGGTGGTAGTTAGACATGCGTATACTTATGTAAGAATGTGTTGAGCTGTACACTTCAGATTTGTGCACCTGCTGTGCCTCGTGTATATTTTGTACCTTAAAGAAAACAGTTTGAGGGGGTTGCAGTTTCTCAATCAGAGAGGGAGTTTGCCTCTTTCCCTGCAGCCATATTCTATTCCAGTGCCAAAATCACCTCTTCAATCAGAGTACCAATTCTGAAATTTACCCAGGAGCTGACTTCTTAGGAAAGGGCTTTCTGGAATCCCGGAATGAAAAGGTTGATGTTCGTGAGAATAAACATGCAAGGGGAAGAGACAGGAGATCATATTACTGGGTGACTAACACTAGGTATGAAAATTGGTATTGAAGCATTAATATCTTAAACTAAAGTTTAACTGCTTTTTTTGCTCCCCTTGTTTTGTTGAATTGTTTCTATTTAGTTTTTTTCCCACCTCATCGTTCATCTGGCCTTTTTTCTTTTTCTTTTTTTTTCCCAAGAGACAGAGTTGCCCAGGCTAGAATGTAATGGCTAGGTACTGTCATAGCTCATGGCAGCGCCCGGTTGCTGGGCTCCAGCAATCCCCCTGCCTCAGCTACTCGAGTGGCTGGGACTACAGGCATGTGCCACTGTGCCTGGCCATCCTGCCATTTATAGGAGTCCTTTTTCTTTTGTAGAAATTTCATTGCTATTGACTAACAGGGACAAACCCATTTTTTTTCTTTTCTTGGAGACAGAGTCTTGGTCTGTTGCCCACGCTGGAGTGCAGTGGCACGATCTTGCCTCACTGCAATCTCCGCCTCCCAGGTTCAAGCAATTCTCCTGCCTCAGCCTCCCAAGTAGTTGGAACTACAGGCGTACACCGCCATGCCCGGATAATTTTTTATATTTTAGTAGAGATGGGGTTTCACCATGTTGCCCAGGCTGGTCTGGAACTCCTGAGGTCAGGCAATATGCCCGCCTCAGCCTCCCAAAGTGCTAGGATTACAGGCGTGAGCCACCGTGCCCAGCCCTTTTTTCTTTTTATAAGATTGAATTCCTCCTTCTCTTTCAAATAGAATACTGAGATATTAGAGTTCAGCTATTTAGAAGGAAGTCTGAACATTTTCTCTTTGGAAGTATAGTTTATTTTCCTAGTTCCTTTAGTTTCACAGAAAGTATCAGTAAACTATTTCCGATTGAATATTTTTCTCAAATAAATGTGCAGTTTTTTGTGAGCAGAATATGTTCCCACCATTGCTTTGCTTGGTAATTAGTCATCTGAGATATTCCGAGAGCAACTCTGACAACAAAGATAGAGTAATAGGCAGTAACATGAGTTAAGAGAAAAAAAGGAATGTCCTATAGCATCCTTAGGTAAACATTATGAAAATTTGCTGATCCACAAAATTGTTTTAATTGAAACCAACTTTGTCTAAACCTTGAGAAAGCAAATCTGCAAATCAGGGCTGAGCAACAGAATTATATAGCTATGTTATTTGGAAATTTGTTTCTAATTCTTGGTCACCTTTTGGGCTCAGCCCCAAAGTATGAGTTGAATATGAGTGTTTTAATCAAGATAGGACCATTGATTGATACTTCCAAAGTTGATAGAAATCTTCAGTAATGTGTGAGAACAAAGGTAAAGTTGGAGCCAACTTTTTAGAGTTTCTTATTCTTATTGATTCACAGGAAGTGAGTTTATTTTGTTATTTTCACATTGGAGTCTCAGTTCCACCAGCTCATTGGCTAACTGGAGCATTAACTAAAAAAGACCTTTTATTGTTCATATAACTTAACTTGGAGAGCTTTCAACCAACAGTATCCCATATGGCCATGTAACATACATTCATGTATGTCTCACCTTGATCTAAGAGGGATTGGCGTGAGTTACAGTATACATGAAACATAGTGGAGTAAAATAAATATGCTTGGAAATTGAAGCACAAAGGTAAATAAAAATAAAGCCAATAGCCACAAATTTGACTCTAAGCATCCCAGTAGCCAAAATAGTGGGGAAAGCCAAGGACAGGACAAGATTCACAAAGACCATCAGATTAAAACAGATCAGTTATAAATTGGACTACATCAAAATTAAAAACTCTGTACTGCAAATGGTACTATCAAGAAAATGAAAAGACATCCCACAGAATGGTTGAAAATGTTTTCAAATCATATATCTCCTAAGAGATTGGTATCTAGAAAATATACTCTTACAACTGAATAAGAAGACAACCCAGTTAAAAATGGGTAAAGAATTGAATTGACATTTTTCCCATGAAGACATACAAATGGCACATGAAATGATGTTTGACATCATTAGACATTCAGAAAATGCTAATCAAAACCACAATGGGATACCACTTCACAGTCAGTAGGATGGCTGTGAAAAGACAGCAGTTAATAAGAAGTGTTGATGAGAATGTGGAGAAATTGGGACCTTCTTAACACTGCTGGTGGAAATGTAAAATGGTACAGCTGCTTTGGAAAACATTCTGACAGGTCTTCAAATGATTAAACATAGAATTGACTTATTACTCAGCAATTCCAGTCATAGCTACATACCCCACAAAGAAATGAAAATATGTCCTCGCAAAAACTTGTACACAAATGTTCATAAATGGCATTCAACATAATAGCCAAAAAGCAGAAAAAAGCAATTGTCCATAAACTGGATAAACAAAATGTGGTAAACGCAATGGAATACTATTCAGCCATAAAAAGGAATTAAATGCAGGTATACATGTCAACATGACTGAACCTTGAAAACATTATGCTAAGTGAAAGAAGTCAGTCACTACAGACCACATATTATATGATGCCACTCATTTGAAATGTCCAGAACAGACCAATCTAGAGAGAAAGTAGATTCGTGTTCAACCAGGATTAAGGGGAAGAGGTGAGGGAAGGAAATGGGAAGTGAGTGCTAATAAGTGGGGGATTTCTCATTGGGGCAATGAAAATATTCTAAGCACAGATTGTGGTGATGGTTGCACAGCTCTACTATATTAAAACCATTGACTTGTATACTTTAAACAAGTGAGTTTTGTGGTATATGAATTCTATTTCAGTTAAGATGTTAAAAAGGAAAACAAAAGTTCGGGTCATTTGATATGACTGTTTCTTATAATGGCCCTTACTGCAGGCTGCTATCTTTATACCCAATGTGAATAGCAATTCTGGGAGGGCCCCAAACAAGGTAATATCATACACATTTTACCGTGTAGCTTTTAAGCTCTAATTAGACCAACACTCAGTGTAGAGTTTCAGCAATGCTTTGTTCTCCCACTTCCTAACAGTTACATCAGTGATGTGCTGTGAGAAGGCACTGTAGCTTTCTTGTCAAGGGTATTTGTTCTACTTAAGGAGATTAGAGAGGGTGTGACAGTGATTTAATACATGCCTGCCTATGGTTGACAAATGAAAGCACTTCATAAGTAGATTTCAGTTATCCATTTTTCACATTCCATTAGGTAGTTAATGTAGTTCTTTCAGTTTCTCTTCTCATATTGATATATAAAGCCTTGGGAATAGCAGCAAACTGTTACTGCTCATTATTCTTCACTGCCTTCTTTTGGCAAATTGGTACTGGAGTAACTGACAGGGTTCTCCTAATAGGATCTTTCTTGTGGCACCCTGTACCTTTTCATATATTAGCGTTTTTACTGTCTGAGAAAGGAGATGCAAGGAAGTTTACCTGTTGGTACTAATTTTTAAGTTGCTTCCTTTTCCATTGCTAAGAAAGAAGAGGGCTTTCTTAGTTACTGGCCAACTCTCTTGAACACTGTATGGAAGCCATATGGATTGGAAACATTAGCCTCTGCTATATTTTTATAGCAGATGGGTACACACATTTGCATTAGGAATTCAATAGTTCTATGCTTTTGTTAGCTTTGTACTCCACTCCTGGACAAGAAATAACCCTTCACATGGAACCTATTTTTCTCTCCTTCCAAATGCCAGTCTGCTGTTCAAAGGCCACTCTTTTTTTTTTAAATGAAGTAATTAATAGGGCAGTTGGACTCCAAATAAGTCACTTGAGAGCAGTAAGATGTAGTTGTAAATAAGCTTTTTGAATAGGACCCAGCAGTAGCTCATTTAATATCACCTGAGATATTTTACAAACTAAGGATTGTTGTGATGTCAAACTATTTGATTCTACATGTTGTTTCGATACGTGGATATCAAGATATAAAGTAGCAGTTGGCTACCTAAAATGAAAAGAGCAATGTTCCATGGCACCTGAAATGTTAAAAATATTAGAAACTCTCCCCCACCCCATATTCCTCCCACCCCAATTGAGTCTCTCGCAATAATCTTCTCGCTTCTCTAACTAGTTGACTTTCATTATGGATGGGGATAGGCTAAAAAACGGGCCCCTGGGATGGCTGTGCTGCCATCAGTGCTGTTGGTTTACTCACTCTTTTTCTGTCTTCGTTTTTGCATGCTACTGCTCCTGCCCTCTTACAGCCACAGTAGAAGCGGTAGAGGCCCGGGAAGGTATGGCCATATTACTCTGATAGATGTGATCCATGTGTCTGTGTACTGGTTTTTCGAAGCTTTATCAACATTTCAAATATTTTATTATTGCATCACCAGAACTATAACAGTGAGAAAAGGTATAGTTGTTTCTAGGCATGTTAACGAAGCAGGTGTTTCCTTTGTGTCCTATCTTTGCATTAATTTTAAATAACCTTCACCACAGCTACAGTTTTTTTTCTGGGCTCTATCAGCTTTAATGCAACGGCAGAAGCTTAAGCAACTGGTCATGAGAGGTCAAGTGGTTTACTTCTGTATCCCTTCCATGTACAAGAGACATCCATTTGATTCTCAAGAGAGCCAAATAGGTCAGCCTCTTCAGCGATTCTAAAAGATTTCAAGAGCAGAGGCAGAAGTAGACTGGAATTTAGTTCAATTCATTTCTGAGGTTGCCCTAAGGTAGGCAAGTTAAATTAACTTTGTTTCTATGAAAACCATTGGAACTGATAAACTTGTATTATACTTGTAATTGTTTTATTAGGTAAGATGGTTCAAAACGCGAATGCCTTAACTTGGTGTTATAAAAGTTGAATCGGAAGGAAAATATGTAGAAGCTATTTTTAAGTTTTTAACTTATGTACAGCTCCTGGTTGTGCAAGATAGAAAGCTGTCCTAAACGAAAAGATTAGCTCTTTTGTTACTTTTTTTTGTGGT
Source organism: Homo sapiens (assembly GCF_000001405.40). Lineage (NCBI taxonomy): Eukaryota > Metazoa > Chordata > Mammalia > Primates > Hominidae > Homo > Homo sapiens. The sequence goes on from NC_000008.11 coordinate 22,540,192, forward strand.
CTATGTGGCCTTTGTGCGAAAAGCAACTACCCTGGGTTTAACTTGTTCAATTATTCTAGTGTTGCCTTTGTTCTAGCATTGAGTATGTTTCTGGTGCATAAGACACTCTTTCTTAAAGGTACTGGGGCCCAGTAAGTACTTGTTAGCTTTTTGTTAGGTATATGTCTACCATGATTATGCATATAGAGCTTTTATGAAAATTACTTTCACAATTTCAGCTGCCCTTTGGGCTTTAAGGAAGCAGTAGCTGCAGCCAAGACTGATTCAGTCAGACATTGCCCATGACTTTCACTAGACGTGTGCTCCATAGCCACCTTTCTGTGTGTTTCTCTAGGAGGTTGCTGTGTGCTAAGAAACTTTTTTTAAGCCTGTTGCTTTGCTGCCTAATTGAGCTCTCTCCACCTGCTTCCTGTTTTTCTGTAGCCATCAGAGGGTTCTCGCTTCAGCACAAGATCCGGAGTTTTGAAGAAGCGCGAGGTCTGGACCGAATTAATGAGCGAATGCCACCCCGAAAGGATAGCATACACGCTGGTGGGCCAATGAAATCTGTAACCTCAGCACACTCACATGCTGCGCACAGGAGCGACCAAGGGAAGAAAGCCCATTCATGACTTAGAGTCCTGCCGTGGCTCAGGTGGATCTAAAACTCAAGAACAAATTCTATTTATTTATTATTGGAAAATGAAAAGCAACTCAAAACAACTTCAACGTGGAGGTGCATTTATAATTCAGTCTGCATTTATTCTGTAAAAAGGTGGCTGTTTTATAAATTCTTTTAATTTATGTTCAATATATATAAAAAGTGCATCTGTTTTGTTTTTCCCTTTTTTCTCCATAATTTTAAGAAATGAATCTGATTGTTGTCAACACATTTGTGAAGTCTTGTGCTATAAAGGGGAACTTCCCCTAATAAAAGGGCCTTGGAAACCTCAAACCTGGGTTTCTGACTTGAACTAGTCAGTCTTCATTATTGTTTTTTGGAAGGTAATGTCTTTCATGTAAGACTAATAACGTTTCAAATGCAAGAAGATTTTTTTCCTTTTCATTTTTTTCCTTTTCTGCTGGGTGCCATTGAAGAAAGTCCTCTTAGATTTCAGTGGCTAAAAGTGCTTCCCTTTTGATGGGAAACTGGATCATAGTAGAACTTCAAAGTGAATAACCCAAATCCAGTGATTTTAAGGGCGAAGGGAAATGTTTTCTATAATAACCTACTTTCTCTGGACTCTCAGTTCGTTTAAATATGTTCTAGTAAACAAAATAAAAAATAATAAGGGATGTTCTTAGATTTACTTAAAATCTGTTCATCTGACCATGGGCATGATTGGTTTAAATTTCCTTAGGACTTTGGAGGAGAAAGATTTTCAGAAAGCTTTCACAATTGCCAGATTATTTTACTTTCATTTTTGAACCCCAGGTGACTTCTGTAAAGGAAGTCACTTTCTAAATATTTGATAAATGCCCTCAGCAGCACCTTCTACAACAAGATGTATATATGCCCTTCTAGGCTGTTGGCATCAGCTCTCGCATGTGCCTTCCCATCATCCTTCTGTTGTTCCCTGTCAGTATTACTGAAACCAGCTGGGGTAGTAGAAACTGACAAGAGTTCAATGGTCCCCTTGTGAATTGAAGGTCTTGCTAAAGAACATTGGATAAGTGAGGATTTCCTGTCTTCTATATCAGTTACTCTTTAGGTTGAATGGTATTTCAGCCTTCATTAGCATATTTTGGAATGCGAAAAGCAAGTGTTCAGATGTAGTGTGTGAATTATCTTCCCTTAGTTTGATTTTCAAGTCACAACCAACTAGTGAAGGAAATTTTGGGGCTACTTAGGCTCCCATTTTAACTAGCCTCATCGCAGGAGCCGTGTCATAATAGTCATTGGTCAGCTCTGCAGTGAATGTACATGCCTGGGAACATTACATCAGAGCATGGAACGTGCACATTTATGGCATTCCTTAGTGTCATTTGTGATGCGGCAGTCTAGCACTAAAGCAAGTATTTCAGACAGTAATACTTCATATTGGGAGTTTCCAGGAAACCAGAAAAACAAAGAACAACATAATTTTGGTGGTGTTTTTTTTTTTCCCCAAAAAACCATACTTCTCATTAGAAGAATGAAGACTTAGCCCATCTATCTCTGTTTTCCTATACCTTTTTTTCTAACAGTTTCTGATTTGTTTATGGCAGAAATCAAGGCACTCTTAGGGAATGGAATCTGCCTGCATAGATTGCTCCATTAATAAAAAGATAGGAAGGAGATAAAGGATCTCTGAATGGGTTGTGAGTAAAACCTGTGAAAGAAGGGGGGAAAAGTCTCTAGTAACTGTCTTTTCCTGATTGTTGTTGAACTCAAATCGGGTATTAAGCACCTAGATATCCTTATGCTCCTTTCTTTTCCAATCCCAGGATTAGAAAAGATCCTGTCTTTGGAAATTTCACTGATGAAAGTCATTCCATGTGACAGACTGCAGAGCTGCTAGTACCTTATCCCTTTTCTCCTTTTCATTAAGGCTGTTACATATATACAATCCACAGGTAGAAACCACTCTTAGGGGCCTCCATAAGCAGGCAGTAGTAGAAATAGTTACTGTAAATCCTTATAAGCAAAAAATAATATTTTATTACGGATGATTATTTAGGAATGGCTTCACTATTGTCTCAAAAAGCAGAATGATAAAGCAAGTTTCCTTGACAGAACCATCACAAAATTATATACAGTATTTCACTGGTTCCCTCTGAGCTGTGGAGGAATCAGCCAGAGTAGAGAGGTAGGTGGTCCTGGTTCAAGAAAACCTGAGTAAGTTTTAGAGCAGCACTAACTCTTAGAGGAGGTTAAGTTTGAAAATTCGGTTGAATTCTAAAGATAAAGTTATCCCTTCCGTTCTGTAGCTGTTTTAATGTAAACAACAACTTCCAAGATGGCTGGACCCTGCCCTGGGTTTGCTCGAAGACTACTTTTCCTGTCTAGGGCCATGATTAAACAGACATTTTAATTGCTGTCAAAGTTCTGCAGTTTTGGTGTTTTCAAAGTCTCTTCTGTTTTATTGAATGTTTCCCCCTGTGTGTGCTAAAGATACTGGAAACAGTTACATTGTGTTTTCCTTCACAGGACCTTCCTTGTGGAAGGCCCACAGGGACCTTCTTTTTCTGCAACTTCTCCCATTTAGGAAAACAAAAACAAAACAATTCCTCAGGCATGTCAGGACTCCTTTGTAAACTTTTCTGAAATGCCATTTTGAAAATGATGCTTCACATGGACCAGGTTTCTCACTTTTAGTGACATACATATCACAGGACATTTAAATCGATCAGATGATTATTTCTTTTACAAATTTGAAAACTCATCTAATGTAAGTTCAAAACATATATCCTTTTTTTATTTCCGTGTTCTGAATGTTTAGAGCAAAAGCAAAACAATAAGCCAAGGGGGTGTGTGTGTGTGTGTGTGTGTGTGTGTGTGTGTGTGTGTTTCTTTAATAGAATGATAAAACAAAAATAGCCTCCGTTTTCCTTAAACTCTCAAGGTGACACTTTGGTTACAAGTAGAGGCATTGCTGATTTGCTGGTCTTTTGTGACTGGATATTGATTGGCAAGGTAAGAATTGCTTATCACACTCTGATGAGCTTGATACTGCTCCTTGCCTAGGAGTAAAAGACTCAGCCTCTCCAGGAACATCAGTATTTTTTATGTCTTTCATTGCCTTTTTTGGTTCTTCCATGAACAATTCAATGAAGCAAGTTTCTCTCAATAGCAAAGATTTGCCTTCTTAAGATTAGCTTTCTTTGCCATCCTGATAACTTAGGGATGATTTCCTGACATTGTTCAAAATAGGAACAGAGAAACCCTTATTTGTTTTGTCAATAGACTATTATTGAATGTCATTAAGGAGCAAGGGAAGATTTTTAAAAATTGGATAATTTCGGGGCCTTTTTTGCCTTTTGGCATTGTCCCTTAGATCCTCTTCCCTCTGAGTGCTTTAAAAACACACGGTTTGAGGCACAGCTGATCTCTATAGGAAAAATATTATAAGCCATGCCTGCATGAGACACAGCTGGACTTGCTGTTCATGGTCATTATTCAGGAGTCTCTCCAGCCTCAGAATGAGTAAAGCTAAAATCTGCTCCCTCTACCCTGCCCTATTTTATGTAAATATGGTAGCTGATCTCCAAAATTTTCAACTGTACCATATCTATAAAGTTTAACCTTTTAAGAATTTTCATCCAAGCTGGGCGCGGTGGCTCGCACCTGTAATCCCAGCACTTTGGGAGGCTGAGGCCGGTGGATCACAACGTCAGGAGATCGAGACCATCCTGGCCAACATGGTGAAAGCCCATCTCTACTAAAAATAACAAAAATTAGCTGGGTGTGGTGGCACATGCGTGTAATCCCAGCTACTGGGGAGGCTGAGGCAGGAGAATTGCTTGAACCAGGGAGTTGGAGGTTGCAGTGAGCCGAGATTGCGCCACTGCAGTCCGCAGTCCGGCCTGGGCGACAGAGCGAGACTCCGTCTCAAAAAAAAAAAAAAAAAAAAAAAAGAATTTTCATCCTGACCAATCTGGGTGACCAATCAATTAAATTGGTTTAGGAAGAGCTTGCCCTAGATTGGTTGATTTCATAATTTTTCTTTTTATTAATTATTGGGTTTTTCTCTCTGATCTCTGCATTGAAAATTATTTCCTAAGCCATAAAGACTTGTTGAGGTACCATTCTAGAATCCCCAATATTTATTCTAGTTGTTATAGTAACAGTGGAACCCAAGTTTCTCCTAAAGCATTACCCAGCTTTCCTTGCCCAGGCAGAAAAGATGGCAGAGGGAGGGTGAACCCAGGGCCCATCTGTGGGTATGGGCTCCAATTTCCTAAATTGTTTGTGGTTATAACCATGGCTTCCACCTTGTCTGGCACCGGGTCCACATCTTTTCTGAGACCTGCTAGAAGGTGAGTAAAGGACAGCCTAGGAAGGCCCAGCAGTGGATTGAGGAGGGTCGGGTTACCTGGAGGACGGGTCCCAAAACTGGCTTGCCACAGTCCCTTTCAGTATTGCTGTGATGAGACGCCTGGAGGAAAGCTGTCAGAGCAGATGTGTGTAGAGGAAGAAAGTTGTGTAGTCGAAGGACAGTGTTGTTTACTCTTATCTTGAGTGTGAGTAGAGAACTGTATTAACAATAGGGCTTTGTGCCATTGACAGAGTGTGAAAGAGGGAGCCTATATTACATTGGGGTTTGGGACCTGACCTGCCTATATCTAGCCAGCGAGAGTGAATGGGGTCAGTGTTAGCTGCCTTCATCTATGCAGTCACAAAGGTAAAGATGATACTGGAGAGTATATTCCCTCCCGGGAGGCCTTGGCCTCACGCCCCTGCCACCTTGGCAAGACCTGCTAAATAACACCTTTGTCTGAGACAGGGTTATGCATCATCTCCTCTTCTATGCCCTCATGGCAAGTCTAGGTGGCTTAAGATTAAGAAGTGAGGACATGGAGGCGGACTGTCCCTCTGAGCAGCTCTGAAGTAGGGCCAAGCACACTGCCTTCCAGTAAGTTCTTGCCCACATTCCTTCACTCCCTTGACGTAGATGTCTCCAAATACTCTTAACATGAAATGCATGTAATGAGGAGCAGGCCTGTCATAGATCTTGATTTGGGGCAATAAAGATGTGTTTTTGTCACAGAACTTTTTGAGGATGACACTGTAAATCCCTAACTTTTATTTTCTCAGTGCATGGTGACCCCCATAGCTGTTTTTCCCAATAGTTCTGTCAGCAGGCATTTTCCAAGAAGGGGCCCCAGTATTCCTTCCTAAATGGTGAGGTGGTCAAGACGTCAGACCAGTTGGTGGTGTGATATTTTTTCAAGGTTCTGAATGATGGATTATTTGCTTGTGCTTAGAGATTGCCTACTTTTTCTTGCTTTCAGTTATGTTAAAGAAGGCGAGGGAAATGTTACTTATTGGCCGAAATCATCTAATGTCTTTTTTGTGAACAAGAAATTAATTTGTTAGGACTTTTGTACTATAAATTAGAGGTAATCTTAAGATTTAAAAAAAGAAGAAAACACCCTTAAATGATAACTTTATTGGCTCCCTGTGTCTTTATTTCCTGTATTTCCTGGTGGAGGTACTTATATTTGGCTTTTACTCATTTAATAATTCCAGACCCCAGGAGAAAGCCTGGCTTTTGATGTCTGGTCTGGTCTCTGATGATAACAAGGAATTCCCCTCCCAAGGGAGGGAATCCCATCACAATAAAAAGGACCTCTCTCTTTCGTCTCTCCAGCCCTTTCATTTTAAAGCAGCTATGGTTGGCCACAACGTGTTTCTGTTTCTCCCAACTCAGAATCCACTCCCCAACCCTGGCCTCCTTCTTACCCAAGTCCCAGCCCCCTCTGCAGCTTCTCCAATAGAGGCCACTACTTGAAGAAAAGGAAGAAAGACATCCCAGAAAACATACATTGTTTACCAAGGATAAAAATAGTTTTGTACTCTTGTAATTTAATGACTGTGCATGTGATCCTAATAATAGACATGGTGAATTCCATCTTGGAGAAGCCAAGGCAGCCAAAGAGGATTTGAATGTGGAGTTGGCCTACCAAGAACGGGAAGTGTCAGACTAGCCTTTTCATGCCTCTGAAAAGTAGAAATATCATGAGGTGCTGTGGATTCACAAGGAAAAACAAGCTCCCCTGGGCAAGTGGGGAATTGGGGATAGGGAAAGAGCCAGGGCCCTGGAGAGGAAAGTGTGTCAGTGAGGGGACTCTACAGGTTATGGCAGTAGAGGTAGAAAAGCTAAATCCAGCACTGCCAGGTCCAAGTGAGGTGACTTTTACACTAAATACAACCACATTAAGGGCCACAGTGCAGTTTACAGGCCAGAAAACGGGCCCAGGTTTCTAATTTCCAATAAGCTGAGTAGCATTGGGTTCTTTGTTATCCCAGTGGCATCCTGATGTAGCAATGTCCCTACACCTTAGCTAAACCTTCAGTAAAATTAGGTAAGATTTGCCCATATTTCTGGAATTGTGGAAAGATTTTTAATAGCCTGGAAATGAAGGACTTCAATGCAAATTCATATTAACCTGTTGCTCCATCTAGATCTGTTCCTCACTTTGTTGCCTGCTGCATGTAATTGCATGGTCTTGCCTTTTTTTTTTTTATCACAACTTTCAGGCTTTAGAAAGAAAATGTAATTTTGATACAGTAGATGAATAATTTAATGGTAAATGAAGCAGACTTTTTAATGTTGATGCTATTAAGGCGAAGGTTCATCATAGAATTCAAGGAGGTGGGAAGACAAGGTTCTTCTTTGTTTGGAGGCCAGAGCCGTACTTTATGGTATCCACTGGGCCAACAGATCAGCCCTCTTATCCTACCCATCGCAGTCTACCTGAGCTGGGAAAGAAGGCTGATGCAGACCTAATTTCCCAGCTCCTGGGTCTGTGCCCTCCTTTGTGGCTGAGTTGACTTGGCTTGGTTTTCCCTCTGAGGTCATCACTTACTTATCCTTCCCTTATAAAATCTACTTTCTAGAGCTGACAGCCACTTGTTTGTTTCATCTTTCCTGAGAACTAAGAGAGGTTCACCCAGCTCAGTTCTTCTCAAAGACACCCCGTCTGTGCATTGTGCTTGTTTGCTCATCCATGAAAAGAGGAAGAGAGAACAGCCGTGGATGTGATGTCAGTATCAAAACTTCCTTGAGGACAGGCGGGATAAATTGGGCAAACGGCTGAGTTCTCCCGCAGCCTTTGGGAGATTGGCCCTGAGAACCCAGAATAGATGCCCATTATACATCATGCGTGTGCTATGGAAAGGTCTGTGCCAGGCAAGCCTGAGAGCCTAATTCGCTATTCCTATGGGGTTCCATGCACCCATCCTGGCTGTCAGGCCCCAATACCCATCATACTTGACCTGTACTGGGTATTTTTTCACTCAGATCCCTCACTCTACAGTGACTCTACCAGAAATCTTGAATTCCAGATGAGCCACGTCATGCCATTGTCAGCATAGGAGGCCCTTTGAAGCCCCAAAATGGGTCATTTGCACTCCCTTCTTCTGCCTGCTCCTGTTCCCATGAGTGGTTGGCATGGAAAGGGCCATCAGTAGAACTTGGCTGGCAACATTTGCAGGAGCAGGAATCAACAGAGGACCCAGGAGAAAGGGATGGAGCCCAGGGCATGAAACATAGTCCAGATTCCTGCTGGTATGTCCATGTGACTTGGTTTCAATTCCTCACCATTGTGTCACTGTGGCCTTCTAGAGAAGTCCAAACTGCTGGAAACGGGCAGTGCTTTCTGCGCTAACCCCTTCTGGTCTGACTGCTCAGCTTAGAGGAAGGAAGAAAACACTCAGAATTCTGAGAGCAAAACCCCCCAAAAAATCTACTCAAAGCACCTGAAGTTCATCCCTGGGGAGGAGAAGAAAGGAAGAGCAGATGCCCTGTATCTCCATGGGGGTACTGAGGCACAGAGCTAGGGCCGCCTAGCTGCCCAGGGTAGATCTCAGAGGGTGACTCATCTGAATTGCCGATTCCCAGCACCAGAGCAAGGCGCTCCTCAAGAACTGAGTCCGGGTTCATGTCTTCTGGGACCCCTGGCTTCCCTTTTCCCACTTGAGAACTAAAACTGGGTGCTCTGCCCACCCCGCTCACCCCGCCTTCACTTCAGTGCTCTTTCCCCTCATTTGTCATCCTTGGTGACAGAGATTGCTTTTCAGAGTGACCCGCATTCCACCGCCTTCTCCCCCTCCCTGTGAAGAGCCACATTTACTGGTAGTCCCGTGGCTAATCCTCCCCTGCAGGGGGGTGGGGGTTGTGGACAGACCCCTGTTGACGGTGATGTTGGGGACTACCCACAGAACAAAAGGTGCAGCCTCAAGGGCTTGAGCGGGGAATACTGATGCCTGGGATCAGGTAGCTGGGAAAACAGGGCAGTTATGTAACTGTGTTTACTGTGGCTCAGGTGGCTCTGAGAAGGCAGAGGCAGCCCCTGACAAAGGGCAGTGCCAGAGGTGGGGAAGCCGCGACTTGCAGGGAGGGAGGCCCCTCTTAGACAGGGGAGTCGTGCATGCAAAGGAGAGAGTGCAGTGGGATTTGGAAAGGAAAGGAATCTGTTCTGTTGTTGACAGCCAGCCGGCCAGCCGCCTTATCTAGGACAATCTTCCCAGCCTCAGCCTCTCCCTAACCGTGCCAGCTGTGGAGGCAGCAAGGGGAGCTGACGCTAGAGGGAGGCGTCGGGAAATCAGACACCTGGTTCCTGGCTCAATCTCCAAACCCTGCTACTTTTCCCCCCTTAATCTACTTTTCAAAGAGAAGGAATTCTTCTCTTTAGATAAGGGCAGAAAGGGAGGAATCAGTCAAATTTCCTTATGTTTTCCCTGCCCTGTGGCCCACTGTCTCCCATCCTCTCGGCTGTGAGGCCAGATGGGCACCACGGAACATGGTGGATTCTGACCTGAGAGAGGTGATAAACCCGGCAGAGCCCAGGCCTAAGTAGACAGGCAGAAGTCAAAGCGGCTCAGGAAGAAAGCTCAGGTCTCCCGTAGACCTACCCCGCCTCCTCCTGCAAAGCTGTTTACTCAACGCCCGATTCCCATAGAGATGAAACTGGTAGCCAGTCCCCAGCTCCTTACCCATGGCTGCCACCTCCCTTTGTGAGAAACAGGAAGTGGGGAACTTTGTCAGCTCTGCTGCACCCTCTACACTAAATATTTATCTTGGAGTCCAGGTCAGAGCCCTAGAGAATAAGAGAAGCTTGCTGCTGGTGAGGGGGTATGGCCAGGATTCCTGGAGTCGGAAGAGCTTCAGCTTCACCATCTTGGGAGAAGAAGGAAGAAAGTGAAAGCGATGTGGTCCTTCTTAGTCCCAAGGACCCTGACAGGTGGGAAAAATGCGTGTCTAAGAAAATGGGCACCTATTTTATCCCTGAGGGAGGGAAGAGGCTACCTGGCGTGGATAAGAAGGTTTCTAAGCTTCAGGTTGGGGGGCAGTGCACTGCTGCGTCCCTCAAGAAGTGTCCCAGGGTTCCCCCACTGCTCAGCTGTCCTCCACAGCAATGCCCCTGCCATCCCCATCTCTCCGCCTTCCTGGAGAGTCAGAGGTTCTTGGAAGGAGTCTTCAAGGTCATCTTGTTCAGCTCCCCGCTCAGTGCAACAGTTGCCTTTACATAGATGCCCCACAACTGGCAGACTCAGAACCCCTGGAATCATGTAAAAATTTGTCCTGGGAAGCCTTGGACCTGCTTCCCTATGACGTGTCCCCCAGTGGTCCCACTGCTGCTGGTGCAGCTGTGTGTCCACATGGCAGCCCCGCAGGCGCTAGAGGCCAGCAGGCCTATCTGAAGCTTCTCAACCCAAACATCTCCTCCAGCTTTCACATGTGATGTTTCAAGGCAACGGGGAGAGCTTCTTTACCAGAACGAGGGAGAAGATAAGACTAAAGCAGTAATGGTGGTAGGGACTGAAAATCACTTAGTCTTTTCTCTACTCTCTTTCTTTCCAAACTTTGAGTTGAGTGGTGAGCTTGGAAAACACTCCAAAACTCCTCGTGGCCTCTGGCACCAGTCTGACACCCAGTAGGAATGCAGGAGATTACGTTAGTTTTCATAATTTAGCATTGATCACTCCCAGCTCGTAGCTAAAGTTGATCAGTAACTGTTGGTTGGTTGGCTGGTTTGGGGCTTGGGGATCCCTGAGCCAACTCAAGGGCCAGAAAGGATTCCAGAGTGTTTCCACGGTCCTTCAATGTTCCTTAAGCATTCCCACTTTCTGAAGTGCCATACAGAGGCTTGGGGCAGAGACAGGGAGAGGGGATGACCAGAATGGATGGGGAGCCGGAAGGGCCGGGGCTCTGGGGACCCAGCTCAGAGCAGCGAGAACAGCGGAAAAGCAGGCAGATCAAAACAAACACAGTGTCTGGGAACACCAAGACCCTCCTAATCCCATCCCCGCCAAAGGGACCCCACCCTTATCCTCTTTAGGGGCGCGGCACGCCCGGGGGGGCCGCTCCCTTGGGCTGATTTCCTCCCTGTGCTTGCACGTGTGTGAGCGTCCCCACGTTTGCAGTGTACGCGCGCGTGTTTGTTTGCACACGACCGGCCGCGCGCCGCCGCAGGCACACCCTCTCCCCCAGCGCGGAGGGGCGGCGGGGCCTTCCCCTGGTCCGCTCCGCCACTCTGCCTGCGGGGCGCCCTCATCTCGCTCCCGGCCTGTCCGTCTCTCCCGGCTTGCCCAGTTCACCACTCCTGCCCCCTTGTCCTGGCTCCGCCCGGTTCATCGCTCCTGCCCCTGTCCTGGCTCCGCTGCGAGGCCGCTCGCTTCCCACACTCTGGAAATGTCGCTGGAAACTCTGAGTGGCCCGTGTCGGGCCGCCCGACCCCTCCCCGACGCCAGCCCTGCGGTAGGGGCCGGGATGGCAGCTGGGAAACCAGAGAGGGCTCCCCGGGGACCCTCGGCGGCCCCTCCCGGCGCCGCCTCCCCGCCGGCCAGGCCTCCTCGGCAGGGGGCCACCAGTGTCCCCGCGCGCGCCCCGACGGACGGAGAGCACTCGCACGTCCCTCCTCTCCGGCCCAGCCCCGGCCCGCAGTCCAGATCCGAGACCCAAACTCCGCCCGCCCCGCCGCGCGACTCTCACGGTCCGGCCTCCGGCGCGCGCCCCTTCGGCCTCCCTCTTCCTGCGCCGGCGCCCGGCCCGGCCCGGCCCGTCCTGACCCGGTCACGAGGGCCGCGACGGCCCGCGCTTCTCCTTGCCCTTCCTCCTCGAGCGCCCGCGCCAGGCAGCAGCCGGGCAGGGATGCTCCTGCGCTCCCGGGCGGCCTCGGGCCCAGCCACCTGCTCGCCGGGGAAGGTAGGTCCGGGCAAGGAGGGGCGGGGAGTAGGCGAGGCCGGCGGGAGGGATCCGTGCCCAACCCCAGGGAATCGCACCTAGCCCCTCCCCGGGGTCCGCGTCCCAAACTCTGGGAAGTACCTCCCACCAGCCCTCATACCAGAAAAAGCGAAATTCAAGAAAAGCTGTCCTTGTCCACGTGGCCTTGTCGCTGAGAAATACCTGGGAAAGCTCTTAGGGCCAGGCACCCAAGGTCAGGGCAGTGTTCAGAGCAGGGAGGCCAGTGCCCACCCCAGCAGAGCCGCCTCCCCTCTCCCGCTCCAGGGGCCTCTCCCCGCTCCCGGGGCTGGCTGCCTGCCTGGAGGGGAGGTCTGAATTCTGGGAGGACCCCTCCGCTCTCTGCTACATGGGGGACCAGTCCCCAGATGCTGCCCTCTTCCTTGTAAGTCCTCCCTAAGTCTCCTGACCTGGCTGCCAAGAGAAGGACTCGGACCACCCTTCCCTGGAGGTTCCTGTGGTGGGGGGCGACACAAGGGGCAGGGTTGAGAAGGGGCAGATGGGGGCACCAAGGGTAAGCAACCTCTGACTACGGGTCGTGGGGGACCTCCTGCCCTACCCATCCTCCAAGAGAGCAGTTCTCACCGAGCACGAGGTGGGCGGGGAGGTCAGGGAAGGAAGGCGCTGTCAGCTGATGGCCCAGGCGGCAGCTGCTGAGCTGCAATTTGGCCCGAAGCAGTCAGCTGGGCAGGGAGGGGTGCTGCGAGGAGCCGACCAGCTCCAGGTCTCCTGACCTTCCACCCCACCCTGCCTCAACTCCCCCCCGCAAGGGGAGGTGGAGTGTGGGGACTGGGGTGTGTCTGCCTGTTTTGCTTTGGTGGGAGTCCTAATTGGACCCAGCTGGGGAGCTGCTCCTCCTCCAGCCTCAGCCCTCCACTCCCCCCAGTCAGGCATGGGCACAGAAGAGCTGTGTCGCAGCAACTCAAATGTCAGGAGTCCCCACAAACTCAAACCAGAGACAAGGAGCTGCCCCCAGCCTTGGCTACACCCTCGCTAGCCCTGGGCAGGAGCTGGGTCCAGGGGCTGAGTCATCCCAGCCTTATTCTACCTTCATCCCCTCTGGGCCCCCAACTCTTCCACTGCTCACATGACTGCACCTCCCACCACTGTTCAGCTGACACCCCTCTGTACCCACAACCCCCATGCAGCTCATGTGGTCCCTCCGGTGGTCCCCCCAGAAGTCATATTCGCAGCTCTGCACCCAGATTCCAACACACACATACACACAGCTCCTCCCGATGCATTTGCAGCCCTCCCTGAGAGCCCCCAAGGACCCCACAGGCACAGGCAAACCTGATTCCATCCAGTCCTGGGCAGTGGCAGAGCTTGGCTGTTTCTGGTCCAGTCCAGCAGCCAAGACGCGGAGGGATGGACGCCGTAGCACCGTGCTCTGGGTCAAAAAGCCCCCTTGGACACCCCAAACTGGGAGCCCCTTTTTGTCCTCTTGCACCCCCACTCTGGGCTCCCCTCTTGCCCCTCCATTCCCTGGGTGCCTAGGGCTCCCTTCCCCTTCCCCAGCCTTGGGATGAGGCAGAAGAAGCTGGCTGTGGGCAGGCATGGTGCTGCCAGGGAAGACCCTGCACTCACAAAACAGCCTGGAGGGGCGGGAGAAAGTGGAGCCAGGGAGCGCGTGTATGTGCGTGCACATTTGCCCACATGCAGAACACCCCAGGGCACTCAGCACCAACTCTCCATGGGCATGAGCAGGTTCAGCTCTGCCCTCACCCACCGCTTCTGTCTCCACCCACCCGGAGCCCTCTGAGTCCTCATTCTGTGAAGGAGGCCAAAGAAGGGCCCGATGCTCCCTGTGAGCTCGCAAGAGTGGGTCTTGCTGCCTGGAAATGCCCCCGACGCTCCCCTTGGCCCTATTGGGCTTAAGGCCCTGCTGACTGCTTCCTGGAGGGCAGTGGGCGGGTGGCTGAGTAATCCCTTGTGCCCGCAGGCAAGAGATGCCCACACGGCCTGGGGGAGGCAGAGGGAACTGAAACAAAGTCCTGTGTTCCCAGGCCCCCTCTCTGCCGGCTGCCCCACTTCCCCTGCGCCTTCCCTCCGGGGGAGTGGGGAAGCCAGCTGCACCCGTGCAGGGAGAGCCCCACGGGCTCCTGGCCAGCCCCTCCCCTCCTCCTCACCCAAGCTCCCCCTCCCCCACTCCCACCCGGAGCTCCTGCCCTGGGCCTAACAAGTGGTCCATTGTGCCCCTGGGAGCCGGCAGGCACGGGCAGCCTGCAGGCGGGTGCCTGGCGTGGCCTGTTTCCTGGGTCCTTGAGCTAGTACCCAGCTGGTCCTGACCCCCTCCCACAGCCGGCCCCTCCTCCCCTATCCCAGGGTCGAGCCAAGAGGGCATGGGCAGCCTAGCCTAGCAGGGCTTTCCCTTCCTTCCTCCTTCCCCACAGAGGACACGCAGAGGAGCAGCTGGCTTGCCCGGAGTCCTCCCACCTTGACCCAAGCATGCAGGGCCCACCCCGCAGCCTCCGCGCTGGGCTCAGCCTGGACGACTTCATCCCTGGCCACCTCCAGTCCCACATAGGGTCTTCCTCCCGGGGGACACGGGTGAGTGAGTCAGTAGGGAGGAGGGTGTCCTGCGGGCCCGGAGTTGGTTGGGACGCTAGCAGGTCAGGTGGGGGCAGGAGGATGAAAGGGATGGAGGGAGGGCTGAAGAGAGCTCTGGGGGGCCTCGCTGGTTTCCCACAAAATCGTCAGGCGGGCCTGGGACTGTCACCGAGGGGTGTGGGCTGTGCCTAGTAGCCATCCCTCCCTCCCGCCCTGCTGGGCCCTGAGCTGCCGCTCCTGGCCCCTCCCCGCAGGTGCCCGTGATCCGGAATGGTGGCTCCAACACCCTTAATTTCCAGTTCCACGACCCCGCGCCCAGGACTGTGTGCAATGGGGGCTACACACCAAGACGAGATGCTTCCCAGCACCCGGGTAGGTCTGCTCAGGAGCCTCATGCTGGAGATGGAGGGTCAGGGCCCTGCCATCTGGCACTGCCCTGTGTCAAGCGGGAGGGGCAGCAGCTGGAGATGGGGTTCTCAAGGCCATGAGGAGGTTCCTCAGAGGCCTCTGGGCTCACTATGAGCCCCTCCCTGCGGAGCCTGCTGACTCTGCAAGAGACACCCGCTTGGGGAGAGCAGGCTGATGCATCCCTTCCCCTGCCCTCCAGCCTGGTGCCAGGGAAAGGAAGCGTGCAGGAGCCCTGGGCGCCGGAGGACCTCCCACAGGGACTGGGGATGGAAGGGTGGAGGTGATGTGGGTATCTGTTGGCTTGGGAAGGGGTGGAGACTGTCCCATTCAGGCCCAACAGGCTACCCAGCAGGAGGTTAGAGAGGCAGTTCTAGATCCCAGTCCAGAGGTCCTGGGAACTCCTGGGTGCAGGCCAGCCCTGAACATGTCTCTCCTAAAGTGACATCCTTTATCAAGCATTCCCCTAAGACAGGTGCTGTGTAAAGGAATTTATTCATTTAACAATTATCCAGCCTGGGCAACATAGCAAGACCCTGTCTCTATCAGCCTGGATGACACAGCAAGACCCTGTCACTTAAAACACACACACACTGAGAGGCTGAGGTGTGTGGATGACCTGAGGTCAGGAGTTCGAGACCAGCCTGGCCAACATGGTGAAACCCCATCTCTAATAAAAATACAAAAATTTGCTGGGTGTGGTGGCGGGTGCCTGAAATCCCAGCTACTTGGGAGGTTGAGGCAGGAGAATCACTTGAACCTGGGAGGTGGAGGTTGCAGTGAGCTGAGATCGTGCCACTGCACTCCAGCCTGGGCAACAAGAGCAAAACTGTCTCAAAACAAAAACAAAAACAAAACAAAACCAAAAAAAACACCCACACAATTATGGAACACCCAGAGCGTGCTGGACACTGTAAAAACACTTTACGAGGCTCACCTCGTTTAACCCCTCGATATCCTGACAAAGTAGGGGTGATGATGACTGACAGCTTCCCAGTAAGGAACCCCATTCGCAGAGATGTTCAGCCATAGAGGCTGAGCTGCAATTCACACACTTGTACATCTGGCCTCAAAGCCCTTATTCTGCTGCCCTAGCTACTTAGAGGCTAACACTTATGGGTAAGTTGAGGACTCAGTCACAACCATGTCTGGGGAATGGGTTTCTGACCTTCACTGAGAGCCTCTCGACTGTGTGCCAGGCACTGTGCTGGGTACAGTCACACACGCTAGATGTCACTGAATCCTTGTCACAATGACCCTTGTTTTACAGAAGTGGAAACTGAGACACTGAGAAGGTGACTGATGTACCCCAGGCCATGGCAGCCAATAGGTGGTAGAGCTGGGGTCTGAATTCAAGTCTGTCCCCTCTAAGCCCAGCATCTTTACTGCCACACCCCAGCTGGGATGTCCCCTGCATTCTCTACAAGTAATGATTTCCAGACCTTATTCTGAAAGCACTTAGGATAGTCCCAGGAAAGAAGGATGGGGGTAGGGCCAGGCACGGCATTCTCAAGATCAAATCCATTTAAATTCACTTAAACAAACAGAGGCCCGTGGTGCTCTGAGTCATCCACTCAAACAAACAAGGCGATGTTGAAACTTTGAACCCACAGAGATCCATGCTCTGAGGAGCTAAGGGACACACAGGTTCAGGTGGAGACCCCTGCCTTTCACTAATGCTCTCCTGCACGCACCCAACAGACCCTGCGTGGTATCAGACCTGGCCAGGCCCTGGGAGCAAGCCCTCTGCAAGCACAAAGATCCCTGCCTCCCAGCACACCCAGAACTGGTCAGCCACGTGGACCAAGGACAGCAAGCGTCGGGACAAGCGCTGGGTCAAGTACGAGGGAATCGGGCCCGTGGACGAGAGCGGCATGCCCATTGCCCCCCGATCCGTGAGTCCAGGGCTGGGGGCCACGGAGAGATGGGGCCCAGGGATCTACAGGGAGCTGCACTTCTGTGCATTAAAATGGGGGTGGGGCAATAAAGGCCGCACCCAAACCATCCCAGATTAAGCAGGGGTTCAACCGTGGTGGGGTTCAGCGGCTGTAAACCTCATAAAGCTGCAGACACCCTCGTGTGCCTGAGTTGCTCAAGTGGTTTGTGCGGGGTACAGATCTAGAACTCTCATCAGGGCCTCAAAGGTAGAGAACCCCTGCTGTAAGGCCTGAGGCTGCAGGGGACCCTCTCTTAGTTTCATATCCCCAGGGCCTGTCACGACGCTCATGAAATGGTTGCTGAATGAATGACTGACCGGCCGAATGAGTGAGTGAGTCTTGTGTGAGAAGGTCTCTCACTGTGGCAAGCGTGGAAGGATCCGGGGGTCCAGTTAGGACTGGGGATACCCTGCCCTTTTCCATCCACCTTTGTGTCTTGAGCCAGCTCCATTTTCTCATCTGGAAATTGGAGCTGGTAACATTCCCTTCCTGTTTTGAGGCTGTTTTGAGGCTTGGATGAAGCAGGTGATGTGAAACACGCATCTCACTCCTACATTATTGCTGTCATTTTTGGCCCAGGTGCAGTGACTCACGCCTGTAATCCCAGCACTTTGGGAGGTCAAGGCGGGAGGATTGCTTGAAACCAAGAGTTCCAGACCAGCCTGGGCAACATAGTGAGACCCTGTCTCTATAAAAAAAAAAATAAAATAAAATTAGCTAGGCAAGGTGGTGCACGACTGTAGTTCCAGCTACTCAGGAGGCTGAGGCAGGATGATTGCTTGAGCCCAGGAATTGGAGGCTGCAGTGAGCTATGATCATGCCACTGCACTCCAGCCTGTGTGACACAGGAGACCCTGTCTCCCCACAAAAGAAAAATGTTCTTTGTAGAAACACTAGACATAAAGAAAAGCAAAGAGAAAAAATGTAAATTGCCCCAAATCTCATAACATCATTATTGCATACACTTCGATGGAGATCTTGTCATATATCTTACTTATATAGGACGTGTTACATGAAGCTATTGTTATTAAAGAGATCGCAAGAGAAGCATTTCCCAGCCCACCTATGGGGGGTTCAGGGATGGCCAGAGAAGGGACTCACTAGGGAAAGATTTTTGTGGCTTGAAATTGGGAGGGTGAATAAGCAGGGAGGACTGACTTTGCATTTTCTGATCCCAGAGCGTTGACAGACCCAGAGACTGGTACCGGAGAATGTTCCAGCAGATTCACCGGAAAATGCCAGGTAAGATACCCTTCCAGGGCCCTCTCCCTGCCAAAGTGGATTCTGGCCCCTGGGGCTTGGAGAGACAGGGAAAGAAAAGGGGACTTAGCTGCTCAAGGGGTTCTTCTCCACCTTCTCCCAGGCTCTAATGAGTAGTCCTGAAAATAGGCAGTCCCCTCCCTGTACTCGGGGCCAGCAGCGGTCTCCAGAGCATCCCCAAGAAGAACATTGACCAGCCACTGTCCCACAGTGTCCTCTGAGGGGACTGAGAAGCCATTCCTTTCCTTAAGTCCCTCTCTGATTTCCCTGCCAAGCTGGAATGCCACTGTTAGCGGTCATTCCCTTACTGGAGGCATTGCTTTCTTCCACAACTCAAAATGCAGCCAACCCTGGGGGTGCCTATGAGCTGGCTCCGAGGTCACCCATCCATTCAGTGAGTCCTTGACCATCTATTGAGCATGTACCACATGCTGAGCACTATTCTAGGTGCCAAAGATCAAAGGAAGTCACACAATAAACAGACACACCTTTGACATGACAGATGGTGGAAAGGGCTAGGGAAAAATAAAGCCAGACTGGGAGAGTGCCCCATGCAGGGAGGCTGCTCCTTCACCCAGGAGCGGCCAGGAAGGTCATTTGTAAGCGGTGTTTGATCAGACCATGGAGGGAGTGAAGGAGTCGGCCTGGCAGAGCTGGGGGAAGCATTCCAGCAAAGGGAGCTCCGAAGACCCAGAGGTAGAAGCATGTTCTGGACGGGCAAGGAGAGCCTGGCCTGGAGCGAGGAGCATGTGGTGGGAGATGGAGTCAGAGAGGTGGTGGTGTCAGGGTACGTGGGGCCTTGTGGGCCATTATAAGGACTTCAGCTTTTACGGTGCAAATAAGGAGGAGCCACTGAGCGGAAGAGTGCCATGCTCTGACAAGTAATGGCTGAAAAGATTGTGCCTGGCTGTGGGGTGGGAAAGGAATGGTGGAACCAGTTCCCTTGCCTGGTAAGGGCTAGGGAGAAAAGGCCACCTTTACAACTTTGCTTCAATCCAGGGGAGAGATAATCGTGTGTTAGACCAGGGCGGTAGCAGTGGCCCTGGTGGGACAGGATGAGACTCTGAATACACTGCAGTCACTGGAATTTGCTGATGGATTGGACGTGGCTTGGAAGAGAGAGTCAAGGATGGTTTTAAACCTCAGCAAGTTGAAGATTGGAGTTGCCATTTGTCAAAACAGAAAAGACTGTAGGAGTAGCATTCACAGGCCGGGCGCGGTGGCTCACGCCTGTAATCCTAGCACTTTGGGAGGCCAAGGTGGGTGGATTGCCTGAGCTTAGGAGTTCGAGACCAGCCTGGGCAACATGGTGAAACCCCATCTCTACTAAAAAATACAAAAAAGTAGCTGGATGTGGCGGCATGCACCTGTAATCCCAGCTACTCGAGAAGCTGAGGCAGGAGAATTGCTTGAACCTGGGAGGCGGAGGTTGCAGTGAGCTGAGACCATTCCACTGCACTCCAGCCTGGGCAATAGAGCAAGACGCTGTCTCTAAAAAAAAAAAGAAAAAAAGAAAAGAGGTGTTCAGTTTTAGACACATGTTCCCTCTGAGTGAAGAGGTTGAGTAAGCAGATGAATATCCAAGTCTGCAGTTCACGGGACAAGGTCTAAAACTGCAGATGGAAATACCTGGGACTCATTCAAAAGAGATTTTGGGACCAGCCTGGCCAACATGGCGAAACCCTGTCTCTATCAAATATACCAAAATTAGTTGGGCATGGTGGTGTGCACCTGTAATCCTAGCTACTCCAGAGGCTGAGGCAGGAGAATTGCTTGAACCTGAGAGGCAGAGGTTGCAGTGAGCTGAGATCACCCCACTGCACTCCAGCCTGGGTGACTCAGTCTCAAAAAAAAAAAAAAAAGAAGAGAGAGATTTTGATTTAAAGTTTCCCCAGTAATTCTAGTGGGGAAACTTTAAACTTTTAACTAGCAGCCAAGATTGTGAAACATGGGAATAGATGGCGTTTTAAAAGCCTTAAGACTAGCTGGGTGTGGTGGCACACACCTGCAGTCTCAGCTATTTGGCAGGCTGAGGAGTTCAATTCAATTCCTGGGAGCCCAGGAATTCAAGTCCAGCTTGGGCAACATAGCATGATCCCGTCTCTGAAAAACAACAATCCATAAGACTAGACAAGATCACCTAGGGAGATAGAGAGACAAACAGACCCCAGGACTGAGCCCCCACGCACCTGGATGCTTAGAAGTTTGAGAGATGAGGCGGAACCAAAAAGGCAACTGAGAAGGTAGAGCCAGGGAGGTAGGAGGAAAACGGAGAGATCTCCCTGGGGCCAAGTGGAAAGGGAATTCCAAAAGAAAAATGTGACCAGTGGTGACAAATGCAGCTGATGGGTTGAGTAAGATGAATACTTAGAATTGACTGTCAGATTTGGCAACGTGGAGGTCACCAGCATCCTTGATAAGAGTGAGTGGTTGGGCAGTGGTGAGCAAAAGCCTGTTTAGGGAGACGGGGAGTAGGGGGATTGGAGATGGTGTGGTCTTTATGGTCACTGGTTACAGTTTACTATGGGGGAAAGCAGACAAATCCAGGAGTCAGAGGAGGGTGTGGGGTCCAGTGAGGGGTGATGTGGCTGGCGTTTAGGCAGGTGCCGTTGCAGCGCATGCGTGTGTGTGTGTGTGTGTGTGTGTGTGTGTGTGTGTGTGTGCGCGCGCGCACGCGCCGTGGGGAGCAGTGGGTCAGTAGCTCTTTCCAGGAAGCCCCAGAAATTCCCAGGCACCTTGAGGAGCTAGGAGTGGGTCTTGGCAAATGGGGAAGGAAAGCGTTTGGAAGAGGGTGCAAGTCGAGTTTCCCCAGCCTGAGTGGTGAGGGCAAGTCCACAAAGGTCAGGAGAGGGTGTGTGTGGGAACAGGGAGGGAGGAGCAGGAGGGCTTGGGCAAGGCGGCTGCCCGCTTGGCTCGCTTAGGCCCCAAGCCTGCCAGAGGCATTTCAAGCCCTCCAGAGAGCTGCCCTCCTAATTCCTTCCCTCCCTTGGGACATTCTTCAGGCCCTGACTCAGCCCTCAGCCCCCTACTCTAGGGATGTTGGGAGCGGCTGAGGTTGCCTCCCAGGGCACCCTGCCCTTGCTTTCTGCCCCGTCCCATGACCTGGTCCCTTCTGCTCCTGCAGACTTGCAGCTGGACTGGACCTTCGAGGAGCCACCCAGAGGTGAGGGGATGCGGGCCCACCTGCCTGCCATAGCCCTGCGCCTGCGTCCGCCCCTCCCTGGGGCTGGGACTCGCAGCCCCGCCTGGCTTTGGGGCTCTCCAGTTGGCTCAGTTCAACCTGAGAGGTTTTTATAGCTCATTTCCAGAGCACTTCAAATCCCCCGGTAGGTGGTAATTAACAGCCTCAGCTTGCACGGGGAACGCGCGCTCTGCCACTCCCTGGCCGGGATTTCTCTGGGCCTCCCTTTCCTCATCTATAAGATGAGATCATCACCTACTCGGAGTTGTTTTGAAGATGTAGTAAATGTCGTAAAGCTCTGAGGGCAATGCCCGCGTTCAGTGTCCCTGAGCACCAACCACCCTGCCCCCACCATCCACCCAGGAGCAAGGGGGTGGTGCTGAAACTCTAAATAATCACCCAGGCACCCTCAGCCCCAGTCACGGCCTGTCTCCTCCCACCTTCAATGCTTTCCTCGTGTACCTCCTCTGCAGACCCCAGGCATCTAGGAGCCCAGCAAAGACCTGCCCACAGGCCCGGCCCGGCAACATCTTCCAGTGGGTGAGCACAGTGGGGCGGGGCCGAGGGCTGCGGAGGGGCGCGGCCCGCGAGACACCATGGGACGGGCGCCCCCTCGTGACCACAGCCGGCACAGCCTCGGAGCCCAGCCAGGAGTGGGGTCTCACTTCCGTGTCCGTCTGGGCTCTGTCCCATCTCTGGGTCTCCACCACCCCCATAGACTCTCTTCCCTACAGGGTCAAGGGGGGAAGGGTAGGCAAGAGTGGACCTGGCACCCGCTCCTGGCCAGGAACGCCTGTGATGCGTTTGTGGTCAGCAGCAGGAACTCTTTGCCCCAAAGATCCCACCGGTCTTATGAGACCGGGAGTGGGGCGGCCAGGACAGCCGTGGACAGAACTGTTGAGGGGAACTTGGACCTGGCGCTGTCCACTTTGAAACCTGAGAGAAAACAAGGGATATGGAAGAACCCAAGTTCCAGCCTGATAGCACAGAGAGAGGAGCCCCTTGGAGGGATAAGGATGACATTCCTTTCCTCTGTGCAAACCACAGGCTCCGCCCGGCTGCTGGGGCCCTGGCGGGGTCAGCACCACCGTGGGAATCAGGATCTTTGCTCTCAGAGTTAAATCCTTGAGTTTCTTATTCCCTTGCAGGGAAGGACTCGTCTCATTAGCATGGCTGAAACTGGCCCGTAGCTCTGGGCATCACCGATAAGGTTCAGAGGCAAAGGGCTCAAGATTTGGACGCTGAGTTCTGGGTTTAAGCCTGTGCACTGCCACTAGCCATGTGACTGTGGGTACCTCACTCAGTCTGAGCCTCTGTGTCCCCATCTTTTAAGTGGTAATGCCCAGAGGGTTCAGTGTGATCATGTGTGTATCATGCATCATGTTTTGCACATAGCAAGCCTGCACAAACATTAGTAATATACAGGCTTAATTATGATTACAAGGCTGGGTGTGGTGGCTCACGCCTGTAATCCCAGCACTTTTGGAGGCTGAGGCGGGCGGATCACGAGGTCAGGAGATCGAGACCATCCTGGCTAACATGGTGAAACCCCGTCTCTACTAAAAACAATACAAAAAATTAGCCGGGCGCGGTGGCGGGTGCCTGTAGTCCCATCTACTCGGGAGGCTGAGGTAGGAGAATGGCATGAACCCAGGAGGCGGAGCTTGCAGTGAGCCGGGATTGCGCCACTGCACTCCAGCCTGGGCGACAGAGCGAGACTCCGTATCAAAAAAAAAAAAAATTATGATTACTGCTTCCTTAGGTTAGGAATGACATTCTCACAGTCACTTTTATTATTACCAAAATCAGAATGGAGTCATTATTACAGCCAACAAATCCCAACCCTTGGTCAGACGTTGTATTATTTGATAAGCCTGATGCAGTGGTTCCTCTCAGTGGAAACTTTCAAACAGAGGCTGGAACATTCCATGTAAGCCAGCCAGCAAGGGGCCCTGGAGGGGAGCTAAGGCAGATGTGTCCATGCTGTACTGCAGTGGCTGGGGTGGTCTCACAGACAGAGTCACTGAATCCAGCACCCTCATGGAACTAGGCCCAGGGAGCAGAAATAACTTGGCCAGAGCTGCAGGGCAGAGCTGCCTCTGGCTTTCCTTGCCCATGGGTGTACGATCACTCAGCCACAGCACCCAGAAAGACCAGCTTCTTCAAAGCTGCACAGACGCACATAGCCACAGTCATGGGGCCAGACCAAACACACATACAGGACACTTTAGCAAAAAGGCCCACAGGAGAGGGTCGGGCCACACCTGGAGCAAATATGTGTGTGAGGCCTTCTCCCGGGCACCTCATATATGTTCTCTCACCAAATCATTTCTATATTACAGGTTCTGAGCCTGAGGCTCTGAGGGATCAGTAACTTGTTCAAAGGTTACACATCCACTAAACAGTAGAGCTGGAATTTAAGCTTGGAGCTCACACACTTCCACAGTTTAATCTTGCTTCCAGAGTAACGGCAGGGCAGTCAGAGGCAGAGTAGACCCCACAGCAGGGACAAGGGCAGGGTGAGAGGGCTGTGTGCTGGCTTCTGCCTCAGTCTCCCTAAAAGGAAGCTGAAGAGATGTCCTTCCCTTTCTTTAGAAGAAGCTGGGACCACTCTGAAGAGTTACCTAGAAGCACCTTCAACTACAGACCTGGAGCATTCTCCACTGTGCTGCAGCCCTCAAATCAGGTAGCCCACCCAGCATAGTCCCTGGTCAGCCCCAGCTGTATGCCGTATGGCCAAGACCCTATGCCACGATGTCCTTTCAGCTTGAATCCCTTGGAGGACACCGTGGGCCCAGGGGAAGGGCAGGGGCCTGCAAGCCTGCATTTTGAGCCTGGCCAGTGTCCCAGTAGCCCTCTTCACAAGCTGACACCCACCCACCTCCACGCAGGTGCTCAGACGCCGGGAAAAAGTAGACAATGTCTGGACGGAAGAGTCCTGGAACCAGTTTCTGCAGGAACTAGAGACTGGGCAGAGGGTGAGTGCTGGCTGGCTCTCGGGGTGTGCACGCACCCTCAGCTGATACATTTTGGAAAGTGAGTTCACCTGCTCTGACACACCCTTTCTACCCTTCAGCCCAAGAAACCGCTGGTGGACGACCCTGGTGAGAAGCCCTCCCAGCCCATTGAGGTGAGTGCTGCAGGGTGCTGGGGACAGCAGCCTGATAAACCAGGGAGATTAGGGTTTTGGTGGCCCCAGTAACCATGGGCATAGGCCACGAACTAAGAGCTCTCTCTCCAGTCCCACATGGTTTATTTCTGTAATGCCAGCACTCAGGACAGTGGCTGGCATACAGGAGGCGCTCAGTAAACATGTGTTAAATAAATATGTGTTGGCCAAAGCAGGAGCAGAAAAGGGAGTGGTCAGTGCGCACTGGGATTATCAGGAAATATTCTTGGAGGTGGAGCTGGACCCTTGAGAAGCTCCGAGGGCCTGATTCGGCGAAGACCCATAGCAGAGGCTGGCAGGAAGCAGCGTGGGGGTGGGGGCTCCGGTCCCTGGGGTGGCGGGGGAACCTGGATGGGCACAGTGAAGCCAGGCCTTGGAGGGCGGGAGAAGATGGGAGAGGAAATGGGGAACCCCATTGGTGCTGTAACAGAGACACAACTTGGCAGAAACTGGCAGGACTGCGGAATCGCGGGATCAGGAAGCGCGTAGGCACTCCCGGGGCGTGCTGGGCAGGTGAGAGGCCGTGGCGGGGATGCCCTCTTGGCACCCTGGGCCACACCTCCTGGCAGGAGCCCGGCCCGTGCGCTGAGGCCTGCCCTTACGCCGGCCCGGTGCGCTGGCCTTGCTTTTCACAGTCGATCTTTGACCGCTGCCTCCCACCCCCACGGTGCGCTGCCCCTCACTGCCCAGCCTCTCCCCGCCCCCAGGTGCTGCTGGAGAGAGAGCTGGCCGAGCTGAGCGCCGAGCTGGACAAGGACCTGCGGGCAATTGAGACCCGACTGCCGTCCCCCAAGGTACCAGCCCCCAGGGTTCACCCGCGGGGCACGCCGGCGACCGCAGGGTCGGGGCGAGCCGGGAGCCTCGGCGGCTGGGCTGGGCGGAGGACGGGCAGCCGAGGTCCGGCCTCCAGCGGCGCGCACCGGCCTCGGGCCCTCCTGGGCGCTGGCGGGCTCGCTCCTCCATAAATAAAATACAGGGCGTCGACTTTCGCAAGTGACCCCGAGGAGCCTTTCTAAGCGGACTCCACGTCAGCCCGACGACCGGGCGCCCGCCCCGTCCGGCCCCCGGGCCCCAGCCTCGGGGACCCCCGCCCCTTCCCCTAGTTCCCGCCCCGCTCCCGGGATCGGCCGCGCGGGCGCCTCTAGGACCCCGCGTCCCGCCCGCTCTCCTCCCCTCCCGAGCCGCGAACTTTTCCGGAGGCGGCGGCCTCGGCTGCCGCTGGGTCCCGGGGTCGCGGGCCCTGATTGCGCCGTTTCCCCGCGCAGAGCTCGCCGGCGCCCCGACGGGCCCCGGAGCAGCGGCCCCCGGCCGGGTGAGTGGGAGACGCGGGAGGAGGAAGGGGGCTGTCCCAGGCCGGGCGGGAGGGAACGTGGCGCGGCCGGGCGGGGCGGACGGGGGCGATCGCGGGGCCCAGCCGGGGGAGGAAGGAACCGCAGAGCCGTGTCCGGGAGGGACCGCAGCGCCACTCTCTGCGGGGCGCCGTTCCCGCGCCACCGAGGGCAGCTAACTCCTAGCAGAGGACCGGGGTCGCGGCCGCCGGGGGCGCAGCGCGGTTAGGGCGGCCCCGCCACGGCCCAGGCACTCCCGCTGGGCCCTGCCGGGCCTCACCCTTCCCCGCGCAGCGACTCGGGAAGTAGGACATCCTGTGGAGAGCCCAGGACCCGGGAGACGCCCTGGGAGGAGGTGGCAGGGATGGGGGCGATGGGGGGTCAGAGCGGTCTAGGGGTGACCAGGGTGGGGTGCGGAGCCCCAGGCTGGAGGCTCAGTCTCTGTGCCCCGTGCAGCCCGGCCTCAGCCTGGAGCTCCAGCTACCCACATGCACCTTACCTGGGTTCCGCCCGGTCCCTGAGTCCCCACAAAATGGCTGATGGAGGAAGCCCCTTCCTAGGTCGGAGGGACTTTGTCTACCCTTCCTCAACCCGAGGTAAGGACCCAGCCCTGCTCTCTTTCTCACGGAGATGCCCACCCACCAGGCATGTTGGTGCCCCAGGGGTGGCAGGTCACAGAGCCCCTTGCTTCTGCCAGTGCCTGCCCTAGGTGGGGGTGCAACCCCATCCCCCAGGTATGGCCTCCCCAAGCTGAGGTTGTGCTTCTCCACAGACCCTAGTGCCTCTAACGGAGGGGGCAGCCCAGCCAGGAGGGAAGAGAAGAAGGTAAGGAGGGGACCAGGTGTGGGGGACCTGGAGTGGTCCCAAGGCTGCCATCCTGGATCTGCCACCCGCCCAACTGAGAGAGCCCACTCTGTCCTCTCCCCTGCCTAGAGAAAGGCCGCCAGGCTCAAGTTTGACTTCCAGGCGCAGTCCCCCAAGTAAGCGCCCTCCTCCCCCTCCCCTTCCACCCAAGGCAATCTCTGCCATCCCAGAGGGGGATGGGGAGGGGGACTGGGCTGCAGTGGGCATCCCCAAGGGGTGAGAGAACTGGGGTGTGTTGGGCAGGGTCTGAAGGGAAGGAGGCTTGGGAAGGCTTCAGCTTACCCTGCGGTCCTCGTCCCCACCTGCAGGGAGCTGACTCTGCAGAAGGGTGACATTGTCTACATCCACAAGGAGGTGGACAAGAACTGGCTGGAGGGAGAGCACCACGGCCGCCTGGGCATCTTCCCTGCTAATTATGTGGAGGTGAGCAGGAGAGACAAGAGCAAGTGGGGCTGGGCTGGGAGGGCGCAGGGGTTGGGAGAGACTTAGTGCAAACCTTGGGTTTCCTAAAGCAAAAAACTGTGAGGGGCTGGGGCGTGTCTCGGAACTGTCCTTGGCCCCCACAGGGCTTGGCCCAATGCTGTGCATGACCCCAGGAAATGTTTGCTAAATGAGGGTGGAGCCTAGCCCAGGGGAGGACCCAGCAGCCAGCTCCTCAACCATTCGTGTCCCAGACTTTCACCATTCAGATCCGTCTTTCTAAAGCTGTCTTTGGAAATCATCCTAATGGCAACTAGCAAGAGTGGGAAGTGTGCGACAGTTTATAAATCACGTATACACGCATAACCTCTTTCAGGTGTATTACCGCCCTGGTTCCTCTCACTGCCCAGAGAGTGATAGATTATCTCTGTTTTACAGATGGGGATGCCAAGGTTCAGTGAAAAGTTATTAAGTAAAAGATCCAGAATCTGAATCCAGGTCTTTTGATTCCAGAGACAGGTTCTGGGCTTGACAGATAAAGGGCGATAGGTTATCTTTGCTATTTGTGACTTTTAAAATATGTCAAGTTATCCAAATTACTGGCATAAAGGTGTTCATTATAGTCTCTTACTATCCTTTTCATGTCAGTAAAATATGTAGTGATGTCTTCTCTTTCTTTTTTTTTTTTTTGGAGAGACAGAGTCTTGCTCTGCTGTCCAGGCTGGAGTGCAGTGGCGGGATCTTGGTGCACTGCAACCTCCACCTCCCTGGTTCAAGGGATTCTCCTGCCCCAGCTTCCTAAGTAGCTGGGACTACAGGAATGCGCCACCACGCCCAGATAATTTTTGTAATTTTTTAGTAGAGATGAGGTTTCACTATACATTGGCCTGGCTGGTCTCGAACTCCTGACCTCAGGTGATCCACCCGCCTCAGCCTCCCAAAGTGCTTGGGTTACAAGCGTGAGCCACTGTGCCCGGCTGATATGTTCTCTTTCATTCCTGATGTTGGCAATTTGCGTCTTCTCTTATTCTGTCTAGAGCTTTATTAATTTACTTGATCTTTGGATTTTATTCATGTTTTTCTCTCGTTTTTGTTTTCGATTTCATTGAGTTCTGCTTCTTATTTGCTTATTGTTGCTTGCTTTTGGTTTAATTTGTTATTTTTCTAAGTTTCTTAGGATGAAAGTTTAGACTATTGATTTGAAACATTTTTCCCTAGAATGCTGCTTTAACTGCATCTCACACATTTTGATTTTTCATCAACTCTTGACTGTTTTCTCATCTCGTCTGTGACTTCCTCTTTGACCCATGGGTTGGGTTGTTGTTTAATTCAGGCTCTTGTTTTGATAGGTATCATTAGGCCTCCCTTGCTTACACGATGATCCACTTGGTCCTGAAATTTCACAAAGTATATACAGTATTTCACTCCGCCAGTCGTTTCTATCTTTGTGTGAAATGGTTTATTGGCTGCTTGATTTTTATGGGCAGAGTGAAGCAAAGAGAACGTGAGGATTCTGGGCTCCGGCTGGGGTAGATGGGGAGGAAGAACCGAGACGCTGGAACCCAGGGACACCCGGTTCTCAGCAGTGAGAAAAGGGTGAATGCTCAGTTTTGGAACAGTTCCCCAAGTTCCCCTTGCTGCTTGGAACGCCTCATTTTCTTCTGTGGTCCAACTTAAACTCTCTAATTGGACTGGCTTCCATCTTTTCTCTTGGAGTTCTTCACTTCAGTAATGCCCACTCCATATATCCCTATGGAAAATTCTTCTTCCAGGGAGCGTTCCCAGACTCCTCCCCATCCTCCAGCACCCTTTGGCTGTGCCCACCCGTGGCTGCCCCCAGGGCTTGTGTCTGGTGTTTATATCTTTTCTCTGCCTAGGGGCGGGCCCACCTTCTCTTTGCTGTCTCACAGGAACCCCCAGCCTGTGCTATGTTGATGCCCAGGCCAAATCTTTCTCATGACCTTTCTTCATGCAGGTGCTGCCCGCAGATGAGATCCCTAAGCCCATCAAGCCCCCGACCTACCAGGTGCTGGAGTATGGAGAGGCTGTGGCCCAGTACACCTTCAAGGGGGACCTGGAGGTGGAGCTGTCCTTCCGCAAGGTGGGCCAGGCCGGAGACGGAGGGGTGGGTGGGGGCAGGTGAAGATGTAGGTAAATATGTGCACTAAAAACAGTTTTTTTTTTTTGAGACAGAGTCTCACTCTATCGCCAGGCTGTAGCGCAGTGGTGCCATCTCGGCTCACTGCAACCTCCGCCTCCCGGGTTCAAGCAATTCTCCTGCCTCAGCTTCCCGAGTAGCTGGGACTACAGGCACGCGCCACAACACCCAGCTAATTTTTGTATTTTTAGTAGAGACAGGGTTTCACGATGTTGGCCAGGATGGTCTCAGTCTCTTGACCTCATAATCCACCCGCCTCAGCCTCCTAAAGTGTTGGGATTACAGGCGTGAGCCACCGCGCCTGGCCTAAAAACACTTCTTTAAAAAAGAGTCCGATGTACCTAGCTTCACCCAGGATTTCAAAGTTTTCCCCAGTCTCTTTCATTATGCTTCCTTTAGTGTAGTGGCTTTTTTTTGCTTTTTTTTGAGACAGCATCTCACTATGTTGCCCGGGCTGACCTTGAACTCCTGGGCTCAAGCGATCCCCTGTCCCTGCCCCAGCCTCCCAAGTAATTTTGGTCCATTTTTAAAAGATCATCATAAACTTCTAGAGTTACATATATATTTTTTCAACTGCAGGTTGCAGGGGATCATACTCAGCATTTTTAAAGGTATAGACAGAAATGTTAGCATGCGTTGCGAGCAGAAAGCACTTTATCATACCGTAGGCAGTTCTGTGTATGCACATATATATGTATTCTGGGCTGTTATTAAAACATTTTTAACTGTAGATTGTGGTGAAACAAGTTTGAAAAATGCTGTTCTAGAAAGCAGGGAAGTGGTCTGCCTTTGGTTGATTTTGGGAGCAGTGATCATGCTCCCAAAATAAGCGAAAGACGGCCCATAGTGAATGCCTCCCAGAAGAGCTGGCCCCAGGGACAGAGGGGGAAGAAGGTGGCTGGATGGAGACAGATGGGGGCAGGAGAGGACAGGGGAAGGCAAGGGCTGGAGGCCACCCTCCCAGGGGGTGGTTCTACCTAATGTCAGCCAGCCTGTGGCCTTCAGGACTCCCTGCCTGTCCTGGGGAGTGTGTTTTTGACACGCTCATGACAAGGTCCCCCAGCGTGAGGCAGGAACAGGACCCAGGCAGGGCAGTAGTGGTAGCACCTGTCCAGTGTGTCTAAGGAGTGGACTGTTGATCTCGTTCACACCTCATAGTGACAGTATGGTTATTTTCACTTAACATAGGAGAAAACAAGGCTCAGAGAGACAGAGCAGGCTGCCTGAGGCCACACAGCTTGGCCTGGTGGAGCTGGGTTTGGATCTGTATTATTAGCCACGGGCTCACCTGTGATCGGAGCTCTGGGGAGGGACCTTGCTATGAACGCCGAAGGGGGATGCACACCCGTTGAGCTTCCAAGAGGCAGGACCCAGTCTCAGCCTCAGCCTTGCCTGGGCAGCCTGGGCTTGGCTCCTGGCTCCTGCTCTTACCGTGTGACTCGGGTAAACTGCTGGCCCCCTGCGATTCCGACCCCTCGTGTGTCCAAGGTGTTAGGGTTGAATGAGACAGCCCAGATAAGGCACCCGTGGGTCCATGGCACCAGGAAGGCCCCACAGACACTGACTTTTCCCCCCTCAGGGAGAGCACATCTGCCTGATCCGCAAGGTGAACGAGAACTGGTACGAGGGACGCATCACGGGCACGGGGCGCCAAGGCATATTCCCTGCCAGCTACGTGCAGGTGTCTCGTGAACCCCGGCTCCGGCTCTGTGACGACGGCCCCCAGCTCCCCACGTCTCCCCGCCTGACCGCTGCCGCCCGCTCAGCCCGTCACCCCAGCTCCCCCTCAGCCCTGCGCAGCCCAGCTGACCCCATCGACTTGGGGGGACAGACCTCCCCCCGTCGCACTGGCTTCTCCTTCCCCACCCAGGAGCCTAGACCCCAGACCCAGGTGAGGTAGCCTGCCTCCACCAGAGAGTCGACCTCCTCCTCACCCCTCATCCCCCACCCCCGTGACTTGTCCACACTTGGGACTCCTTCCCAGACAGCCCTGGGACATAGGAGTGGGGTGACAGGGCAGAAGCTAGTATGGCAGCCCCACCCTGGCCTGGGGGACCTCAACCTACCGAGCTCTAGCCGAGGGAGCTCTAGATGGAATCCCAAAGCCGGCCCAGGCTCCTGACCCTGGGTGTTCTTGGTTCATCCATGCTGGCGTCCAGAAACCCAGGCACTGACCTTACTTGGGCCTCAGTTTTCTGGCCCCTGTGAAATGAAATAGTCACAGCAGGTGTCCCTGTGCCCTGGGGGTTTGGAGGCTAAGATGAAGCCGTTTGTAAGGCGTGCTGGCAGGTGGACTGGGAACGCCCATTTTGGGCCTCCTCCCTCAGGCTTACATGTACCCATCGTCTTCCTCCCTCTGACATCCCTTTCTTCCTGTCAACTCCCAGAATCTTGGCACCCCTGGTCCAGCTCTGTCCCACTCTCGAGGTCCCAGCCATCCCCTGGACCTGGGGACCTCCTCTCCTAACACCTCTCAGATACACTGGACCCCGTGAGTACCATCTGAGGGCTCTTGATCAGACGTGGGGGGGGTCACTGGCAGGCAATGCCCCATATTCCACCCTCCCCCAAGTCCCCACCTGTGGATTTGGGAAACTTCTACCAGGTAGCCCTTGTCCTCGAAGAGCTTATGGTGATTTGGGGCAGGGAGGAGGCGCTGGTCTGTGATGTTCCCAATCCCTCCTGGCAGCTATGTGGCCTTGTGGCCTTGGTCTCCTCATTGGGTTTCTAGCCCTGAGGTCGGTGCATGTATAATTGAAGTGTGGAACTGGTGGAATGGACAGGAAGGCACCAGGTGCTCAGAGGAGGCGAGGGTTCAGTGCTTAGGGCCCAGAGGGCAGGAGGCAGGCCTGGGAAAGACTACGGTGAGCACAGGCTGAGTTGCTCTGAGGAGCTGGATCAGGGGCTAGTGAGAGCATGAAGGGACCCTGGGGCATTCACAGGAAGCGGCAACACTTGGGTTAGAGCCTCTGGGCCCATTCTCTGGTTGCCATGATACGCTTCTCGCAGGTACCGGGCGATGTACCAGTACAGGCCCCAGAACGAAGACGAGCTGGAGCTGCGCGAGGGGGACAGGGTGGATGTCATGCAGCAGTGTGACGATGGCTGGTTTGTGGGTATGTGGGCAGGCCGGGAGGGGGCATCTCAGGGCCCCAGGGGATGTGGGTGGGGTGCTGTTGCCTGCCAGTGCTGCTTCAGCAAAGATTCATGGCCGACCACCCCCCGACTCAGCTTCCGGCCGGGCTACTGGGGGGGCCTGGCACCCGATGCTTCCCCAAAGCCAGCCCTTCTGTTGGCTGCCTTCCTTCATGAAGAGGCCAAGGCCCAGGAGGAAACTGGCACCAGTCCAGGGTCACTGATGGAGTCAGTGGGGACCCAGGCCAGGGTTCCCAACGTCCAGAGCTCTGCCTCTTCCTCCTGCACACCCCTGCCTCGAGCAGCCCTGGGGGAGAGCTCCTGGTGGAAAGGACCAGGGCTCACACTTGACCTAGCTGGCTCCTCCAGCCTGGGAGGAAGAGGGAATGGAGAAAGGTCCCAGCCCCTCAGGGCTGGCCCAAGGGCAGCTCTGACCAAGGACAAATGCAGGAAGCCTCAGGTTGGCCTCAGCCTGAATCAAGGTGACCAACCCACCAGGCTTCACATGGCCTCTTTCCCCAGAGTGGGCGGGCCCTGTGCAGGTCTCATCTTCAAAGGATGGGCCGTCCCCAGAGAGAAGAGAGTGGCCAGAAGCCCCCTGCCCTGCCCCAAGCAGGCTTTGAAGCCTGAGGAGTTGGGGGGCTGCTTGGGCAGCCCCTTGACCTGGCAGCCCACCCTTCCTGATCTGATCCCAGTACAGCTGCCAGCCAGCTGTACTGACCCACCCAGGACCATTAAGCACTAGCCTGTGAATGGCCCCTACCTTCTAGTGGGGGAGGGAGGGAGGCGGTGCTTGGAGATGCATTCAAATTTACTGGATACACTTTTGCTTTGGAATTTTTTTACAACTACTAATAAAGTTTTGCAAACCTATGCAGACAAGAAGAAAAAGTACCACTTTTGTATTAGGAGCCACAAGCGCTTTGAGAGGAATGGGCGAGACCTGTGCCCTTTCCGGTATGGCAGCCACCGGCGGCATTCAGCTGTTGAAATGTAGCTCAAATGAAATAAATTAAAAATCCAGTTCCTCAGTTGCACAGGCACATCTCAAGTGCCCAACAGCCACAGGTGGCGAGTGGTGCCCATTTTAGTTAGTGCAGGTCAGGGAAGGCTTCCTGGAGGAAATGAGGGAGCTGGGCCTGGAAGGGCAGGGGAAGGATTTGGGGAGGCCAAGAGGAAAGGGAGGTACTCGGGGCAGAGGACGAGGGTGGGGGTGGGACGAGCACGGGCTGCCCCCAAGGAAGTCAGGGTGCCAGCCTGGAAGGGGAGGCCCAGGATCATCCATTCACCCAAGGTCAGGAGTGACGTTCATTTCAGTTTATATTCCTATTTTTCTATATATAGGAATATAATAATATTTATTACATTTCTGTATTTCTATATTTCTCCATTCCCTCTTCCTCCCAGGCTGGAGGAACCAGCTGGGGGGTGTGGGGATACACAGGTGTGAGCCCTGGTCCTTTCCACCAGGCGCTCTCCCCAAGGGCTGCTCCAGAGGCAGGGGTGTGCAGGGAAAAGGGGCAGGGCTCTGAAGGTCGGCAACCCCGGCCTGGGTCCCCAGTGACTCCATCAGTGACCCTGGGGTGGTGCCAGTTTCCTCCAGGGCGTCCTTCTCTTCATGGCACGAAGGAAAGCAGCCAACAGAAGTGCTGGCTTTGGGGAAGCATCGGGTGCCAGGCCCCCCAGATGCTTTGCCCGCTGGGGTTCCCCCCCCTCCTCCTCTTCAAGACACGAGTTTCTGTGGGGCTGAGAGGCCTGGATCGGAGTCCCAAGCTTACTCCTAAGCGTCGGGGTGCTCTCGGGCAATGCATTCAGCCTTCCCATAGGCCTTCCCACCCATCTCTAAGTGAGGGTGCCCTATTAGACCAGGGACGTTTCTCCCGATTTCAGTTCTGTGATTCCTCCTCCTGTGTCCCCACTTTGCGGAGGAGGGGGGGAGTGACTCTGCTGTGTACAGTGTGATGCACATTTGTTGATTGCTCAGATTCTTTGGTGGTTGAGTGTGGGAAGTGTAGCTTTGCCCATCTAAGCTTCTGCCGCTAGGGGGCAGGAAGGAGGAGAGCAAATCCAATTCCCTCTCTGGGCTCCCCTACAGAACTCCCCTACAGTTCTGGGCACTGCCGGCAGGGGGCAGGCCCTCACCCCTGCATCCCTGTTAAAGAAGGGAGTGGGGAAAGCTCTTCCTGCCTTTCCTCTTTCAGGTGTCTCCCGGAGGACCCAGAAATTCGGAACGTTCCCTGGAAATTACGTTGCCCCGGTGTGAGTGGTCTCCATGGCAACTTGGAGCCAGCCAGGATGGGGTGGGGAGCGGTGGCACTCGTGGGAGGGAGAGGACCCCCGCCCACATCCTCCTTCCCCAGGACCTGAGCTCCCAGCATCTGCAGACGACCCCCGCAGCCTTTCCCTCGGACCCCCCTCGAAGCCCCCTGGACTGATTCCCACCCACGACTCACAGGCATTCCTCCCACAGCCCTTTCATTTCCTCCCCACCCCACTCCCCAAATACAGAGGTCTGCTTTGAAGCGGAGACCATTTCCAGGCCTTATTGAGACCAGACCCCAAGTCCCCCACCCCCATCCTGCTCCAGCGTTTCCTCTAACAGGGACCAGCTCTCCGCTTTGCCCCCACGGGGTTCCTCTAACCAGAACCAGCTTCCTAGCCTCGTAGAGACCAAAGGCCGCCCCCGCCTGCTGGGGTTCCTCCCAGCACCCCAGCTTGCTGGCTGCCCTCTTTGCCTTCTGGCCTCCAGCTGGGTGTGGGGGGGCGGAGCAAGGCGGGGGACAGACGCAGCACCTTCTTAGCGATCTAGGCCTGGCAAGAGCTCTGGCCCCAAGGCCTCCTCTTCCCAGGGGCTGCCAAGTCCTGGCCCTGGCCCTGGCATATCACCCCGCACTGTGGGGCCAGGCACCACTAGCCTGGCTCAAATATTCCCCAGGGAGACTGCTGTGTGCTGCCCGCCTGCCTGCTGGCTCTCCCCCAGCCCCACATCCCCTCTGGAAGAGAATGTAAAATAAACCTGGACACAAGGGACCTTGTCTCTGCGGCCTTTTCCTTGGGGTAGGGGATGCCTCCTCCTGTCTAGGAGATGGGAATTCCTTCTGTGGAGGGCTGTGCTGGGAGACAGGTGGGACAGGTGTGTGTGTAAGAGGAGGAGGATGGAAAAACACCATTATTACCTCCAAAGATCTCTGCCCTTGGGTGTCAGGCAGGTTGCGGCAGCCCCCACAATTGGGCAGCTGTGTGGCAAGAAGTGCTGGGAGAATGAACAGTGCCAGGCCCTGGTAGCAGGGAGACACCAGAGATGGGGGACTGAATGTGGCCTTGTTTGCAGACTGTTTTGATTCTGGAGCTGCCACCGTGGGGTTGCTGGGCTAGATGACATTTCTAACTATTCTGCTGTTTTCCTTCTGTGTGCTCTGTTTCCACACCGAAGCCCTTGTGTGTGTGTGTGTGTGTGTGTGTGTGTGTTTATTCTCCTCTTTGGGCTCAGGCTTTTGAGCAATCCTTTGCGGGAAGCTGGGAGTGGTCAAGCACAGCCAGCCAAAACTCCTCTTGAACAAGGGTGTTTTGTTTGTTTGTTTGTTTTTTGTTGTTTTTTTTCTGTGTGAGATGGGGTCTCATTCTTTCGCCCAGGCTGGAGCGCAGTGGCCCGATCTCGGCTCACTGCAGTCTCTGCCTCCCGGCTTCAAGCAATTTTCCCACCTCAGCCTCCTGAGTAGCTGGGATTACAGGGTTGCGGCACCATGCCCAGCTAATTTTTGTATTTTTAGTAGAGATGGGGTTTCACATGTTGGCCAGGCTGGTCTCGAACTCCTGACCTCAGGTGATCCACCCACCTCGGCCTCCCAAAGTGCTGGGATAACAAGCGTGAGCCACCGCGCCCAACCTTGAACAAGGTTTTATAGTCCTGGAGCTTGCAGGTCCCTGTGGGGTGGCAGTGGTGGCACAGTCCAGGCATGGCCACTCTGCCAAGAAAGGAAGCTCCGTTTCTCGGCTGCTGCTGAGAGGTGAGCAGGGCACCAGGGCCTCTCCGTGTGTTACCTAACATGAGCCTCACGATGGCAGGTCATGATTCCATTTTACAGGGGGAGAGACCCAGCCTCTGAGAAATTAAGTTGTCTAGCTCACATCATTATTAAATGCTGAAGTCAGGTCCACCTCACTTCCTGAAATCTACCAAATGCCCAGGCAGCCCTCGTCCAGGGCCCTCGTCCAGGCCCTTGGAGAAGGAAGGTCATGTGTGAGGTCAGGGACTTCTCTAGGGCGGCCCAGGTTGGGCCGCTTTTATGTTCTTCCTGGCAATCCTGTCTTCTAGGCCTGTCACCTGAGACAGGTGTGAAGAGGTGGTGGCTGGAGTGAAAGGTGGTGGTGCCCAGTTCTGTCAGGACAGAGGGGAGGGGCTCGTGGTTGACAGGGCAGTGGCCTAGCCCTGGCTGGTTTCTTGAACCTGGGTGCGGCCTGACCCAGCAGGGGTTCAACAGCAGCTGGAAGAACGAGTCCTCCATCCACCTCCATCCTCACCCTGGTTTGGTTCTAAATGGGCAGGTCCAGCCCATCCTGGCCTGGAAACAACCATTCCTCAGAACCCACTGGCCTGGTTGCCATTCCCCCATCCCAGCTCTTTTTTCATGAACTCCCTGATTCCCTCATAAAACATATCAGGGCTGAGGCCTCCTCTCCCTGGGACAGAGACCAACTCCATGCCCTCTCTTTGATGGAGCGCTGGCACTTCCCGCAGCTAACAAACCCTCCAACCCTGGGCTGCCTGCACCACGGTCCTGCCTGAAAGATGCTTCTGTGCCTCGACTTGGCCTGATTGGGGAGGTGAAGGGAGGATCAGAGGCTGCTGGAGATGGCTCACCCATGAGAGAGGGGAGGGCAGTGATGTGGCTTACCTAGGGCCACAGAGAGGCTATGAGCAGGACATGTCCCCTTCTGTGCCACAGAGGCGTGCCCTGCCTGGGTTCGCTGACTTGTCTTTGTGGTGGGTTTTGTGAATTCACAACCCACCCATCAGAAAGCCCTGCCAGATGAACCTGGGGCTATTTGTAGAGTCTGTCCAAGGCATGCAGGAGGGGCTCTCTGAGGAAATGATGGGCTTGTGTTTGATTCACTCTCCATTCCCAGAGGCAAGCACGGTGCCTGGCACTCAGTATTCACTGAATGAATGTTATTGGAATGATTGTGTGGAAGAATTGAATGGATGAACTTCCCTTCCTTTGGGTCCCTTCCCAGAAGTCCCCACCCCATTTGAGGCAGGGACTCTGTTTGACACCTCTGTGCCATCCTTGGCTTTTGCTTGTGGCCAAGCAATTTTTACAACAAGACGGTAAGCAGCACATTATCCCCATTTTCCACATGGGGAAACTGAGGCCCGGAGGAGCCGAGGAGGTTGCTGAAGGTCACACAGCCGGTGAGACGCAGCTGTGCACTTGGGGCTAGGTCTGTGTGCCCCCGGGGCTGTGCTCACCCTGCCTGTAGTTGCCTCTCCCCTCAAGGGGCTTCCAGTCTAGTCAGGGAGGCAGAGCAGGTACGTCAGGCCAGGCGGTCATGCCGGGAGGCCGGAGACCAGCCCGTGGGAGAGGAGTTTACACACACCCAGGACGGTCTGTGGGAGGAGGGGGGCCAGAGTGTGAACGCAAGGAGGCTGAGACGCGGGCACAGACAGGTGAGGGGCGTGGGGAGGGCACTCTTCACAGAGTGAGCGTGGAGGGAATGAGTCACACCTGAGGCAGGCGAGGCACAGCTGCGCCCACAGGTGTGATCCCCTGAAAACACAGCAGCCTGGCAGCCAGAGGCCAAGTGGAGACCCAACGAGAGGCGGCTCTATGGCCTTGAGGTCCCCGGAGAGAGGGTTGCCAGGTACGGCTTCTCCTCCCCGAGCTGGCACCGGGGTCCCCTCCTTGGCTGCCCTCTCCTCATCCTTATAGCCTGGGCTTCAGGTGCTTGAAAGAGGACAAGGGAGGGGGCAGGAAGCGGGGTGAAGACCTGCAGAGAGGATGAGGTGAGGGCCCACGGGAACGGGAAGGTACCAGCCCAGGGGTGGGGGTGCCCAGTGAACCCCTAGCCAGGAGGCTCTCTCCATCTCCTAGGGCCCCTGCGGGTCCCCCTTTGCGGGCATTCCAGGCAGAGAAGTTCTGCGCTGCCGAGAAGCCAGCGTTCAGGAAGGGAGTTGGCGGGCAGGAGGGTGGCCTTGGTTTGGGATTTGTGGGTGTCAAGGCCGCATCTGCGCCAGCCTCCCAGCCTGGAGTGGGTGGAGGAGCCAGGCGGACCGCAGACACACCCAGGCAGCCCACCCTGCCCAGGACCTGGGGATGCGGGGCGGGAGAGCGCGGCCGGCGTGGGAGAGCTTTATGGGGCTGCCCCCTCGATCGTCTGCGAAGTGGGGCGCGGGGCAGTCCCTGGACCGGCTCTGCTGTGCTCCGGGCAGTCGGGGGCTTGCGGGCGCTCCGGGGAGGATGCGGGCACCACCGGCTGGACGGTCGCAGCCTGCAGGGGGCCCTGGGGACAGCCTGCCTCATCCCCCCGGCGGGCTCGGGCCAGGTGGCAGCGCCTGGGCTCGCCGCGCGGAGGCGGCGGCTTCTCGGGCTAGGGGCGGCGGCAGGGGCGGCCCCGGGATCACATGGGCGGAGGCAGGTCCGGGAGCCCCGGGCGGGCTCTCCCCAGAGTCGGGTAGACGGCAGCGGGAGCGGTGGCGTCTCCCCGCCTTCCCTCCCTCCCGGGCCTGGGCGCCCAGCCGGACAGGTGAGCGGCAGCCAGGTGAGCGCGCCCACCTGCGCCTCTCCGCGCGGCCCGCCCTCCCCGGCGCCGGGCTCCTCTCCGCGCCCCTGTCGGCGCGGAACCCTGGCCTCGTCCGCGGCCCAGCTCCCTGGAGCCTCGCATCAGCGGGGGCGCCCCCGCGAGCTGCGCTCTCCCCGGCCGGAGCGCTCCTCCTCCAGCCCCCAGCCCGCAGGGTACTTTGCCCTCGGAGCGAAGGAGGCTCCAGAACTGGTAGAGCCGGGCCATCGGGCTGGGCACCTCCCCGCGGCGCCCGCAGCGCGGAGTCCACTGACCGGCTCAAAGGTCTGGGAATCTCGGGGCGGCCGCGAGCCGGCCTCGGGGACTGGGGTGGGGGCGGTGCTGGGAACAGAGGCTAGGCCTGGGCCCAAGGGGAAGGCAGCCGGGGATGGAGCGGACAGACCGCTGGTGCTCTTGATAGATTCTCGCAGCACTTGCGTCCCCAGGGCAGCCCCAGGATGGGTGCTGGGCAGGGTGGTGCCCAGCCTGGCACCGCGGCTTCCTGCCTGGATTGGCTCCTGGCTCCAGAGCTAGAGGCTCAGGAAATCCCACAGGGGTCTGTCTGCAAGGGCACTTCCTTGCCCAGCGGAGGGGCTGTGGATGGGAGGCCTGTCACCCCGGCTGTCTGTCGGGCAGCATCAGGAATCTGGGGGTGGGTGTGTCCAGCTTGACAGATGAACCCTGGCCTCCTTGCCCTGGCAGCCGGCCCCTGGGGGAGGTGGGGAGCCCGGTCTTGCCCGTGTGATCCACTTTGCCAAGAACGAGGTGGGCAGCTAGGAGGCCCATGTGAAGACTCGGCCTCACCCCACCAGTCCTTCACCTGGCCAGTGACTTACACAGTCTGTACTGGTGCCAGCCTGTTCCTTGACCCGTCACTCCTGCTTCCTGAGCCCTGCTCTCCCTAGGCCACTCACCAGCCCTCCCCCAGAGTGGAGAGGAAGTACCGTGTGCTGTGGGTTTTGGGGACAGGAAGCAAGCGCTAGTGGGACTGAGCCCTGATGGTGGAGGAGGGGAGACTGAGGGGGTGCTGGCATCCCCTCCACTTGCCAGCCCCTGCCCCCCATGCTCCAGCAAGCCCCCTGCCTGGCAGCCTGGGCAGCCCCCTCCTGGGAGTCGCTCCCTGGGCTGAAGACTAAGGAAGGGAGAACCCAGAAGCATGGCTTCCCAGGGTGGGGGGAAGTGAAACCGGGCTGAGGGAGGGAGTTAGCCACTTCCTCTACCCACCCCAAAGCCCCTGAGTAGCTGCTCCGGGAGCTGTGGTGCCCTCTCCTTCTCCCTTTGGCTCCTCTCCTGCTGCCTTACAGTGCCCCCAGAGCCGGCTAGGGGCATGGACTTCACCTCCTGGTCCTCTCTTCCTCAGGTATGGCGTTGACGGTGGATGTGGCCGGGCCAGCGCCCTGGGGCTTCCGTATCACAGGGGGCAGGGATTTCCACACGCCCATCATGGTGACTAAGGTAAGGATGGTGGCTCAAAGAGATGAGAAGGTCCTGCCAGAAGCGAGGTCGGCCCTGTTCACCCCACTCTGCACAGATGGCTTGCTTTTTCTGTTCTGGAGCTAGGGATCTGCTGCTGCCTGGCGTGCTGGCTGTAAGGGAGCCGTGGCCCTTTGCCACGGGGATGTGGTGGCCACTTCAGGAACAGACCTTGGGAGTGAAAGGGAGCTGGGACCAGGACAGGGCCGGCTCTTGCCTCCCCAGTTGCTATCCCCACACTTGCAGGCAGCCATTTGGGGTGATTACTAGAACAAGAGCCCCGGAGTTCTTGGCAGTCTCCTCTTGACCTGGGCCCAGGCTGGGAACATTCACAGGAGGGCTGTGCAGGCAGCCACCTGCAAGGTGCGATTTGCACGGGCAAGGCTCTCTATCCAAAAGTATTTCCAAGCACAGTTCCTGAAATTCTGCCACTGCACATTCTTTGGGAGGCCCATTAGAATGCCAGTGTGGGGTGGGGGCTGCCACCTGCGCTCCTGGAGGGGATGGCTGATCAGCTGGGTGTCATGAG
The DNA here is from genome assembly GCF_000001405.40 of Homo sapiens. Lineage (NCBI taxonomy): Eukaryota > Metazoa > Chordata > Mammalia > Primates > Hominidae > Homo > Homo sapiens. Next base: position 22,581,245 of record NC_000008.11, read on the forward strand.
CAGGCAGAGGGACATGCAGGAGGGTGCAGGCCGGCCTGGGTCAAGCCAGCCTCTGTGTTTCTTGGGTAGCAGAGTGGGAAGTCCCTTCTCCAGCTGGGCCACGGTCTGAGCATGCCAGCTCCTCATCCCTACAGGTGGCCGAGCGGGGCAAAGCCAAGGACGCTGACCTCCGGCCTGGAGACATAATCGTGGCCATCAACGGGGAAAGCGCGGAGGGCATGCTGCATGCCGAGGCCCAGAGCAAGATCCGCCAGAGCCCCTCGCCCCTGCGGCTGCAGCTGGACCGGTAGGGCCTCCCGCTCTGCAGAGCCTGTGGCATTCCCCCTCCTCCACCACCCCACGTATTGAGCAGCCCTTGCTCCTGCCCATGGGCTAGAGCTCAGCCCTAAAGCGGCCTTCTTGGGCCCTCTCCACACCTTGGTGAGAAGGTCCTGGGCTCTGCTTCCTGCAGCAGGGTGGGCTGAGGGGTGTTCCCATGCCTGGTTGGGTAAAGGTGGGCGCCAGGCTGGGCGTGCAGTCACAGGCTGGGCAGGGCGAGCTGGCACCAGCCACCTTGAAGCCCGGGTTTGACTGGTTCCCAAGAGTGTGCAGGGCACAGGGCGTGGGCATGAAGTGGGTTGAAGAGGGGAACCTTCTGGGAAAGGTATGCCCGAGGCTGCATCCCCAGGACTCCTGCTTCCAACAGGGCATGGCCTTTGTTTAGTTCCCAGCTGGAAGTGAGGACTTGGGGGGCTCATTCCTCATAGAGGCTGTCTGTTCCTCCCCATCACTGAAGGCAGATGCCCGATCCTGGGTTACTCCTAGGGTTTTGAGCCTATAAGCCAAGGTGGGGCCAGGGTGGGGCCTGGAGGCCAAGCTATAGGGGGAACAGGTGGCTCCCTGGGGTGGGGCATTGCAGTGAGTCACAGATCGGGAATGCCAGGAGATCCCCGAGCCAGGAGAGCCCTCTGCACGGGCCTAGAACCTGAGTCAGACACCTCTTGCATCCTGGCCACCCCCACATTGTCCTGCTCTCTTCAGCCCTACCAAGCCCCTCCTTCTCCAACTGCCCTGCCCTGTGGTGTGGCAGAAGCCGGCTCCCTTCATGTCATTCAGGTCCCTGGGTGTTTGCAGGAGCGGGACCCCAAGAAGGAGGGTAGAGAGCACCTCATGGCATCTGGGAATGGGGCAGAAAGCTACAGGAGGCTGAGGGTCTGGCAGCGGAAGGGCAGGAGCCTCGGACTGTCTCTTCCTCTGGGGTTCTCTGGAGGGACCAGGGCTCGGGGGAGGTAGGCCTGGGCTGTAAGTCAGGCCTCTGGTTCTGCACCAGGCAAGCCCAGACTCCAGTCTCTTAATTTTTTTTTTTTTTTTTTTTTTGAGACAGAGTCTCGCTCTGTTGCCAGGCTGGAGTGCAGTAGCGTGATCTCGGCTCACTGCCACCTCTGCCTCCCGGGTTCAAGAGAGTCTCCTGACTCAGCCTCCTGAGTACCTGGGACTACAGGCGCGTGCCACCACGCCCAGCTAATTTTTGTATTTTTAGTAGAGATGGGGTTTCACCACGTTGGCCAGGATGGTCTCGATCTCCTGACCTCGTGATCCACTTGCCTCAGCCTCCCAAAGTGCTGGGATTACAGGTATTACACCGCGCCCGGCCCAGTCTCCTTACTTTTGCTGACGTGATGCCCACCCCCCCCCCCGCCCCCATCTCCCGCCTCCTACCCTCCCAGGTGACCTCTCTGGTATTCAGAAGCCCTGGGGCAGGAAGCAGGGCTCCAGGCTGGAGCCAGAGACTGAGCTCTCCTCACCCTGATCCCATGGCTCTCCCAGGAAGCGGAGGGTCCTGTTGCCCTACATCTCTAGAGGCAGCCTCACGGCCAGGAATGTGTGGCAAGATGGGACGAGGCAGGCTGTCCCTCAGCCCAGACTTCAGTTACCTCCCATTCAGGGCTCCAGCTGGGTTCCACTTTGGAAGAGGGTACCCAGGGAGCTGGGAGGGCGTGCCCCTCTCGCTGGTGGGGAGCTGGGCCTACTTGTCTGGAAGGAGGCAGGCGGGTCTCGCCCTTTGTTTAACTGGGGAGACCCCTGAGAAAGGGATCAGGAGTGACGCGCTCAAAGGCACCCTGGCCTCCAGTGGGCAGGGTGCACAGCTGGCCCAGTCACCGTGGGCTCTAGAACTTGAGGCAGCTCACTTTCCCTCTCTGGGTTTCAGTTTCTCCATGGGTTAAAATATAAAGGATTATTTCTATGAAATCAGTAATCAGGCCGGGCGCAGTGGCTCACACCTGTAATTTCAGCATTTTGGGAGGCCGAGTCGGGCGGATCACCTGAGGTCAGGAGTTCAAGACCAGCCTGGCCAATACGGCGAAACCCCGTCTCTACTGAAAATACAAAAATTAGCCGGGCATGCTAGTGGGCACCTGTAGTCCCAGCTACCTGGGGGGCTGAGGCAGGGAGAATTGCTTGAACCCAGGAGGTGGAGGTTGCAGTGAGCCGAGATTGCACCACTGCGCTCCAGCCTGGGTGACAGAGCGAGACTCCATCTCAAAAAACAAAAAAATCAGTAATCTTCCCCCAAATCAATCTACAAACCCGAGGCTGAGTGATATCAGTGACAAAGTCCAGGCAAAATAGAAAAAAAAAAAAAAAAAAAAAAAAAAAAAAGGGCAGGATAATGTGAGGACTCTCTAATAAAACTGAATGTTTGAACTTTCTGATGAAGTTATGTACGTTCTACTTTTTAGAACCAAACTATCCTTTCTTTTTTTGGGGTGGGTTTTGCTGTTGTTACTGTCGTTTGAGATGGAGTCTCACTCTGTCGCCCAGCCTGGAGTGCAGTGGTACAATTTTGGCTCACTGTAACCTCTGCCTCCCTGGGTCAAGCAATTCTCCTGCCTCAGCCTCCCAAGTAGCTGGTGTTACAGGCATGCGTCACTATGGCTTGGCTAAATTTTTTTTTTTTTTTTTTTAATTAGAGATGGGGTTTCACCTTGTTGATGACCAGGCTGGTCTGGAACTCCTAACTTCAAGAGATTCACCCTCCTTGGCCTCCCAAAGTGCTGGGATTACAGGCGTGAGCCACCGTGCCCGGCCTTGGTGTTTTTTTGAGACAGAATCTCGCTGTGTTGCCCAGGCTGGAAGGCAGTGGCACAATCACGGCTCACTACAACCTCCATCTCCTGGGCTCAAGCGATCCTCCCACCTCAACCTCCCAAGTAGCTGGGACTACCGGCATGCACCACCATGTGCAGCTACTTAAAAAAAAATTTTAGTAGTCATGAGGTCTTCCTATGTTGCCCAGGCTGGTCTTGAACTCTTGGGCTCAAGTGATCCTCCTGCCTTGGCTTCCCAAAGCGTTGGGATGATAGGCGTGGGTCAATGTGCCTGGCCAACTGTCCTTTCTTTTAAGGAACCATGGTTGTCATTGATGATAGTTGTTTGTCTTGAGTTTGACAAAGTTAAAAGTTGACAACCGGATGTCCAAATTTTCTGTAGCTTTTACTGGTGTTGAGAACTAGATCTGGGAACAGTTTTGGCCTCTTTTGGGGGTTGCAGGGTGCAGGGCCCCTGTGACATTCCCTCCCTCTGTTGCCTTCTCAGGTCTCAGGCTACGTCTCCAGGGCAGACCAATGGGGACAGCTCCTTGGAAGTGCTGGCGACTCGCTTCCAGGTAAGCTGGTGCCCTCCCCTGACAGCCTCAGCACCCTGATCACTGGTGCATGAAAGTGAGGCCCGAGGGCAGGGCGGCCTTGGCGGGGCAGCCCTGCCTTTCCTGACACAGTCACTCTCTCCACAGGGCTCCGTGAGGACATACACTGAGAGTCAGTCCTCCTTAAGGTCCTCCTACTCCAGCCCAACCTCCCTCAGCCCGAGGGCCGGCAGCCCCTTCTCACCACCACCCTCTAGCAGCTCCCTCACTGGAGAGGCAGCCATCAGCCGCAGGTGAGTGTGCCTGTGAGTGGGTACCCTGGTCGCCTGCGCTGCCAGCTCCAGGCTGGCTCCTCTGAGTCTCAGGAGCTCTGCTTGGGAGCCCGGGGCAGCATCCTCCCTGGGCAGGCTGGGGGTGGCCCTGGCACACACTGTCCCTTTCCCACTTTCAGCTTCCAGAGTCTGGCATGTTCCCCGGGCCTCCCCGCTGCTGACCGCCTGTCCTACTCAGGCCGCCCTGGAAGCCGACAGGTGAGGCTCCCTGGGGGAGGACAGGCTGGAGGAACAGAAGCACCTCCCGTTCCTGTGGGTTGCCAGTGCCCCGGGACTGCAGGCGGCCAGGCCCACCTGGGCAGCCATGGCCTCCTTCTCCTGGCCACAGGCATGCTCTGCTCCTGAGCCAGGGAGGCCATGCTTCTGGTCGTGGGCCACCTGTGCTGTGCCCAAGACCTGCCCAGCAGTGCCCAGTAGCCCGTCCATCTCCTGCACCCCTCCCCTCATCCCCCTCCCCTCCCATCCTGCTGACTTCCTCCCTGCCCAGTATGTTTCTCTTGGGCTGTGGCTGAAATAGTTTCGCTGCTGTTGTTGGGATGATTCCCTTTCGTCTCTGGCTGCATCTCTCGAACACATTCCTCCCCATTCCAAGACCCGGGCCTGCCTGACTCCCACCCACACCCTCCCTTCCTCCTCTGACTCAGCCCAGAGATGCCCCAGTGGGACTGCGGTTCTGCCTTGAGCGCTCTTGGCTTATTCTGTCTCCTCCTCCCCCTACCCCCGCCAGCTCCCCTGGACTCTCTTTCAGCCAGGTCCCAGTGGCCCCTGGTGACAGCCTAACCCCCTTCCTGGGTGGTATTTCTCCTCTTCAACGGTGGGGGATGGTGAGGGAGTGAGGCAGCCAACAGCCCTGGGCCGCAGCTGCTGGGGACGGCGTGGGGGGCACGTCCAGCCTTTGGGGTGATGGGGATATGGCCCAGCTGCTGAGCCCTACCTTTGGGTTGATTCTGCATTCCAGAAAGCAGAGCCTTTGGGGGTGGCCAGGGAGGGCACTAGAACCCAGAGGCTCTGGAGGAGGAAGGAGCAGGATCTTTCTGGGGGCCTTCCGAACAGCGGCTGCCTAGTGACCCGCTGCGTGCCCACCCAGAGGCCAGCCTGGCACTGTGGCCATAGAGATATATTCCATGGGTCCCCTTGTTAAGGAATTGAAGATGCAGTTGTAGAGATAAGGCAAACTTGCAAAACAATTTTGGAGCAATTAGGCACTAAGCAGTGTGGTATTAATTACAAAAGCAGGAGGCGTTCTGGGAGGGGAGGGGAAGGAAGGCTGTGTGAGGAGTATTGCTGGACGTTAGAGGTGGTGGTGAGAGGGTTTAGGGAAGGATGAGCAGGAGGCCCGACATGCTGGGAGATGGAGAAACACTGGTCCGGGCGACGGCTGATGTATTGGGGCTGGGGGATTTTTTAGGGGGAACCTTTGTTCTGAGATGAGCCAGGAATGAGCTTGTTTCAAGAGGGCTGGTCAGTGTCAGTCCTGGCTCTGTTCCGCGACACCTCTGGTGGGCTGTGGTCTCAGCAGGACCCACGTGCTCAAGGGCAAGCCTTCCCGAGCTTCCCCATCGTGTTGCCCCCAGTCCAGGAAAATGAAGGGTGTGGGAGGTACAGAGGCATGGCTCCCAAACCAGCGGCAACACCTGAGAACTTGTTGGAAATGCAACTTCCCAGGCTCCAGCCTACACCCGCTGAATTGGGCATGGGGCTTGTGGGTCACGAGCCCAGAGCTGGGTGTGGGGAGACTCACTTGGGTCGGTCCCACCTCTGCCTGACGACTTGGACCAGCCCCCCTTCCTCTCCCTGGGCCTCAGGTCAGACTAGACGCTCTGAGTTCCCTTCTCTGACCTTGATGACTCTGCTCATTCCTTCGGCAAATATTTGTCGAGCAGCTGCTTCATGTCAGACACTCATCTGGGCTCTGGGGATGCAATCGTGGAAAAACAGAGTGACACCTCTGACCCTATGGAGCTGACGTTCTAGTCTACAAATGAGGCTGTGGTCCCACGGGTGCACAAGTCTCAGGGTCCCACAGCTGCCTTTTGAGAATCACTGTGTAGCTGGGTGCTGTGACATGTGCCTGGAGCCCCAGCTACTCCGGAGGCTGGGGCGGGAGGATTGCTTGAGCCCAGGAGTCCAGACCAGTTTGGGCAACATAGTGAAACCCCCATCTCTTTAAAAAA